>NC_000012.12:106551037-106854067 GCF_000001405.40 Homo sapiens
TGGTTTTATCTACCTTTGGTCTTTGATGATGGTGACCTACAGATGGTGTTTTGGTGTGGATGTCCTTTTTGTTGATGTTGACACTATTCCTTTCTGTTTGTTAGTTTTCCTTCTATCAGTCAGTACCCTCAGCTGCAGGTCTGTTGGAGTTTGCTGGAGGTCCACTCCAGACCGTTTGCCTGGGTATCACCAGCGGAGGCTGCAGAACAGTAAATGTTGCTGCCTGATCCTTCCACTGGAAGCTTCACCTCAGAAGGGCACTCAGCTGCATGAGGTGTCAGTTGGCCCCTACTGGGAGGTGTCTCCCAGTTAGGCTACTCGGGGGTCAGGTAGCCGCTTGAGGAGGCAGTGTGTCCATTCTCAGATCTCAAACTCCATGCTGGGAGAACTACTGCTGTCTTCAAAGCTGTCAGACAGGGACGTTTAAGTCTGCAGATATTTCTGCTGCCTTTTGTTCAGCTGTGCCCTGCCCCCAGAGGTGGAGTCTACAGAGGCAGGCAGGCCTCTGCTGTTGAGCTGCAGTGGGCTCCACCCAGTTTGAGCTTCCCTGCTGCTTTGTTTACCTCGTCAAGCCTCAGCAGTGGTGGATGCCCCTCCCCCAGCCTCGCTGCAGCCTCCCAGTTCGATCTCAGACTGCTGTGCTAGCAGTAAGCAAGGCTCTGTGTGAGTGGGACCTGCCGAGGCAGGCGTAGGATATAATGTCCTGGTGTGCCGTTTGCTAAGACCATTTGAAAAGTGTAGTGTTAGGGCGGGAGTGTCCCGATTTTCCAGGTACCGTCTGTCACGGCTTCCCTTGGCTAGGAAAGGGAATTCCCTGACGCCTTGCACTTCCCAGGTGAGGTGATGCCCTACCCTGCTTTGGCTCACATTCTGTGGGCTGCACCCACTATCCAACCAGTCCCAATGAGACGAACCCGGTACCTCAGTTGGAAATGCAGAAATCACCCATCTTCTGCATCACTCACGCTGGGAGCTGTAGACCGGAGCTGTTCCTATTTGGCCATCTTGGAACGATCTCTCCACCTTACGCCTGTTAGAATGGCTATTACCAAAAAGACAAAAGGTAAGTGTTGGTATGGATAAGGAGAAAAGGGAACCCTCACACACTGTTAGTGGGAACATAAATTAGCACAGCCATTATGAAAAACAGTATGGAGGTTGCTCAAAAAATTAAAAATAGAACTACCATATGATCCAGCAATCCCATCACTGGGTATGTATCCAAAGGAAATGAAATCAGTAAGTCTAAGAGATGTCTTCACTCCCACGTTTATTGTTGCACACTATTCACAATAGCCAATATATGGAATCAACCTAAGTGTCTATCAATGAATGAATGAATAAGGAAATGTAGTGTATTTGTACAATGGAATACTATTCAGCCATGAAAAAGAATGAATTTCTGTCATTTTTGGCAGCACAGATGAACCTGGAGCATATTATGTTAAGTGAAGTAAGCCAGGCACAGAAAGACAAATATTGAATGATTACTCATATGTGGAATCTAAAAAAAAAATTGATCTCATAGAAGTAGAACAATAGTGGTTACCAGAGGCTGTGAAAGGTAGGAGGTTTGGAGGGATAGGATGAGGTTAGTCAACAGATACAAAGTTATACTTAGATAGGAGGAATAAATTCTAGTCTTCTATTGCACAGTCAGGTGACTGTAGTTAAAGATAATACATAGTATATTTCAAAATAGCTAGAAGAGAGGATTTTGAATGCTCTTACCAGAAAGAAATGATACGTTTGAGGTGATTGATATGTAAATTAGCCTAATTGCACATTATATGCATGTATCAAAACATCACACTGTACCCCCTAAATATGTACAATTATTATATGTCAACTGACAATAAAATAAAACTTCAAATGGAATGAGGTGATTTTTCAGGAAAAAACAAAATACTGTATAATATTCAGCTTAGAGAAAAAAATCTCAACAGATCAATTACATAGACAAAATAAACTTTCAAAGATTTAGCCAGGTATCTTCCACCAAAACATCCCACATGGTTTGCCAGCAGGAATTGAACCAAAATTTTAGGAATTCTAGTACTTCAACATTTTTTTCTGGAACATTAAATAATACAGCTTTGTAAGTCCCTGTATTGAGGTACCCAAAGAGATCTCAATAATGGATAAAATATACAAACAGAAAATTAAGATATGCAGGCTCAAAAACAAATTAAACAGATCCATGCACTGGCAAATAGGACAGTAACACAGAGTAACAATCCCAGGTAATGAAACAGGCAAACTAGGCTCAGCTTGCCATGGTAGATGGGCATTTGTCCTCTGCAGGGTAACTTGGTCTAAAAGCTGTCCTATGCAGCCACCATTGTCACCAGAAACCAGAGGCAGCACCCAGGGTTCTTCTACCTGTGAAAGAAGGCTTAAAAATTATTGTTGCCTGGAGCAAGGCTTGCATGAACTGTGGTGTTAGGGAGGAAAAGAACACAGCACAGTTTATGACCAGGAATTAAATTAAACTGTCCTCTGACAGCTTGGTAGCATATTTGCCATTTCTTCAATATCACCATGGGGCAGGAACCTTACATTGCCAAATGAAACCTGGTTCAGGATGGAGTGGACTAAGTGGAACGGTGCCAATAGGCTGGCTGGTAGGAGAGTGAACAGAGAGAGAAAGAGAGGGACAGGGAGGAGGAAAAGGGGGTTTGTTAGAGGGAGATTCTTCTCAAAATGAGGCTACAGACAAAATTCCAAAGCAAATTAAGAAATCTCAGTGTCGGCCAGGCGCGGTGGCTCACACCTGTAATCCCAGCACTTTGGGAGGCCAAGGTAGGCAGATCACTTGAGGTCAGGAGTTCAAGACCAGCCTGGCCAACATAGTGAAACCCCGTCTCTACTAAAAATACAAAAACTAGCCAAGCATGATGGCTCATGCCTATAATCCCAGCTACTTGGGAGGCTGAGGCAGGAGAATCACTTGAACCCAGGAGGCAGAGGTTGCAGTGAGCCTAGATTGTGCCACTGCACTCTGGCCTGGGTGACAGAGTGAGACTCCATCCCCCCGCCAAAAAAAGGTAAAATCCGTAAATCAACATTAAGTGGGAGTTATAGTCAATGGGCAGTTAAAGTGTGTTAAGCTTGTTTCATTTGTGACTTTAGTCTTTTTATACAAAGATTAATTGAATATATAGCTAAAACTTCATGGGAAACCTCTGGAAGAATAGAAAGACAATCAGCACAGAGGAGGGTGAAAAAATATACAAAACATTTTCAATCCAACAGAAATCAGGGAAGAAAGTAAAGCAGCAAATAAAAAGGATGGTAAGCAAAACACAAAAATAAGTGTTAAAAGTTGTTAAAAGTCTATGCTATTTATGCCAATAAATATAAATAAACATTAGTTATATTAATAATAGATTATATTTATAGATTAATTATATTATAGATTATATTAATTTCCTAGGGCTGCCATAAGAAATTATTATAAACTTGGTGGCTTAAATAACCAAAGCTCATTCTCTCACAATTCTGGAAGGCAGAAGTCCAAAATCAAGATATCAGCAGGGAAAGTGCTCCCTCAGGATTCTAGGGGAAGATCCTTCCTTGCCTCTTCCAGCTTCTGGTGGCTTCAGGCATTCCTTGGCATGTGATATGGTTTGGCAGTGTGTCCCCATCCAAATCTCATGTTGAATTGTAATTCCCATTGTTGGAGATGGGGCCTGGTGGGAGGCGATTGGATCGTGGGGATGGTTGCTAATAGTTTAGCACCATCCCCTTAGTGCTTTCTCCTGAGAGAGTTCTCACGAGATCTGATTGTTTAAAAGTGTGTAGCACCTCTCCTTTTGCTCGCTCTCTCTCTCCTGCTGGCCACGTGAAGACGTGCTTGCCTCCCTTTTACCTTCTAGCATGATTATTTTATAAGTGTTCTGAGGCCTCCCCAAGCATGCTTCCTATACAGCCTGCAGACCTGTGAGTCAATTAAACCTCTTTTCTTCATAAATTACCCAGTCTCAGTTAGTTCTTTATAGCAGTGTGAGAATGGACTAATACAGCATGTAACTGCATAACTCCAATCTCTACCTCTTTCACATGGCGTTCTGTTCTCTCTCTTTTGGTTATCTCTTAGAAGGACATTTGTCATTGGATTTAGTGCCCATCTGAATAGTCCAAGATGATCTTATCTCAAGATCCTTAACTTGACTACATCTACTTTGTCCAAATAAGGTCACATTCACAGACTATGGGGGTAAGGAAGTGGGCACACCTTTTTAGACACCACCATTCAAACCATGAAATAAGTTACCTGGTATAAAAAAGCAGCTATCCAGTTGGATTTTTATTTGTTGATTTTTGAGACAGGATCTCACTATGTTGCCCAGGCAAGAGTGCAGTGGCACAGTCATGGCTCACTGTAGCCTCAACCTCCTGGGCTCAAGTGTAGCTGGGACTACAGGTGCACACCACACACACAGCTACTTTTTAAAATTTTTGTAGAAAATGGAGCCTCACTATGTTGCCCAGGCTGGTCTTGAACTCCTGGCCTCAAGTAATCCTCCCACCTCTGCCTCCCAAAGTGCTAGCATTACAGGTAAATCACATATAAAATTGAAAAACCAATGATGTATTAGTTCGTTTTCATGCTGCTGATAATGACATACCTGAGACTGGGCAATTTACAAAAAAAAAAAAAAAGGTTTATTGGACTTACAGTTCCATGTGGCTGCGGAGGCCTCACACTAGAAGGTGAAAGGCACGTCTCACATGGTGGCAGATGAGAGAAGAGAAGAGAGTTTGTACAGGGAAACTCCCATTTTTAAAACCATCAGACCCTGTGAGACTCATTCACTATCATGAGAACAGCGCAGGAAAGACCCGTCCCGATAATTAAATCACCTTTCACCGGGTTCCTCTCACGACATGTGGGAACTGTGGGAGTTACAATTCAAGATGAGATTTGGTGGGGACACAATGTTGATGTAGCAATCATTAAAGCAGATAGCTAATTACTTGCATTTTCACTTTCTTTCCAATGTATTTTATTGAACAGTTCTTATAGAGACAAATTTATCAACTACTGGAGCTTCACAGTCAGCCCTAATAGCTAGTAGGTCAAGGTTCTCTTCCTTCCTTTTTTTCTTTAGAAGATACTGACTTCTTTCAGCCTTGTTCTTTGACATTAACTAAGATAAAATATTTAAGTAGAACTGTTATGTTGATGGATAGAAAGACAGTAACATAAACATGACAATTCTCCCCAAAATGATCTATAGACTTAACAAAATCCAACAACGATTCTAATGAGGTGTTCGTGGTACTTGATAAGCTGATTCTAAAATAAATGTTCTCTTTCATTCAGCAATTAAATGTCTAGTAATATATCCTACGCAGTTACACATGTACAGAAAATGAATGTACAAGGAGATTTACTGTTGCATTGTTTATACCAGAAAAAAAGATTAGAAATAACCTAATGCCAACAAAGATGAAATCAATTAATTATGGAACATGTATAAGAAAAAATACCATTAAAAAATGTAAAGACCAAAGCAGCACCACATAGATATAAAATGTCATAAGCTTCAGCATACATTGTTAAGTGCAGAATAAAGGAAAAGAAGAATAATTAAAGTTATCCTTAGTTATACTTTTGTACTATTGATTTTAATTATAATCAGTGTCACTAATGTTTATTGAGCATTTATTATGAGCCAGGAAGTTTTCTAAGTGACAGAGCATGGCTGAGATGGTTTTAGCCTGATGGAGTGTGGAGAGGTGGTATTCACAGTCATCAGCCATTGCCAGAGAGAAGGCAGTGGATGGGGGTAGCACATACAAGCATTTAACCTGGGGAATTCAGCCTTGTGTTTAAAAAGAGGGAGACAAACAGGTCAACACTGTGGAAATAGTGTAGGCAGTCCCAGTCACCATTCAGCTCAATGAGCACCTGGTCAGAGGAGAGGGATCCATGGGGAGATGAACACTGTAACAGTAATTAGGAGATGTTTGGCCAAGCGGCTCAAAGGAGAAGAACAGGGTACGCTGAAAGTCTATCATATAAGGAATGATTTGGTTGGGACTCTTTTGGTTGTGAGTAGCAGAAACAAAACTAGAATTGCTTTAAGCAAAAAAAAGGTGAATTTTTTGGCTGACATATCTGAAAATCCTAAGAGAAGAGCCAACTTCAGGCATGGTTAAACCCAGCCACTCCAAAGGCATCACTGGGACTCTCCCCTTCATTTGTCAGCTGTTTCCATCCACGTGGGATTCAGTCTCAGCCAGGCTCCCCTCTCAGGTGACTTCCGGTAGATTCAGCATTTCACCCATCAGTTTCAACTGCCCTTTGCAAGAATTCTAACAAAAGCTCTAGCTAGGTTTGAGCCGCATGTCCACTCACTGGAACTAGTGATGGGGTCAATTCCATATAGTTCAAACACATAAAGTAGATGCTATCAAAGGAAAAACACAGCTGTTTTTAATGAAATGAGTGTGAATAGATATTGAAAAAACCAAACTCACAGATGTCTACAATGGGGCTTAACTATTAATAGTTTGGAATCTGAGGAATAGCTATTATGGGAATTTGGCATTTAAGATGAGGATTTAGGAAATGCTATCAAATATGAAAATATAGTGATGCATCACTTAATGACAGGGATAGTTCTGAGAAATCTGTTGTTAGGCAATTTCATTGTTGTTCAAACATCATAGAGTACACTTACATAAACCTAGATGGTATAGTCTACTACGCACCTAGGTTATGTTATATGGCTTATTGCTCCCATGCAACAAACATGTACAGCATGTGACTGTACTGAATACTGTAGATGATTATAACCTCATGGAAAATATTTGTGTATCTAAACACATCTAAACATAAAAAGGATACAGAAAAAATGCTGGATAAAAGATGAAAATGGTACACCTCTATAGTACACTTATAATGGAGCTGGTAGGACTGGAAGTTGGTCTGGGTGAGTCAGTGAGTGGTGAGTGAATGGGAAGGCCTAGGACAGTACTGTACACTACTGTAGACTTTATGAACACTATACACTTAGGCCACACTAAATTTATAAATAATATTTTTCTTTCTTCAATAATACATCAACCTTACTTTACTGTAACTTTTTTACTTTATACACTCAATTTTTTTTAATCACTCATATTTATTCATATATTGCCCCCTTTGTCCCGGATATCATACAGCCAAAATCAAAATAGGTGAAATTCTATGGTATTTTACAGATCCTTCAGTGGTGAGGCAGGCAATGACTGCAGCTAGTAGCCTAATTTCCCCAGGTGAATTATCAGACCAGCCATTACCTCCAAAGGAAGCTTCTTTTTTTATTATTCTTATACTTTAAGTTTTAGGGTACATGTGCACAGCATGCAGGTTTGTTACATATGTATACATGTGCCATGTTGGTGTGCTGCACCCATTAACTCATCATTTACATTAGGTATATCTCCTAATGCTGTCCCTCCCCCCTCCCCCCACCCCACAACAGGCCCTGGTGTGTGATGTTCCCCTTCCTGTGTCCATGAGTTCTCATTGTTCAATTCCCACCTATGAGTGAGAACATGCTGTGTTTGGTTTTTTGTCCTTGTGATAGTTTGCTGAGAATGATGGTTTCCAGCTTCATCCATGTCCCTACAAAGGACATGAACTCATCATTTTTTATGGCTGCATAGTATTCCATGGTGTATATGTGCCACATTTTCTTAATCCAGTCTATCATTGTTGGACATTTGGGTTGGTTCCAAGTCTTTGCTATTGTGAATAGTGCTGCAATAAACATACACGTGCATGTGTCTTTATAGCAGCATGATTTATAATCCTTTGGGTATATACCCAGTAATGGGATGGCTGGGTCAAATGATATTTCTAGTTCTAGATCCCTGAGGAATTGCCACACTGACTTCCACAATGGTTGAACTAGTTTACAGTCCCACCAACAGTGTAAAAGTGTTCCTATTTCTCCACATCCTCTCCAGCACCTGTTGTTCCCCTGACTTTTTAATGATCGCCATTCTAACTGGTGTGACATAGTAGCTCATTGTGGTTTTGATTTGCATTTCTCTGATCGTCAGTGATGATGAGCATTTTTTCATGTGTCTTTTGGCTGCATAAATGTCTTCTTTTGAGAAGCGTCTGTTTATATCCTTCGCCCACTTGTTGATGGGGTTGCTTGTTTTTTTTCTTGTAAATTTGTTTGAGTTCTTTGTAGATTCTGGATATTAGCCCTTTGTCAGTTGAGTAGATTGCAAAAATTTTCTCCCATTCTGTAGGTTGCCTATTCACTCTGATGGTAGTTTCTTTTGCTGTGCAGAAGCTCTTTAGTTTAATTAGATCCCATTTGTGAATTCTGGCTTTCGTTGCCATTGCTTTTGGTGTTCTAGACATGAAGTCCTTGCCCATGCCTATGTCCTGAATGGGATTGCCTAGGTTTTCTTCTAGGGTTTTTATGGTTTTAGTTCTAACATTTAAGTCTTTATTCCATCTGGAATTAATTTTTGTATAAGGTGTAAGGAAGGGATCCAGTTTCAGCTTTCTACATATGGCTAGCCAGTTTTCCCAGCACCATTTATTAAATAGGGAATCCTTTCCCTATTTCTTGTTTTTGTCAGGTCTGTCAAAGATCACGTAGTTGTAGATATATGGCATTATTTCTGAGGGCTCTGTTCTGTTCCATTGGTTTATATCTCTGTTTTGGTACCAGTACCATGCTGTTTTAGTTACTGTAGCCTTGTAGTATAGTTTGAAGTCAGGTAGCCTATACGCTTAATTTTTTAAAAAACTTTTTGACTCTTGTAGTAACACAGCTTAAAACAAACATTATACAGCTGTACAAAAATAGTTTCTTTTTTCATCTTTATTCTATATGCTTTTTTCTAATCTTTGAATTTATTGTTTACTTTTTAATGTTTTTTATTAAAAACTAAGACACAGGCGGGGCACAGTGGCTCATGTCTGTAATCCCAGCACTTTGGGAGGCCAAGGTGGGCAGATCTCTCAGACCAGCCTGGGCAACATGGTGAAACTCTGTCTCTACAAAAAATACAAAAATGAGCCAGGAGTGGTGGTATGTGCCTGTAGTCCCAGCACACTGGGAGGATTGCTTGAACCCAGGAAGCAGCAGTTGCGGTGAACCGAGTTTGTGCCACTGCATTCCAGCCTGGGTGACAGAGCAAGACTCTGTCTCCAACAACAACAATGAAAACTAAGACACAAACACATACATTAGCCTAGGCTTACACAGGGTCAGAATCATCAAGATGTCACTAGGTGATTTTTCAACTCCATCATAATCTTATGGAACCACCATCACATATGCAGTCTGTTGTTGACTAAAACGTCATTACGTGGTGCATGACTGTATTTACCACTCTTCTGAATAAAGGTTCTTGGAGGTGCTCTGCTGCTTAGTATTGCTTCTACCCTTATGTGATGGTACTCACATAAAGTGTCATCTACACCGGGAATAGTGGAAGTGTATGCTAGCTAGCCTTGTCTTTTATTTTTGCCTTTACCTTGCATCTGCCCCAGAGTATAGGGACAGTGTCTTATTCTTGTTATATTCCTAGCACTTAACCCAGTGCCTAGTCTGTAGTCGGGAATCAATAAGTATTTGACAATCAGTGGATACACTGATGAATAAAATATAATTTTTTAAAGTATCCTTTGTCATTGGATCTGCTAAACTGTATTCTTGCAGTGAGCCATTTTGTCTGCCCACTCAACTTGCCATTCTTTTTTCTAGTCTCCCTGGCTTTCCAACCCTTGGTTTTGCATCCTGGTTCCTGATAACCACTTCAGGCCATTCATGTTTTGATGACTCATTTCAAGCCTGTGTTGGATATTCTTCATTCTTCCATAAAGGATGAACCCACAGTTTTTATGTAGGCATATGGTTGCTCAGTTTAAAAACTATATCTCCCAGTCTCCCTTGTAGCTAAGTATGGCCATATGACTTAGTTCTGGCTGATGGGAGGTAAGCAGGGGTGGCCTATGGCAACTTCCAGGAAGCTTCTATGGTTGCTATCCTCCAAAGATGGCCCCCAGCAATTCCCCTTCACCCTGTATGTGCATGCCATTCTCACATCAAGAGGTGGAACATGTCCACCCCTTCTCTGGGCTGGCCCTGTGACTGCTTTGACCAATAGGATATAGTAGCAGGGACATCTTGGGACTTCCAAGCTTGGGCCTTAAGAGGATTGGCTGCTTCTGTTTCCTTCTTCTCCACATACTTATGTTCAGAATGATCCTTTTTGAACACAACTTCCATGCTACAAGGAAGCTCAAGCAACTGTGAGGAAGAAACCTCATGAAGGAGAGCAGGCTTCAGGCCATGACCCTGGCTGAGCTCCTAGCTAATAGCCAGTGCCAACTTGCCAGCCATGTGGTTGCAGTCATTTTGGATCTATCAACTGTGTCAGAATGCTGGCCAACACCATGAAAAGCCATCTACCCACAGAATCATAACATATGATAAGTTATTGTTATGTGAAGCCACTAAGTTTTGGGGTGGTTTGTTATGCTGCAATAGAAAATTAACACATCTTTCTTAAAATATAGTTACATAATCCTGTAATTTTGATATTTGTCCCTTCCAAACCTCATGTTGAGATTCCTCATTAATAGATCAATGCCTTCCCCCTCGGGGTGAGTGTGTTCTCACTCTATTAGTTCCTACGAGAGCTAGTTGTTAAAAAGAGCCTGGCACCTCCTCTACTCTCTCTTGCTTCCTCTCTCACCCTGTGATCTCTGCACACACTGGCTCCCTTTGCCTTCTGCCGTGAGTGGAAGCTTCCTGAGGCCCTCATCAGACCCGGATGCTGGTGCCATGCCTGTACAACCTGTAGAACTGTGAGCCAAATAAACCTCTTTTCTTTATAAATTATTCAGCCTCAGATATTCCTTTATAGCAACACTAAATAAACTAAGCCATACACTCTTTGCCTCTTCTTTTTCCCTTTGTTCTTCCATATACATGATGACCAGAGCTGGAGCCACCATCTTGGACTCTGAAGTAATCTTGGAAATGGAGATCATGCAAGAGAAAATAAGTTGAAATATCTCTACTTCACACACTTATATTAAAAAATTAAACTTATATCCTGAATAAGCCACTGTTATTCTGAATCTTTTACTCCAGCTGAACCAATTCTAACTAATGTAGACTCCTTTGGTACCACTCAGATGGTAAATTTTGCACATCCCCTTGGTTTCTTCAGTTTGCTTGTTCTTTTATTTTTAAATTAATGTTTGTTTTATCAGACAGACACAGCTATACAGTTTTAAAACTCAAATGATTTGGGAGTTCCAGTTACTGACAAAATAATATTAGCTTAGCCTCACCAATTTTTTCCTCCAAATCCCTCCTCATAAATTTCACAAAAGCCTGAAACTATGTTTATGAAACTAACATAAACACATTTAAAAATCTATGGTATAACAGTAGGTGTTTAGGTCCTGATGTGAGGGAGAAGTAGAAGCCCAGAGCCCAGCATGGCTGAGTCCCACGGATGGTGGCAGGAAGATATGTTTCAAAGAGACTTTTAGATGCACCGTTTGCTCTTTAACATTGTCCTAAGTGGACATGTGTCCACCCCAATGCCACAGCGAAGCAGAAAAAGCAGCCAGTCTAGTACTGCCAGAGTTGCCAAGATAACATCAGAGTAGGCACTGTAGCCAAGCTGGGTAGTTAAGAACCGGTTAACAGTGGGTACAAGTAAACTGCTCAGCCCCTTAGCATTCCTTCCTCCCTCTACCCTGCTTTATAGTGACTCCTCCTTCACAGACAAATCTTGAAAACAAGGGGGTCCAGATGGAAGTCCAAACTGTAACATCCTGAGCTCTCTCTTGCTCTCTTTCTCTCTGCTCCCTCAATGCCAAATTTATCAAGAAAGATAGAAGCTAGGGCTTATGCTTTAGCCTTTCTCACTGGCTCAGGCATCTAGTACCTCTAGGACGGAATTTCTCAACCTTAGCATTATTGAAATTTTGGCCAAATAAGTTTTTGTTGTGGGAGGATTTCCTGTACATTATAGGATTTTTAAGTGCATCCCTGGCTTTTACACACTAGAGCCAGTAGTAATACTCCTCCACCCTCCACCACAGGTGATGACAACCAAAAATTTCTTCTGTTGGGGCAAATTTACCCCAGGTTGAGAATCTCTATTCTAGAAGAATAGGTATAGGGCCACTGCATTGCAGTGTGACAGCTCTGAATTTGAACTCCTAGGAAAAAAATATACTCCTGGGTATAATTAGCCACTGATATAAGAGAAAAGCAACTAATGGAAAAATCTAATCTTAGATAAAGCAAACTTAGCAGACCAGACAGAACAAGAAAGCATATTAAACAGATAAGAAAGGATACTGTGAAGCCAAAGGCATAATGAAGCCCCAAGAAGAATTTCTGAGTATAAAAAATTGAAACAAAAACTCAATGGATTGACTATTGATTAGTAGATTGAATAGCAGAATACATAGATAAGAAATCAAAGTAGTGGAGTATTAGTTCCAGATAGCATCATTATGGGTTTTATAGTTGTAATATAAAAAAGAAAAGAGATATGGAAAATAGAAACAGAAGCACCAACATTCAATTAATAGAAGTCTCAGAAGAAAAGAAAAAATAACAAGAGTAGAATATTTAAAGAAAGAGTAAACAGAGAATTTCTCAGATTAGAGAGGTTTTTAAGACCTCAAAGTACAAGTACTCCTAACAAGATAAGGAACATAAGAAAAAAACATACCTAGATACATGTTCATATCATTTAAGCACATCAGAGACATTGAGAAAATTCTAAACACTTCGAGATACAAAACAAATTGCCTGAAAAGGAACAAGAATCACCAACATCAGGTTTCTCAACAGTGACATCTACAAGGAAACCACAGAGTAATATTTTCAGTATTAAAGTAAAAGAACTTAGGACCTAAAATTCTAAATCCAGCTAAACTATCATTTAAATATGATAATTAATAGTAATATTTAATGTTAATAATTCATGTTTGCCATAGAAACACCCTCTTTGAAAATATTCAAGGAAGTGCTCTAGCAAGAAGGAAACAAGGAGGATGTGGTCAAAAATGGAAGGGTGAATAAATAATTTGGTAAATTCTGTTGTAAAACTCAGCAACCATTACAATGAAATAAGCAAACAAAACATGTATGTGACAATCGATAATTAAAAATGATTAGATAGATTGAAATGTCTCTTGCTTGAAATTATACATTCAATTTTATTCTTTGGGTAGTCGTTCATAACTTACTAAAACAAAAACCTGGTTTAATTTTACCCTTTCTAATGGCAAGTAGTAAGAGGAAATAAAAGGAACAGAAAGTGTGGTAAATAGAATACATGAAAGGAAGGTCATATGTATAAAATTCACTAGTATAAAAAGATAAAGATGCAGAGAGGATTAATATCTAATGTTATCTATGAGAGAAACACTTAAAGCAAGAGAATACAAAAAGATAAAAAATACAAGAAGGGAGATAAATACACCAGAGAAATAGGATCTTAAAGAGAGCAATTTTATTATCAGAACAAATAGATATGTGACAAAGAAGGAAGCTTTATATTTGTAAGGCATATTTCAACAGATATATGATCACACCTGTATATTCACCTAAGAAAGCACTGAAACACATATTTTTAAATGACAATTGAAAGAAATAACTAAGTCAGCAAGTATAGTTGGTAGTATGAGACACACAAGTGTAAGCATTTGTCATACTCATGGAACTGTAAATGAGATCTGTGCATTTCACTAAATGTAAATCATCCCTTCTCTCAGTTCTAGTCCTCCAAGAAGCAGGAGACAAAGCAAGATTAGACATGCAAGAAATGTATTGGGAGAAAAATTCCTGTGAAGGGTAAAAAAGAGTAGAAAAAGATGGGGAGAATCGTCACATGGTAACGCCTGACTCATATCTGTGAAAGGAAAGGGGGAAGGAAGAAAGATTAGGTAGGACAACTCTCAGTCTGCAGCAACGTTCTAAAAATGGTTCAGCCGGGCAAACGGGGGGCCTTCAGACAAAGCTTGCATTCTGCAAGAATGCACCGGCGCTATTACCACTACTGTACCCAGTCACTGGGAGCCATAGGTAAGACTGTGATGGTAGCCACAGAGAGGCAGCAGCAGCAGCTGTCAGTCAACCATGCTCCCACAGCAGATTCTCTTAAAAGAGATCTGAGTCACACGTCTACCTGACTGCCACATACCTCAGCAAAGTTATGAAAAAAAAAATCCAATAGTGTTCCTCTATACTAGCAATAACCACGTATAAAACAGGATAAACAAGATAGCATTAATAATAGAAACCAAACCATAAGTTCCTGACTAAATTGAACAAACTAAGGCAGACTTTTACCAACAAACTTAAAGGACATATTTTTTTAAAATAAATGAACAGATTATTCCATGTTTATATGTGGAGTGACATGTAAACATACTGATTCAACTCAACAATTTAATGCAAGTTCAACTGAAATTACTCAAAGGGCTGGGCATGGTGGGTCACGCATGTAATCCAAGTATTTTGGGAGGCTGAGGTGGAAGGATCGAGTGAGCCCAGGAATTCAAGAGCAGCCTGGGCAACATAATGAGACCCCGTCTTTAAAAAAAAAAAAAAAATCAAAAAATTAGCTGGGTGATGGTGTGTGCCTGTAGTCTCAGCTACTCAGGAAGCTGAGGCAGGAGAATCAGTTGAGCCCTGGGAGGTCGAGGCTTCAGTGACCTGTGATTGTGCCACTGCACTCCAGCCTGGGCAATGGAGGGAGGGAGGGAGGGATGGAAGGAGGGAAGGAAGGAAGGGAAGGGAGGGAAGGAGGGAAAGAAAGAAGAGAAAGAAAAAAAGGGGGTAGGGAGGGAGGAAGGAAGGAAGGAAGGAAAGGAAGAAAGGAAGAGAAGGAAGGGAGGGAGGAAGGAAGGAGAAAGAAGGAAAGAAATTGCTCAAGGATTTTTGATAAATTTGACAAATTTCTTCTAAAATAAATATATATGAAAAATTTAATTCCATGAACCACTAAGCCAGTTTTGAAAAAGAAGAGAAAGGGAAACTTGCTTTACCAGATATAAAAAATGTTACAAAGACATAGTGATAAAGGTAGAATGGAACCAGGTCAGGAAGAAGCAAACAGATGAAAGAAAATGACTAAAGAGTGCCTATATGGGAAATTAGAGTATGATTGTGGTGGTGCCACACACCAGTGGGGAAAATATAGATTATTTAACAGATAGTTGCTGTGGACTGAATTATGAATTGTGTCCTTCCAAAATTATATGTTGAAGCTCTAGCCCCCAGTGTGACTGTATTTGGAGGCAGGGCCTTTAGGAGGTAATTCAGGTTTAAGGAGGTCATCAGAGTGGAGCCCTAAGCCGACAGGATTGGTGGCCTTATAGGAAGAGGGAGGAGCTTCCAGGTTGGTGAATACCTTGAGATTTGGGAGGGTGGCACCCAAGAGAAGACATGACAGTTCTGGACATACAGACACGCGCATCCCCCTGCTTCCCCACAGCTTGCCCTACACATCTCTTCCATTTGGCTATTCCTGAGTTGAAATGTCCATGTCTGTTTCATCACCATCACACCAGCATTAAAAACTACCTTTATAAAAACTGGAACCAATTTGGTGGGTTCAATGCCTTGTTGGTCCTAGAACTGTCTATGTGACAGCTGGGGTGGGGGTCAGACTGCAGGGCATCACCTGCACATGGGTCACCTTGGGCCAGTTACAGGATCTGCCTTTAACTAAGAGGCATGAACAAGAGACAGAATCCAGCAGCTGGATTGACTGATCCATCTCTCACTGCCCCCAAGCAGAGGAAAAGGGTTTCTAGAGTCGTGGACCATGCTTTGAAATGCTTTTCTTGGCAAAAGAATGTGTCAGCCATCTAGACCACAAAGATACCAGGAAGCATCTGTTCTGCACTGAATAGCATCTGCGTCTTGAATTTCCTCTGGATCATCTTGGGCCACTCCAGTTAGATACCCATACGGCTGTCTTTGGGTGTGGAGAGTGGATGAGCCTTTATGAGCAATCAAGGAAGAATCTTTTGTGTGGTGGGATCCTACTGGGGAGCCTTCCCCACAAGCAGCCTCCCTACTGTTTTAGAGAACTAGACCATGACCTTCCATAAGTGTGTTTTCCAGGCCAGTGTGCCATAGCTGCTTTAACTCCTGCTAGGTATAAATCAGGCACCTGGCTACAAGTGATACCTGGGTGTTGTATTTTTATGGTCCAAGGAGTTGAGTTTCTTCTCACCATGATTAATGAAGATTTTTCTCCCTGAAAAACAGGCAAGCATACATAAATTTTGTGCACTAGTATTAAAAAAAAAGGGAGAAATCTCTTTCTCTATCTCCCTGCCCACACACTAAGGAAAGGCCATAGGAGGACATAGCAAGAAGGTGGCTGTCCACAAGCTAGGGAGAGAGCCTTCACCAGACACAGAATTGGCAGAATTGAACATCTCACCTCAGGAACTGTGAGAAAATCATTTTCTGTTGTTTAAACCACCCAGTCTATGGCATTTTTTAATGGCAGGACAAGCTGACTGAGACATGTTTTGATGGAAAAAGAATGGTTAACCATACTGGAAAAACATTGCAAAACAATACAAAGGCGAACTACAGATGGACTAAGTGCCTAGATGGAATGATAAAAGGTCAAGTGAATGAAAGAAAAATGAATGTAATGCTGGAGACAGGAATTCTTAAATAAGACCCTCAAAGAGCAAACCATAGAATGGAAAAAATCGGAAGTACCATCCTATTACCTTTGCCATGTTCTATCACTAGAGGGGAGCCACTAAGTCTGGCCCACATTCAAGGAGAGAGGATTATGCAAATGTATGAATCCCAGGAGGCAGGGATCACTGAGAGCCATTTTAGAAGATGCCTAACACGGGCAGTTCACAAAGCACAAAATGCAAAAGTCAAACACAAGAAAATGTGCTGAGTACCCACTAGTATTCAACAAAATACAAATTAAAACAGCAATTATTCATTTTTACTCAACATTTGGCTTTAAAAATTGTTCTTAAGTAATAACATTGAGTGCACAGAAGGGCATTGCAGAAACTGGCACTTTCATGTATTGGTGGTAGAACTGTGAACTTTTAAACTTTTGGGGAAAGCAATGCATCAAGGTCATTGATATGGTTTGGATATTTGTTGTCCTCAAGTCTCATGTTGAAATGTGATCTCCCCAGTGTTCGAGGTGAAGCCTAGTGGGTGTTTGGGCCACAGAAGCACATCCCTCATGGATGGTTTGGTGCCCACCCCAAGGGAAGGAGTGAGCTCTCACTCTGTTAGTTCACACAAGAGCTGGCTGCTTCAAAGAGCCCAGCACCTCCTGTATTCTCTCTTGCTCCCTCTATTTCCGTGTGACTCACCTGCTCCTCCTTCACCTTCCACCCTGAGTAAAATCTTCCTTAGGTCTCGCCAGAAGCCAAGCAGATGCTGGTGCCATGCCTGTACAGCATATGGAACCGTGAGCTAAATAAACCTCTTTTCTTTATAAATATCTGAGTCTCAGGTATTCCTTCATGGCAACACAAAACAGATTAACACAGTCACTAAAATATTAAATGGTTTGGCAATCCCCTTCACAGCAATCTATTTCATAGAAATAAAAGCACTAGTACTTGCTAGTACAAGGATGGTCTACTGTAACATTATCTCTGAGGGCAAAAAAAAAAAAAGTCCCCTAGAAGCAAAGTGAAGGACCTTCAATAAGGGAAAGATTGGAGAAATTTTGGTACAACCAAACTATGAAATATTCTTATCCGATTTGTTTATGTTTGATCATAGCAAAAGGTTTGGAATCACATGCACCAAACTATTAATATGTGTTACCACAATAGAATTATAGAGGGAAAGGTAGATTATTAATTTTTAATATATCTTCATAAATTTTATTTATTTATTTATTTGTTTATTTATTTATTTAAGATGGAGTCCCATTCTGTTGCCCAGGCTGGAGTGCAGTGGCCCAATCTTGGCTCACTGCAACATCCACCTCCCTGGTTCAAGGGATTCTCCTGCCTCGGCCTCCTGAGTAGCTGGGATTACAGGCGTGTACCACCACACCTGATCTCAGCTCACTGCAAATCCACCTCCTGGGTTCAAGCAATTCTCCTGCCTCAGCCTCCCGAGTAGCTGGGATTACAGGCGTGAACCACCACACTCGGCTAGTTTTCGTATTTTTGGTAGAGATAGGGTTTCACCATGTTGGCCAGGCTGGTCTCAAACTCCTGCCCTCAAGTGATCCACTGACCTTGGCCACCCAAAGTGCTGGAATTACAGGTGTGAGCCACCATTCCTGGCCATAATTTGAGTTTTATAGCAAACATGTATTACTTCTGTTATTGAACAAAGGCAAAAAGAATTTTTTAAAAAAGAAAAATAAAAGTTGTCTTGACTAAGTCCTACCAATTCCAAATGAAATAAAAGCATATGAAAATTTCTCTTGGAAGTGTATTAGATGTGTAAATTATTTTCTCCCAGTTATTTGTGCATTTTAAAGGTGAATTTTCATTCATTCACTCATTCAATGCATATTCCCTTAAAACAGCCTATTATATGCAAAAGCACTGGCTACAAAGAGTAAAGCCTTTCACTGTGGTGAATCCATTCTTCTCATGAACAAGAAGCAGGAGAGGTATTTTTGCAGAGCTGGGAACATGAGTCTTCTTTACACCTGTCAAACCAAACCACAGAACCATTTTGAAGATACTGTCTTGAGAAATGGGTGGGACACAAAGCTTTGTGCAGTGAATACTCTTTCTCACAAGTGAATTGTTAATGGGAATCAAACAGGAGAGAGCTGGAGGTCATGTGCTCTGGAAGGCAAGGACCTGGGGTGAAGGTATTCATGGACAAGATGTATATTTTTTAGTTGAGCAAAAGGGTCCTTCCCACTACACAGCATGAAGTTATGCAAGGCTGATCTTCTTTTAAATAGTATGGCATACACTCCTGGCTGTCTGCCTATTCCTGTGTGTTTCAGAGGAGGACAGACCTTTATCCAGACCTAGAGGAGAATTTTGGTTCATCTTAACCTATCATGGTATTTATTTTCCCTTTGCCTAGTATTGGTTAAGGAATGGGCAGGTAAAAATCAATTATCTGATGGTATAAGGGGGAAAATCTTCCAAGAGGCTTTTGAGAAAGTTCTTCTACTCTTAAGAAAGGACAGAAGGAAGGGATGCATTCTCTTTCCTCCATTCAATCTTTGAGAAGTGTATTAGGTAGGCATGATGCTTTAGCAGCTACAGCCATCTTGTGATGGTGAGGAAAGATAAGCAGAGGACGAGAGCAAGCAGAAAGCAGAGCTTGAATGTGGGAGGAACCTGGGGCCATGATGACATTCTTGAGCCTCTCAATTAGCCAAACTTGGAATCCTCCTATGACCAGACTTTTTGTTATGTAGGCCTTTAGAGTTAGGTTTCTAGAACTTGGTAGAAATAGTGAGGTGGTTATTTATCTTGTAATTCTCTGAATTGGTAATTCATTTATTTCCTTCTTTCCTTTTCATTTCCTTTCCTTTCACTTTCCTTCCTTCCTTCTTTTGTTTCTTCCTTCCTTTTTCTTCTTTCTTCTTTCTTTACATCCTTCTTTCTTTTCTCCTCTCTTTTTGTAAATGCACATTTGCTGACTCCCTTATGAGACATATTTCCATAGGGCAGTGTTCTCTCAAAGTGGATCCAAGACCCTTCTGACCCTTCTGCATCACAATTACATAGGGCATTTACTTAAAGGCCACAACAGCAATAGGAGGATAAACCAAAAGTTTTTTCTTTTTTTTTTTCTTTTTTTTTTTTGACAGGGTCTCACTTTGTCTCCCAGGCTGGAGTGCAGTGGCATGATCTTGGCTCACTGCAACCTCTGCCTCCGAGGCTCAAGCAATTCTCCCACCTCAGCCTCCTGAGTAGCTGGGACTACAGGTGCACACCACCATACCCAGCTAATTTTTGTATTTTTTGTAGAGACGGGGCTTCACCATGTTGCACAGGCTGGTCTTCAACTCCTAGACTCAAGTGATCTGCTTGCCTCAGCCTCCCAAAGTGCTGGGATTACAGGCGTCAGCCAACGTGTTCAGCCTAGTTTTTGTTTTTTAAAGAAATAGTTACTATAAGGGAAGGAAAATACATGGTAAGTGGGACAGGAATGGGATATGAAATCCTTAATATACTTTGTTTCATAGATGTTTTGTGTGTATATTTGACTTTGAAAACATGTAAATAAGTTACATTTAAAAAAAATTCTTTTCATTTTTTAAAAAGTTAAATGAATCAACTTCCAATTTTAGGCCTTGAGATCAGAAGTTGTTACTCCCATTCTAGACAAACTGAAAAGCAATGACTTTTTTGGATCCACTAGAGAACTGAGGTTGCCAGGCAAGTGCCACCCCAGAATATAGCGTAACTGAAGGATCCAAAGAGTCACAGCCAAGATCTACTATCTGGAGCAGAAATCACTGGAGCCATGAACTAATACGACGTTTAAATGGTCATTTTCTTGAATTGTTGAAGGTTAAGTGTGGATTAGCATAATAGGAAGACGTTCCTGGGGACCTCAGTCTTAAGGGCACCCTCAAAATTTCATGGGCTTTACCTCTAGCAACCCAGGCTGTCATGGTAAAGATCTAAGAAAGATCCCTTCGTGGCTCTATCACGGAGAGGAAAGGACTAATAATTGTGAAATATGTTCAGAGCTTTTTCTGTAATAAAGGCCTATTCTCCAGAGTAAAAATCTTCATCAGAAGCTTGTCCCAGAGCCTTTAGGGAAGAGTGTCCCATTCCAGCCCCCTCTAGCCTCCCGGTCTCACCTAAGGGAAGGGGGAAAAGAGAAGCTATAGAAAACTTGGGAAAATTATAGTTCAGGCTGGGTGTGGTGGCTCACACCTTGGGAGGCCGAGGTGAGTGGATCACTTGAGGTCAGGAGTTCAAGACCAACCTGGCCAACATGGTGAAATCTTGTTTCTACTACTACAAAAAAAAAAAAAAGTTAGCTGAGTGTGGTGGTCCATGGCCATAGTTCCAGCTACTCAGGAGGCTGAGGTAGGAGAATTGCTTGAACTCAGGAGACAGAGATTGCAGTGAGCCAAGATTGTGCCACTGTGCTCCAGCCTGGGCAACAGAGTAAGACTCCCATCTCAAAACAAAAAACAAAACAAAACAAACAAAAAAACCAGTTCAGAGACACAGGCCCACTAAAAGGTTTAATTAGAATATTATAGAAGGCTCCCCTCCCTCACACCTTACAACAACACCAACAGGATTCCAGTATAATAATAGGTTACAGATGACATCTTACAGCTGGAAGACTCAGACTATATCTTAGGAAGAGGAATACTTTAGGGAAGCCTGACGTCAAGAGGGAAGATAAAAACAAGGACACTGAAGGAGTTTGAAGCCTCTGATACCTGACTACCTCTGACATCTCTGACACTAGACTACAGCAAACATTAAACAAAGTCTACCTCCTATTCCAATTAATGTAGATCTTCACACTAATGGCTCGGTTCCTGTTACGTAATGCAACATGTCCAGCTTTCAACAAAAAAATTATAAGGTCGCCGGGCGCAGTGATTCATGCCTGTACTCCCAGCACTTTGGGAGGCCAAGGTGGGTGGATCACCTGAGGTCAGGATTTCTAGACCAGCCTGGCCAACGTGGCGAAACCCCATCTCTACTAAAAAAAATACAAAAAATTAGCCAGGCATGGTGGCGCATGCCTGTAGTCCCAGCTACTCGGGAGGCTGAGACAGGAGAATCGCTTGAACCCAGGAGGTGGAGGTTGCAGTGAGCTGAGATCACACCATTGCACTCCAGCCTGGGTGACAGAGCGAGACTCCTTCTCAAAAAAAAAAAAAATTATAAGGCAAGAAAAAAACACTCTGAAGAGACAAGGCAAGCACTAGAACCAGACTCAGGTATGACACAGATGTTGGAATTGTCAGACAGGGAAATTAAAATAACGGTAATTAATATGTTAAGATCTCTAGTGGAAAAAGTAAGCAACATGCAAAAGCAGATGGACAATTTAAGCAGAGAGATGGAAGTTCTAAGAAAAGATCTAAAGGAAATACTAGAAATCACAAACACTGTTAACAGAAATGAAGAATATTTTTGATGAATTCTTTCATAGACTTGACATAGCTGAAGAAAGAAATTAGCATGCCTGAAGATAAGTCAATAGAAACTTCCCAAACAGAAATGCAAAGACAATGGGAAAAAAAAAAACAGAAGAGAATATTTAAGAACTGTGGGACAGTTTTCAAAATAAGTAACATACATATAATTAGGATATCAGGAGGAGAAGAAAAAAACAGAGCAAAATATATATTTGAAGTAATAATGATAAAGAACTTTCTAAAATTAATGACAGACACCAAATCACAGATCCAGGAAGCTCAGATAACACCAAGCAGAATAAATACAAAAACAAAAACAAAAAAACACTCCACTTAGGCATATCACATTTAAAATGCAAAAACAAAAAACAAAGAGAAAATTGGAAAAAAAAAAAAAAAGAAAACACCTTACCCATAAAGGACCAAGAATAAGAATTACAATAAACTTATCAGAAACCATGCAAATAAGAAGAGAATGGAGTGATATATTTAGTGTTATGAGGAAAAAAAAACACCAACCCAAAATTCCATATCCTGCAAAAATTATTCTTCAAAAGTGAAGAAATATAGACATTCTTTAACAAAAACTGAAGGAATTCATTGTCATCAGACCTTCCTTACAATAAATGTTACAAGAAGTTCTTCAAAGAGAGAGAGAGTGATGTCAGAAACTCAGATCTAGCCAGGCACTGTGGCTCACACCTATAATCTCAGCTACTTGGGGGGCTGAGACCAGGAGTGCAAGACTGCAGTGAGCTGTAATTATGCCACTATACTCTGGCCTGGGTGACAAAGTGAGACCCCATATCTAGTATTTAAAAAAAAGAAGCCTGGCCAACATGGTGAAACCGCATCTCTACCATAAAATACAAAAACTAACCAGGCATGATGGCACATGCCTGTAATCCCAGCTACTTGGGTGGCTGAGGCCGAGAATTGCTTGAACCCAGGAGATGGAGGTTGCAGTGAGCCAAGATCACACCACTGCACTCCAGCCTGGGTGACAGAGTGAGACCCTGTCTCAAAAAAACAAAACCAAAAGAAAACAAAACAAAAGCGAAAACTCAGATCTATGTAAAGAAAATAAGAGCATTGGGGAAAGTTTAAATGTAAAATAAAATCTTTCATTTCTCTTACTTGATCTAAAAGATTACTGCAGTTTAAGGGAATAATATTAACAATATAATGGGTGTTTATAGCATATAGATAAGTACATAAATGACAACAATGTCATAAGGGACAGGAGAGAAGAACTGGGAATGTTCTGCTATAAAGTGCCTGTGCTACAGGTGAATAATGCTATTTGAGCGTGAACTTACATTAGTTAGAAAAGTATGTTGAAAACTCTAGAGCAATCAATAACATTTTTTAAACCAAGTATAACGCACTGAGAGAGAAGAGAAAATGCACAATTAAAACCAAACAAGGTAATAAAAGAAGTCTCTGACAATGCATAGAAAACAGTTACAAACATAGTTGACATTCCCAGAAATATATTAATAATTGCTTTAAATATGAATGTCTAAATATAACAAAAGATTATCAAAGTAGATTTTAAAAAACTAGGTTCAATATATGTTGTCTACAGAAACACATTTTTAATATAAAGACTGACAGATTACAAGTAATGGGGATAGAGATATCCTGGGCAACACGGTGAAAACGTCTGTACTAAAATATGAAAAATTAGACAGGCGTGGCATGCACCTTTAGTCTCAGCTACTCGGGAGGCTGAGGCAGGAGAATTGCTTGAACCCAGGAGGCGGAGGTTTCAGTGAGCCGATATCGCACCACTGCACTCCAGCCTGGGCAACAGAGCGAGATTCCATTGAAAGAAAAGAAAGCTGGAATAACTCTACTAATTTCAGACAAAACAGACTTCAGAACAAGAGAAATTATCAGGAACAAAGAAGGGCACTAAATAATAATGAAAGGATCCGTTTTCCAAGAAGGTATAACAAATGAATAAAGCTGATAATTTATCCAGATTTTTTTCCCCAAGGGATTTTGAAACAATTATTTGACTGTATAGCTTGTGCAAAATATACTCTAATGACAACGAGCACTGTAATAAAATGACCTTAAACTGTTTTCCATAATCATATTGTTAGTAATAATACAGTATTGTAATTTTGAAACTATTATACACACACACAACTATAAAGAACACTGTCCTATCTTTCAGTACTCATAGCCAAGTGCAAGAGACAGACATAAAAGCTAATAATCATGGCAATACGATAAATAATATAATAGAGATATGAACAAGATTCGAGGATAATAGCCAGGAGGAAATACTGAATTTTTTGTGATAAGGCCAGGCAAAGCTTCCCGGAAGAAGTAACAATTGCACTATATATGAATTTCTAGTACAAAGTGAGAACAGCAATCCAGGCCAAGATAATTTACAAAGACAAAGGCATGGCTTGGTTGGAAAGCTACCAAATTGCTTTGACAGGATTGGGGAACATTGTATGCCCAGAAAAGAAGGCTAGAAATATAGAGAAGTGAGCCACAAAAGTAGACAAAAAGGGCCTTGTGTGCCAATATAAAGAGCTTAGACTTGAACCTGTGAATGATGATACACCGTGTACAATTAAAATCGGGTAAGGGACGTAATCAGATTTGCCTTAAAGAAATATTACTAAACAGTGGTATAGAGGCTGGAGGGTGTTTTAAAAGAGAGGGAGACTAGAGGCACAGAATCCACCATTTTAAAAGCTTACCATATGCTCTAAATACCATTTCCCACTGAAAGGAACCGGGATTCCTTGGAGAAATAGCTGATTCCATGTCTAAGGAAAAAAATAAAATAAAAGATGAGCCTGGGTCATCTTGTCATGCCAGAGAGCAAGGAAGCCATCAAAAGCCACAAGGGTCATGTCAAAAGGCTTGGGGGCCAATTGAAAGGTAGGACAATTTTAGTGTAAAAAGAGTAATTTAATGGATTAAGCATCTCAAATTTGTTAAATTCTTTAAGATCATAATACTACTACAACAAAATATCCAATGAGGGCCACCTTTGGAAGAATTTAGGAAACAAAATTATTATTGTAAAACCTGGTAAGTAAAGGGGGAAATCAAGTATTTATCCTGCCTTTGTTATATTAACTCTATCTCAAGGCAACAAAATACTGGATGGAAATAATTTTTATAGAGAATTCCAGCTATACATGCAGATGGGATGATAAAATCAAATACTGCTGTTTTGCAGGCCCCAAGAAAAAATAATGGATCTAAGTAATGGTCATCAATGGTTGTTAAAACCACTAGGTGAACAACTGATGAGGAAATTTATAAAAATGGATCAGGTTGGTAACACCTGAACCCATTGATCTTCTTAACACATAGAGACATGTGAATCCCAATGTTATGTAACAGAAAGTACACACCACCACCCATGTGCTACTCTTGCCAGAACCTTGAATCTGAACCTGATCAAGTCTCTAGACACAGTTACCAATATACAGACACTACAGGGGACAAAGGAGCATGTGAAACAACCCAGCAGTGATGCAATTAGCAGATTGCAGAATGTTGGGCACGCAACAGGACAAATGATTTTGTCACTAAATAAGAAGGAATAAAACAAGGACAGGAAACCTCCATATTTAAAGAGACCTGAGAGATATAGCGAACAAATGCATTGCATGGATTTGGCTTGGATCTTAATGCAAACCAACTTAAATTATCAGATAGGCAAATTTTGACAGCAAGTAGTTGATGGTTATGGAATTATTATTGATGTTTTAGGTGTGATAATGATATGGTTGTGTTTTTTTAAAAAAAATCCTTGTATTTTATAGATACATGCTGAGAGTGTTTATGGATGAAGTATATGATACCAGTATAGATACATGCTGAGAGTGTTTATGGATGAAGTATATGATGTCAGTATAGATACATGCTGAGAGTGTTTATGGATAAAGTATTTGTGTTGAAATAAACCTGTCAGAGGTGAAGGGCCGGGGAGGGTAATAGGGTAGATTTACAGATGAATCGGTATTGATCCCATGTTGATAATAATTGCCTTATGGTTACTTTCTTATGGGGGTTCTCTGTATTACTGCCTCTTATTTTATATTTATTTGAATTGTTTTATAATAAAACTTTCTTGAAGTACATATTGCTGGGCCCACTGCAGACCTTCTTAATCAGAATCTCGGGGGACAAGACTCACTAGTGTATTTCAATATAAAGTCCTCCAGCTGATTCTGCAACACACTAAGTTTAAGGAACGGTGTTCTATGGATAACAATCCCCTCCCATTTATATCTCTAGTTCTAGCCTTTCCACTGAACCCTAAACTTATATATCAAAATGCCGATTTGACATCTGCAGTGGATGCCCAAGAGGCATCTCAAACCATACGTGGCTGAGAAGAGGTATTGGTTTTGCCCCAAACCTGTTTGACCTCAGACTCCTCCGTCTTAGTAAATAGGACCACAATTTACCCTGTTGTTAGAGTTAAAAACACAAGGGTTTCTTCATTCTTATTCTCATTCCCTACCTCTATCCATCAGCAAGTCTTGTTTTACTTCCAACATATACCCCAAACCTGTCCGTTTCTCCTATCTTCATATCTACCCTCTTTTTAAAAGTCACCATACAATTTGCCTGGACCCCAGCCCCAACCCTAACCCCTACTCCTATCCCTAACTCTTACCCTAACCCTGTTACTACTGCAACAAGGCTGCATCACAAACCACCCAAGGACAGAGTGGCTTACAATAACAAGCATATATCACAGGTCTGCTGGTTGGCTAGGCAGTCCTGCCTCAGGCTGCAGTCACAGTGCACTGTGGAAACAAAGGTTCATGTAGGTTGGGCAACCTGGAGGCCTGGCTTCCAGTGGCTCTGGGGATGAGCTCAGATCTGAAGCACATGCTATAGTTCCAAGGGTTTCTTCCAGAAAGGCTGGCTTAAGCTGACATGGATGCTGAGAGAAGCCAGCTAGGGTTCTTCCATGGGCTTACTCTTTAAGGCGATTCACAGTGGTGAAGCCATCTCCAGAGAGATGTTCCTCACTAGCACCTCTATAGCTCCCCTTATGTCTGCAGATTGCCTAGGTTCAGATCTTGACCCTGTTGTTACTTGTGTGACCTTAAGTAAGTTACCTAACCTCTTTGTGCCTCATGTAAGTGGGTATAATAAAAGTACCTCACAGGATTTTTGTGACAATTAAGCCTTAGAACTGTGCCTGATTCTTAGTAAATGCTTAATAAGCATTAGCTATTATTAGTAATAGTCTTACCATCTTAAAGGAGAAGACATTAATACATCAAAACCCTACTTATAGACTTGTCTTTCCCCTTTAAGATGGTAAGACTATTACCAACAACTTTCAGTGGCTTATAACAACGAACATTTATTTCTTGCTCACAGTTCTGTGGGTCCCTGGGAAAAAGGGGAGCTCTTCAAACTGCCTGGCAGGTCCTGGTTGGCTCCATGTGTCTCTCGTTCTAGGACCAGTGACTACGTGGGGTTTGCTCAAGGCAAGTCAGGAGTCCAAGAGTACTAGCCAAACTACCCCCAGGACATGTAAGGCCTCTGGTTTCATTTAACATATGTTGTCCACTCACATTCTGTTGGCGAAAGCAAGCCAATAGCCAAACCCCAAATCAGCGGGAGGGAAAGCCAGAGTAGGCCAGAGAGGGAAGAGAGAATTATGAATAAGTAATACCATCTACCACATCAGACAAATAAATAATTACAATGAAGTGAGTGCTGGGTTTGGAAAGTACAGGGACTGTTGAGATTACAGCAGTGGAGGCAGAGCACACCCCGTGATCTAAAAGGGATCCGCCCTGCACCTTCCTCTTTCATGCTGCTCGTTCATCCATTCCAGGGGATTCAGCAGCCACCCAGGTCTGCACAAGCAGTGCCAACTCCACACCTTTGTGGGTCTGCCTGGCTGTCATTGCCACTGGGCTACTGGGAAGTTTTAAGGGCCCTTCAAACCCTTCTCTCTTGCTGCCAAGTCTTCCCTCCTCATGTCACATCCTGGTACCAATAGCTACTCATTGCTCAAGTCAGAAACCTGGGAATCCCTTCTCCCTCCCCATCCCTGGCCACAACTAATCAACATCAAGGCTGGGAATACAGCTTCCTTGGTATCTCCTGAACCCTGCCCCAACTGCCATGTACCTGTGTCAGGTCATCCTGATCCCTCCCTCCCACCCCCTCCTGCAACCAACCCCCATCTGGCCACCACACAGTTTGAGATCTCTTCACATTTTGTGATCTCTTCAAAATGTAGATTTAGTCCTATATGCACCAAACCCTTCCAGGGTACATTTCTTGGCATGGCCCTAGCTTACCTCCCCATGAAATGGCCTGTTAATCCTCTCTTCCTCTCTTGGGTTCCGTGTGCAGCCAGGCCAGGCTCCAGTCCCAAACACACTCCACAGGTTCTCCTCTTCGCCTGTGCCTCTGTCTGTAACACCCTCAACCCCCTTGTCTGGCTAATTCAGCTCCTGGGTCACCACTTCCTCCAGGAGGCCTGCCTTGACACCAGCCTCCCAGGATCAGTCACATTGCCCTCTCTTTGCTCTCACAGCACCCACAATTTCCCCATCACCCCCTCCCTGCCCCTGTGCTATGTTCTATTGAGATTTCAAGCCTCTGCAGGATAGGAATTGGATAATTCATTACTGTGTCCACAGTGTCTGTCAAGGGCAAGAGAGCCACACAGAACCCCAGTAGTTCTCCTAAAAGTGGAGACGACAATAATATGTATTAGTTGTGTTGTGAGGATGAAATGAACTAATGCATGGAAGACGCCTGAACCCGTGGAAACACATAATGAATACATTAATAGTAAATGGTAGCTATTACTATTTATGATGTTGACAGCATTAAATCTAAGCAAACATTTTATTGAAGTATGAAATACATTCCAAAAAATGCGCAAAATCACAAGTGTCACAGTCAGTGAATTGTCACAAATGACACCCTTGTGACTAGCCCCTGGATACCATTACTTTTAAGCTCAAATGTCAGCTTCTCAGAGAGGCCCTCCCTTGACTTCGTCTCCCACCTCTTAATTCTATGTTGTATATATTATCTGTTTCCCCTCACTCCCATGTAAGCTTCAGGAGAGCAAGATTTTTTTTTTTTTTTTTTTGGTCTATTTTGTTCACTGATGTAGCCTCCGCTTCCTAGAATAGTTCTGGACACATAGTAGATGCACAATAAAAATTTGCCAAGGAACGAATGAGCGATTATTATTTTCATTTCTTTAAGCTCCCAGGCGCTGCAGCATGGTCATGCCCGAGAACTCGTGCCATCCCAGGTGAAGCAGCGCTGGGCCGGGACCAGCCGCACCTGGCCCGGCTCTGAGCTGTGCTGGGCTGGCTCCGGGTTCTTCCGCCTCACTCCTGGCCTGTGAGCCCGGCTCACCTCACCCTACCCACCTCCACTCTGCGTGCAAAAATTATAATAATAATAGCAACAATAATAGTCTCATCCGCCCTGGAGACCACCCGTGCCCCCGTGGCATCCCTCAAGGACTCTCCGGGCGGTGGCAGCCGCCCACCCTGGGGACGCGCTCCTTGCTGCCACCGGAACGCCCCTGGCCAGGCTCCATCTACGCGCTGTCAGACCCTCCCGCCGTCTGAAGAAGGCTTTTACTCTTCAGCCTATTCCAGTGGCAGAGAAGCTAAGGCTACAAAGGCGAACGCGAACAGTCAGATCTGACTTCGAATTCCGCTGTCATTGCTGCCAGGCGCACCACGAGGACGCGCGGTGACCGCCACCATGGCATTCGGCTGCCAAAGGTTTCCATCGACCTCTTTCCCATCACCAGCATCGCAGCGGGAAAGAATGTGCCTGGCGCCCTTCTGGGCACTGGGCATGGGGTGGTGAACAAAGTCCTCCAGAAATAAACCGGGTAATGAGCCCGGCAGCGGCCGGGGCAGGAAGGGACCTTCGCAGAGAGTGGTCAGGCACAGCCCCTCCGAGGAGGCGACGCTCAGCTGAGACCAGGGTGACGCAAAGGTGTCGGCCGGTTAGGCACCTGTGAGGAAGGAGGAGCCGGCAGAGTGCCAAGTAGAGGGAACAGCAAATGCCCGGCTCCTTTTATAACCACTGCTTCAGTTATCTTCCCCCAAAGCTTGAGAGGGGGCAACTTTGCTACATTTCACAGACGAGGAAGCTGAGGCCCAGAACGATGAAGGAATTTACAGAGCTGGGATTCGAACCCCGCGCTACCGTCAGTCCATCCCGGGCTCTGTCCAGCCGGTACCGCGCGCCGCCTTCTTCCTCCCGCACCGTGACCTTAACTCGGCACGTGCTGGCCCCTCGGGCTCCCCAGTCTCCGTACATTGTCCCACTCAGCTCTGATTGTGGGGAGGGGGCGGACCGAGGGGGCGGGGGGCGTCTTTCCGAAGGATCGCGGAAAGCCGCGCGCTGCCAGGGGCCCGGGGTTAGAGACCCCCACTCCCGCACGGCGTTAGGGACTCCGCGCTTCCCCGCCCCCGCCGCGGCCCGCCGGCTCTGCCTCTGTCCATGGTCAAAGCACCCGGGGTAATCCGCCTTTCTCTTCCGCCCGCCGGGCCCCATTCATATTCTAATCACAGCGCGGCCGACCCGCGAACGGCCACTTTATCGGGGCCCGCAGGAGACGCAGCTTGCTCCCCCTCACTTCCACTTCCAGCACCCCCCGGCCCTCGCCCCCCTCTTTCTGCACTTTCAACTCCGCCGAGGAGGGGGTCCCTGGGAAAACCGCGTCCCCACTTGGATGCCGGGGCTTCTCACAAACTTCGAGGCCGACTGGGGGACGGCGGTGGGGTGGGGAGGGCAGGGGGAGGGCGGAGGAACAGAGACAGACAGACTGACAGAGTTACGGGAAGAGGCGGGGGAGGGGGGACAGTACAGAGAGACCGAGGGGGATAGAGACAGAGAGGGGCAGAGTCCTAGGGGGAGACAAAGAGAAGTGGAGGCAGGGTCTGGACAGAGACACTAGCAGCCAAGGAAGGAGAAATGGACAGAGACAGAGACACAGAGGACGAGAGGGACAGAGAGCTAGAAACAGACACCGGGAGACAGGCGGAGAGAGACAGCGAGATGGAAGGAGAGAAACAGGATGAAGGACCCAGGCCCAGAGGAAGACAGAAAGTTCTGGAGGAGGCGAACCAGCCACTCACCTCCTCCCCGCCTAGCGGCCTTGTTACGCTCATATTGGGGCATGGGGTCTTAGGGATTCAGTTCCCCTTCCCCACCCTTTCCCCTTCAAGCTCGCTTCACTCCCCACGCGTGTCTGCGGATCCGCGTGCAAGGGGTCAAGACATACCCCCTCCCGCATTCTCAGGGCCACCACCCGAAATCTAACCCAGGACCAAAATGGGGGGTGGGTGGGGGCGCAAGAGAAGGAAGGGAGTGGGGCCCCACTCGTGGTAGCGCAGGCGACTCCCCAGGCTCCAGGAGTTCCCCGCGGCTCCCCCCCCGCCCGCGCCCCCCTCCCGGCCTGCCAGCACGGCGCGGGGCCCGATGGTGGGGAAGGGCCGGGAGGGGGAGGGGGCCACATCTAAGCCAATTTTGATTTCGCCTATAATGAGTGCCGGGCGAAGGCTGGAGAAGGCCTCTGGAACTTTAAATAAGAAAAACGTTGCTAATGCTATAATAGAAGGGGGAAGTCGGAGGGCTGGGATTGCGTCGCTCTGAGCCCCCCTTTTCGGAGGCGGCTTTTCTTATTCAAAACAGGCCCACAATGGGCTTCACAGTGCGCCTCGCCACGGCCCCATCTGACGAGCGGCCATTCATCAGGCCGGCTGGCCTATCAATGACATTGCTCCCATCGGGGCTCCTATAAAATGATGCTTTTTCCCATGAAACATCCGCAAACATTTTGACGGGTTTGGCTTTGCCCGGCTGGATTACTGAGTGTCCCCTTGCTCGCTCGCTTTTTCTCTCTCCCCCTTCTCCGAGCTCGCTCCCTTCTCTCCCTCTCTCTCCTCTTTTCTTCTTTCTCTTTTCTTTCCTCTTCTTTTTCTTTTCTTTTCCTTTCCTCCTTTATCCTTGTGCCCCCTCACTTTCTGCGTCTCTCTCTCTCCCCTTCTCCCTCCCTCCCTCCCTTCCTCCCTGGGCATCTCTAGCACAGGGGATCCCCAAACATCAGGACTTTTGGGGGGCGCCTGTGCTGTCCATGGGAAGAGCATGCATTGTGGGTTACTGGAGGAACCCGACATGGATTCCACAGGTTAGTCCTACTGGCGGGGTTGGGGGGATACATTGGGAGGGAAGGAGAAGGGAGAGGGGGAACTTTAGAAAGAAGTTGGGAAAAGTTCAGACGGGTCAACTTGACAGTGGAACCCCAAAGAATAACGCAGAGCTTGCAGAAGTTTTCAATTCGAGGCGATGTGTGTAACTGGATGCGTGGAAGTATGTGTATAAGCGTGTGATTGTGTACGTGTGTGAGTGTGTGTGCGTGCGCGCGCGCGAAGGAGCGCGCTTTCGCTTGCCCTGGACACAAAGTTACGTAAAGATGCGCTGGCTCGCGGCGAGCTCGAGGTGCCACTTGCAGAAACTTTGCCAGCCGACCGCCCCCTCCCGGACCCAGGTCCTCCTAGGGTATGGGGGCCTCGGAATAGCGGTGCGCTCGGGGTCTGGCGGCCAGGGCCGGGAAGCCGAGCGGAACGCCCCGAGGCGGGGGAGGGTGACGGCTTCGCACTGCGCCTGGGAGGTGGGGACCGAGGCTCCGGCTGGTAGAGACGCGCAGCTGGAGGGAGTGGCGGCGGCGAACCCGGTGGTCCGGGGGAATCCGCAGAAACGGGAGGTGGGAGTCCTGGGCTGTGGGGTCGGGCTTTTAGCTTTTCTGCCAGGAAGGGGCACCCAACGCCGGGCTCCACTAGGGAGCTGTGACCTTGCTGGAGGGAGGGCAGGACGCAGACTGGCCCGCTAAACTCGGCGTTGGGGTCTGCAAACTGCTCTGCAGTTCAAGAGCTGCTGGGCGTCAGTTTTGGGGGTGCGGCGGTCCTTAACAACGAAAAAAGGAGGCCAAGGAATCTTTCACAACGAAAACACCCGGTATCTCGGTTCTTCCTCCAGTAGTTTTCGCCACCTCCCACTCCTAGCACCTTTGAAGAGCCGTCACACTTCTAGATCTGTTAACGCTCCCTAAGTCCCTTGCAGGTGGAAGTTCTCTTACAGTTCACCCCCTCCCCTAGGCTCATTCTTGCAACCCGGCTATTTTCATTTTGGCCCCCTGCAGCCTCAGAATTTCTTAGGGTGATGAGTTTGGGGAGAGGCAGAAATAGGGCAGTGGACTCAGCCTGGGCCGTGGCGAGGTTTGAGAGAATGCCTGCAAGCATAAGCTGCTGAGCATTGCAGCGCGGAGCAACAAGTGCCTTCCAGCCCCGGCCGTCCCCTGAGCATGCACGTCCTTTCCTTGAGCAAATAAACAAATGCCGCACGAATGTCTCCCCAACTCCACCCCTAGGCAGGCTGGATATGGAAGTGGGGTGGGGGCTGGGGTCATCGGGGCATTGCCCCAGAAGGTCTTTCCTCGGTCCCTGCAGAAATATTTAAGGCCTCTCCAGGTTTCCGCTGCAGCCCTGGTGGCCCGGACACCGGACTGCTCTTGCCAGGGGGATATTCTGTGTTTTAGGGTAGTTGTCGATCTCTGATTCCTAGAGTCAAGGCCCCGCCTGATTGCACTCCCCTGGCTGGGTGTGAGCCCCCAGGGAGTGGGGAAAGGCTAAGCCCCGAAGTTCTCCTTCCTATACTCGATGACAAACGAAGGCAAGGAGAAGCGTCGCCTGCCCTGCGTGCCTCTCCGGACACGGCAGGCCCCGCTGAGGTCTCTACTGGCGGTAAAGCGGGAGCCCAGAGAGAGAAAAGCGCCTTTTCCACCATTTTTTCATCTCAAGCGCTGCGCCCTCACCACCTCCTGAGAACCCTAACATTAAAAATGAATATCCTTAACAAACTTAAACGCATGTCTGCAGAGTTTGTGGCCAAGTATTTTCGAGCGGCCCACGCAGGGACATAGGGTCTCCCTACATCCCAAACCTGCAGTGGCCCTGCTGGGGGGCTTTTAGCTGCCTCCTCCACAGGGCCAGGCCCCTCGGTACTTCTGGGGAGGACTGTGGGGCTGTGGATTCGTGGCGTTTTCTGTTCTCGATGCAACTGGTGCTCGTGGGGGCACCGGGTCCTCTTCACCTCAACTGCAAACACTCCAGAGACGTTCTGAAATGAAATCCTTTCCCCATCCACTTCTCTCCCTTTTGTATATCCGAGACATCCCTAGGTCACCACCCTGAACGCAAAATCAAAAGTTTTGGTACACGACAGTGTGAAGAAATGACACTAGACGCACCAGGTGACATTTCACTCCGACTTGCAAAACCGACGACAAGGGAAGTGCGGCTCGGCGTGGTCCAGTCCAGAAGCCTTCCCTCACCTCCCTTCCAGAGAATTTAATCCAATTAGCCTTTCTTCTGAGTTTCCCTTGTTATGTAAAGGGTCTTTTCTCCTGGCTTGCAGAGACGCGCGCTCCATGGAGCAGTTCGATTCTGCTCCTTTTGTATAAGATCGCGCGCGATCAGAACCAGGAATATTGCTGTTATTATATCATTCCGAAAGGACTGGAACAACCGACTCACAGCAAGTGCTGGGGCGAAGTAGGAAACGTCCAGGATAAGAGAGGCCGGCGAGCGGGGCCACCGTCCCTTACTCTTAAAAGGAAAATCCCCGCGAAGTGCCTCGGGCCCGGGAGAACAGTTTTGCAGGGGCCAGGGCTCTAGTGGCCTGCTTTGGGGCCACTTCAGCATGACCTGCGGAAACGCGCCCCTTTGTTCCGCACACTGAGCCAGTAATATATTCCTCGGGTTTCCCCAAAATACTCAACAAGTGTGGAGCTAAGACAATGGCCCGGTCGGGGGAAGCTGGGCAGCCGGCGCGCGCCTCCTGGGCCCTAGGCGCTCTCGCTGCCGAGCCCGACAAAGCAAAGCCCCTCTCGGAGGCAAAGCCCCAGCTTGCCGCGCGCCGCGGTGCTCCGGCAGGAGGCAAAGGCGACAGGCGCGCGCAGGGGCAGTCGACGCACCTTCTGGCCGGTGCGCGGTTTGCAGTAAGCGCAGGCGCGCGTCCCGCTCGGCCCGCGCTACAGCCCCACGCCGCGCAAAAGTGGGTGCTGAGCCCCGCGTGGCCTGCGCTCCCCACGCGGGCCACCGGCAGCTACGTGTTTGTGGCCGCCGGGTCCAATCAGGGCTGCTCTGCCCGGGTGATCGTTGCTCAGTTACTCAAGTTATCCGGAAATTCGAGAACGATGGGGGAAAGTGGGTAGAATTTTAGGCCACCGAGAACTTGTGCAAAGTGGGCCGGGCCGGGTCGGTCGCCTACGCAACAGAAGGATCATTTCTTTTAAAACGGGATGGCGCGTTAGAGAGGGCCACTGCCAAGCTGGAGCTGGAAACTTCTGCCTCCATCCACTTTCCGCTCCCATCTCCAGAACCCAGAGCTGAGGCGGCCAAAGTACTTCCTGGAGCCGGATTTGAGTTCCCCGGGCCGCATCGGTGGGAGGGCACGCTAGTTTACAGGCCCCCAGCTCAGCACAAATTCTTTCTAAAATTCTACCACCAAATTAATTATATGCCTTTGTGGGCCCGGGGTAGGGATGTCCAGTGGCCTTGGCGCCGTGCCCACAAGGCAAAGTGCGTCCTGGAGGGAACAGGGCCCGAGCCTCCTCCATTCTTGCCCAGGCACAGCCCTGGGGAAGGAGCCACTGTCTGCGGGCTTGGGAGAGCAAGGAGCCGGAGGTCCGAGCCTTGCTCCAGCGCCCAAACCAGACAGTCTCGCCCTCCCCGGGCGTGTGTGTGTGCGCGCGCGCGGGCGAACGGGGCATGTGCGCCCCCATCTCTGCCACCTGCTAAGCGCCGGCGTCTGGATTTGGCAGCGGGGTCAAGTGAGAGCCGCATGGTACCAGGGTTCCGAGTCCCCGAGGCTGCAGCCCTTGATGGCGCGGAGGCTGCACGCAGGCTGGGTCCTCGGAGTCCCGGATTCAGCACGCGACTCTGTGCGGCAGCCTGGGACAGCGCGCTTTCCTACCCGGCCTGCAGGTCCCAGAGACTCGGAAAAGTTTGCAGGGGCCGCCCGGCGCCTCGGGCCTGGGATTTCCAAAGCCGCTCCCGCCCCCGTCCCCAGCGCGTCACCATGGAGACTGCTGGAAGTTGGTGGTGGAAAACAGACCTGGCGCAAAGCAAAATATTATGAGTGCAGTTGGGGTGACTTCAGGGGGCGGGGGGACCGGAGGGCAGGAGCGGGAGCCAGAGGCAGAGGCCGACAACAAAGGGCCCAGTGCGAGGAAGAGAGAGGAGTTTGCACGGGGCCTCCCCGCCGCTGTGTGAGTGCTGGACCATCCTGCTTCCCAGAGGCTCCGAGGTCTCTAATTTCTCTCCAGCAGCTATACCTTTTCTCAGCCCGCCTTGGAGCCCTTGCTCCCTCCCTCCTCTCCGGGTTCTCTTCCAGCCTCCCCCCTCACCCGTCCGGAGGTTAGGCGCCAGCTGGGCAGTGCGCCCGCCTCCCCAGGAGCCACAGGCTCACCAACGTGAAAGGTTCTGGCTTTTCTTCCCCACGACCCGTGGGTCGCCCAGGGTGAGTTTCTCACCCCCTATCTCAAACCCGATCTGAAAGGGTGATGGGTTAGAATAAGGTGGGAACGGAACGGGAAGAGAAGGGAGCGTCTGGCCAGAAATCTTGCGAGTGGGGATGGGTAAAGAGGAGATTCTGATTTTTCCCCCCTTTTTACAGTGAGAAAGGCGCTGAGTCGTGATTCAACTCAGCCACTTGTAATATGACTTTAGGTTAATCTTCTAGGCTTTCCAAGATTATTTTTAATTGCCTGTAAAATGAAGGGTTAGACAGCTCACAGGCTGGGATCTCTGACAAGGTAGACATTTCCCTCTATTCCTTTGGCTTTACTGTAGAATCCAGGAAGCAATATATGAGCTGGTTACCACTATCTGAAATATGACCCACTGCACAATTAGGTAATTTCTCCTCGAACTAATGATATATTATTTTTTGCAAATCATTTGGGATTTTAAGAGTCAATAACCATGAACAACTCTTTTTAAAGGCCCAGAATGTCCTTTCTCATTGCCACCTGCAGTGCATTCCTTAATTGTTTGGCCAACTCCCTCCATCCCCAAAGGATTTACTAAAAGACACTAGACTTTATGGGGCTGTATCCAGTGCCAATTTAGGGAACACTGAAATGCTTCTAGATAATGAAGCTGGCATCACAGACCCTCACATATGTGAGAGAGGAATACACATTGGCCAATGTACTAAAATGCGGCCATCAAAGGAAAATCACTCCACCCTCCACTGCTCAAGTTTTTGGGAAGAAGTCTCTTCTCACGCCTAGGCATCCCTCCTGATGACAATCTGGGCAAAGGAGCCCTTCTCCTTTCCCTGAGATTCCATTGCCTCATTTGCAAAAGAATGGATTGGGTGTAAAAATTGATATGCTCTATTGAGTTGGTGCAAAAGTAATTGTGGGTTTGCACAACCCGCAATTACTTTTGCATCAACCCAATAAAATTCTACCTCTCAATTATATGCCTGTGTCCGCGTTTGTGTTCTGACATCTATGTCAAATCTTCTGGGTACTTTGTTTATAAAGTAGTTTTACTGACATTGAGCCTCCCAGGCACTCCATGAGCGTGGCATTATTCTGAAACATAGGGTTTTTCTTTCATTTCCAACATTTTAAGACTGATTTCTAAGCCAAGTTGGTCTGTTTGCCTCAGTGTCTTTTCCAAAAAGGCTGAGAAGATATAAAGTGGTGACATCACAAGTTGGGATGCCGGACACTCAGGTCTCTACTCCACAGGTTCCTGAGAGCCCATCCTACGTGTTCTGCAGGTCACTTGGGAAACTCTTCAGCTGCCCCTCTGATGGCCATAAGGCTCTGCAGGATGGAGACGGTGGGAGAAACCCCCAATGTTGTTTTTAACCTCTTCCACTCTATTTTAGATATTTGCAATTTTATTAAGGTTTAGGGGAGAGAGAGAATGAACTTGAAGAGTTTATTTGGAGGTATCAGGTAAAAGTGAAGTTTAAAAAAAGAAGAAAATAGACTACTTTGGGTTTTATTCAGTCTCACTTCCTGACTACCTGCTAGGTGGCAGACCCTGAAGATGAACAAGGTCACAGTCCCTACTGTCGAGGACTTCAGAATGCATTTACTAAGAGAAGGTATGGACACACTGAGAGTGGTGAGCACTACAAGGAACATAAAAATTGAGTCATTTTGGAGCTTAGAGGAAAGGATGCTCTCTCTTGCTGAGTACCTACCATGTATCAGCTCTGTAACAGGCACTTTTTCACACATTAGCCATTGAAGCCTTATCACAACTCTGCATAGTCTCTTTTTAGGATGAAAGAGGGTCTGGAACCTGCCTGAGGTCTCAACTGGTACATGGCAGAGCTAGATTGGAGAGCAGACTAGGCAACACTCATGCCCTCTCCCCACCCAGGCCACATCACCTAGACTCTGCTGTCGTGATAGGTCAGGGTTTAGTTATGACACTGGCTTTAGGTGGATTTGAATCCCACTTGGTGAGAAGGGAAACAGATGGATGAGAGTGGAGAATCACAGAATGTTGTCTTCCCTGGGCTCCAGAGAAAACCCCTCTGAAGGAATCCTGTGACTCCGCCTTTAAGGGGGATTTTAAATGGTGGCAGCAATGGGAGGCAGTGTATCACAGCGGTTGAGTAGAGATTTGGGGCACAGACAAATCTTGGCTTTCTTCATTCATGTGTTCATTCATTCATCCAAGAAGACTATGTGTCTCCTATGTGCCCAGCATTCTGCTACATACTGGGCTTAACAAAAATGTCATCTTTGCTTCCCTAGAGCATAAGTTCTAGACCCACAAATAAGTAAACACAAAAATAGATAATTTCAGTAAGTGATTAGCAATATGAAGGAAAAAAACCTATCTGGAGTAATAAAGACAGAGCATGGTGATGGGGTTGTTGGCTTCATAGGGTGGCTGTGCCACGTAAAGCTGTGAGCATTTGGTCTGGAAGCTTAATGTTGCTGAGCCTCAATTTTCTTATGGGATTGATACAACCAGCTGATACAGCTGTAGTGAATATGAAATATGAAAGTGGTAATAGTTAACATACGTTCCATACTTACTGTGTCTTCACTTTGCTAAGCATTTTAAGTACATTATCTGTGTAATGCTCACAACAATCCTATTAAGAAGAAACTGTAATTATTAAGAAGAAACTGTTATTATTTACAGTTTAAATAGAGAAACCAACAAGTTAAAGGAAAAATTGAAACTAGAAGCTGACATGTTCAATAAGTTTCTGAGCCCTAGGAAGCTGGGCTGGCAAGCTGTACCTCGATTGCTTGGGAAGCAAGATCACTCTTATTGTGTGTTCCTAACTTTCCTGAGGCAGAATGCAAGTAGGAGACCTAGCTTTTCATTTGTATTTTAAAAAGCAAATGTTTTAAAAACACTGTGACAGAGAAAGGATATAATGGCCAGGTGCTGTGGCTTATGCCTGTCGTCCCTGCACTTTGGGAGGTGAGGCAGGAGGATCACTTGAGGGCAAGAGTTGGAGACCAGCCTGGGCAACATAGTGACACTCTTATCTCTACAAGAAATTTAAAAAATTAGACGGACATGGTGGTGCATGCCTATAGTTCCACCTACTCAGGAGGCTGAGATGGGAGGATCACTTGAGCCCAGGTGTTCAAGGCTGTACTGAGCTCTGATCACACCACTGCACTTCAGCCTGGGTGAGAGTGAGACTCTGTCTCAAAGAAAAAAATAAAAAAGAAAGGAAGGAAGGAAAAGAACAATAAAAAAAGAAAAATTAAAAAAAGAAAGCTTATCCAAGAGATGAGTAAGTGGCAGAACCAGGATTTGAGCGGAGGGCCCACAACCCAGCTGGCTGGCTCTTAGATCCATACTCTTAGTCATGAAGCTGTATGGACAATCTCTTCTTCTTTCTTTCTTTCTTTTTTTCATTAGGGAGAGGGTGGCAGTGGGAGGAATGCCCAGTAACATACGTAGCATTTTAGCAAAAGTAAATGACGTGCTATTTTCTCCCTATATGAAAGTGTTAAAATAGTCCCTTTTTTTTTTTTTTTTTTTTTTTTTGACGGAGTCTTGCACTGTCACCCGGGCTGGAGTGCAATGGCTCAATCTCGGCTCACTGCAACCTCTGCCTCCCAGGTTCAAGCAATTCTCCTGTCTCAGCCTCCTGAGTAGCTGAGATTACAGGTGCCCGCCACCACGCTGGCTAATTTTTTGTATTTTTAGTAGAGATGGGGTTTCACTATGTTGGCCAAGCTGGTCTCAAACTCCTGACCTTGTGATCCACCCACCTCGGCCTCCCAAAGTGCTGGGATTACAGGCGTGAGCCATCGCGTCCGGCTAAAATAATCTTTTAAACTGTAAAGGCAAAATGTATAATTGTTGACAAAAATAGGGACATAAGTAAATCATTCATACCTTTACTACACACGTGAAATGTACTTTCATCTTCTTTGGGATTCACTCAAACTTTGGTTAATATTTGCTTTGTCTCTGAGAAAGTCAAGGCTTCATTCATGCAACAGGAAGAATAATAGAATGAAGCAAAAGCAGCTAAGTAATATGATAATATATGGAGCCTTTAGGTAACTTAAACAATATATTGCATCTAGAAGTCATTCACAGATATGTGTTAAAATATGGCTTCAGGGGTATGTAGTGTGACTTAGTGAAAAGAACATGAGCTTTGCCATCAGACAAGGTTCAAATCCTGTATCAGTTACATTCTTGCTGTGTGACCCAGAGCAAATTATCTTACTTCTCTAAGCCTCAGTTTCCTTCTTTGTGAAAATGTCTACTCACTACATTCTAGGATGGTTATGAAAATTCAGTAAGATTGCACGTGTTAAGTATTTGATTTCATGCCTGACTCCTAAAAGTTGCTCGGTAAAAGGCAGATATTATTATTATTATTAACAATAATTATCTGGCCTTCCTATACTTTATTCTAGGTGTCTAGTTGGGAAAGGGGATAAGAATACTGAAAAAAAAAATGTAGACTGTTTTAGAATACCTAGATGTGCTTGTACTATGTAGATACAACCCCAGTTTTAATGTTGAGATAAGTCATTTTTTTTCTGAAGGGTTTAGACCAAAAGACTAATTTTATTTTTATTTCTCCACCTTTCCCATGAAGAAGGCATTTTATATGCCCCTGTTTGCCATTATTTCATCCTTGTGTTTTCCAGTCTGTTAAAGGAAGTGGAAAATGTGTCTTTGTGGAGGCAACACCTGTGGGCTTGAATTTAAATCCTGGAAGAGAGATCTGTGGTGTACTCAGAGACGACGTATGTTGCACAACCCTGATCGAGGCCCCTCCACAACTCCTGATGCCCTTCCAGTTCTGGAATGTGATGGCCCACATTTTTCATGCCTCTTCCTCTTGCCTTCCCCCCACCCCAGCCCCCTCAACCACCCAACCCTCTTATGTTTTTAGGCATCACTGTTTTAAGGATTGAGCCATTTTTACACTTGGTTTTCAGGAAGTAGAAAACTCAGTTTCAAGTGAGCCGTTCTCTGGAACTCATTTTAGCAGGATGCAGAGAGAGTTTGGTTCTTTTGCCTTTCTTGCATTTATATATATATTTTTAACGTGAGGATAAAACGTCCATTTGTTCTGTTTTTGTCTTTACACTTTGATGTTTACTAACACTGCAGTTTTTGAGTTCTTGAAATGTTTACGAGAGGGAAAGAGATGATAAAAAGCAGAAAAGAATGAAATGCAGCCATTTTGCTTTCAGTTGAATTGGGTCCAAATTGAGGCAACTAGGGCTGGATTGACCTGTGCCGGGAGATTACGGAGTTTATGTGTGTCATATCCCACCCTCAAGGCAGGAATACTTCAAAAGATGTGTACAGTTTCCACTTTTCTGGTTGGTTATTCTTCCATAAAACATAAAAGCATTATTGTGCCTCGGAGCAATCAATAATTATTAGTAGAGAGGTGAAAATGGACACGTTGGATTTGTATTTTTGTAGTTGTTTTGTTTTAATTTAAAAGAACAATGAGAAAGCCTTTGAAAAGGCTGCAACCCGGTGAAGGTTAGTTAGCACTTTGTGTCCTGTGTGTTTTCCAGCTACCCAGTAGTTGTGCTAAAGACCGGTGTTTAGACACAACCTAAGTGAGACTGCTGAATGTAGCAGATATTTATTTAATCAGAATGGAAATTTACCACTACATAAGCACTGATGTCCTGAATCCATCATGTTGGAGAAAATACAGTATCAGTCAATGGAAGCAAACTAGTCTTTGAACTAGATTTTGAATGGACATTTGGATAATCTAACGAGTGATTAGTGATTGACAATTACATCTCCAAGCCAGCATCTAATTTTTGAGACACAAATGCATTTTGTGAATAAAATGATGTCAGTGCCTTTGTTTTGAATCTTGGCCATCAAATCATCGCAAGTTACATTACACTTTTGAAGAAGGAAGTGTTTCTTGGAATGTTGCGATTATAGGATTTATAATTTTTAAAAGTGAGCATGAAAGAGTTTTTGAGTTCTACGTTATCTTTTTCTGAACGTGATTAGTCCAAATTTGGGGTGTCCATACATAGAACATATTTATAATTTGTGTACTGAATCTAAATGCTCATGAATAAGTCAAGTTTCTATTGAAGTCATTAGGATTTTATAAAGTTCCAGAATTGGCAGAATTGGGTCCATGGTATAAACTCAAACCTATTTATGGTGGAACTGATGGATTATTCTAAACATTTTGCCAAGTTTTCTTCATGGTGTTCACTTCCACTGCTGATAATAAGTCTAGGGTGAGGGAAGAAGTAGGGTGCCTTTGTAAAGTTATTTGCCTCCCCAAAAAGAAAATCAACACAGTTTGCTTCCTCCTTAAATGGCTACTAACCGGGCTAAAATTTCTTTTACTTTTATTTCTTTTACTCAGTGACTCCTTTTTCAAAAGTAAAATAATTTCTCCAACAAGCATTATTGGACATCACAGAAAATAAATAAGTCTGCCTCAGAAAGCTCTGGGAGTTTACAAGGGAGAAAAATTCCAGAGGGCTTGAGGCCCTCAGTTAAAACATTAAAACTTTTAAGCTTTGGAGAGAAGATTTCTAAAGCGTCGAGCGGTTGTTGTGAGAAAGGCTTTGGTCTCCGTGAACTTTTATTTTCAACTCAGTGGGCAGAGTTTTTGAGGTTTCTGTGGTTTGGGTAGGGGACCTTTTCAGAAATGCCAGGCTTTTAGAAAAAACACAGCTTTTCTTCTAATCAAGGCTGCGTTTTAAAGTTTGAAAACTTTGGTGTGATGACAAGAATAAATTATTTCTCTGCTACGTTGAGGTTTCCTCTGGGTGCCCAGGCTGCGGGGCATTCTCGCCTCGGCTGCCTCACAGGGCACAGCTGAGGAGGCGCTGGGAGTGGGAGCGCCGTCAGTCCAGAGCTCGCCCCGCATGTACTGGGCAGCCTCGCACAGAGGCCGGCTGAGCCTTGAGCGCCGCTGGGAAAGGCTGCCGAGCTGAGCAGTGCACAGGGATCCAAGCCACGGAGGACCTACACAAGGATGCCCCATGGATCCCGTGTTCTGCTCAAAGTTTTTCTTGGTATTGAGAGGGATTAAAAAAAAAAAAAAGAAATGAAAACACCAAGGCTGTATGTTGTATATCGATAGCTGATGATAAACAGAGCATTTTGAGAAGGAAGGGAGAAAGAGAGGGAGGGGGACCCCAAGGGAGGATGGGAGGCAAGGAAGAGACCCCATCAGAATCATTTCCATAATTGACAGCAGGCTAACTTAATGAGTTTTTTCAAAATTATTAGTTTCTTTTTTATACAAGTGAGTCCCTTTTGGAAATTGAGTAGCAGATTAATCAAACTTGTAATTTTTTCCAGGCACTGTGCTGAACACTTATGCATGTTACTTTATTTAACTCACATATTGACTCTATGGTATTATTACTCCCAGTTTACAGATGGGGAAACTGAGATTCAGACAGCCTAGTTAACAATATGTCCAGGCCAAACCCCTAGTGTCAAACCAGGATTTGAACACGGATTACTGTGATTCCAAAGCCAGGTTGCCTCCTTGCCTCCCCAACTCCAGAGCTAGAAGGAAGACCTGAGAGTTTTACATTCTAGTTCACCTCCTCTACTGCATAAAGTTCAGGAGGTCCAGTCATTCCCTCATCCTGGTGGGAGACAGCAGCTCACACTGCCATTCTTTGGAGTGTACTGTCGTGGGTGTCAGTGGGCGACTGGGTGCCACTGGCCTTGAGATGTGACTCTAGCAGCAGGCTGCTGAGGATGCCCACGGGCACTCCTCCCTGAGTGGGTGCCTCCATGCAATGTGTGCCTTTCATCTCAAATCATTCTCAGAGCTTCTAAGTTCAACCTGGCACCACCACTAGGCCAGTATCTTCCCACCTGCCAGTTACTTTGGGAAATCTGACATCTTACACACATCATCAAGGGCTTCATTTCTATTTACTTACAGACATGATTTCACTTAGAATAGGTTCAACATAAAAACCTTGCTGTTAAAAGAACAGCACCTTCCATTTGTATAGCATGTTACAGTCTATAATCATCGATAGAATCATTAACAGTGCGGGCTCTGGAATCCAGCAGGCTTCCTGAGAATTGGTTTTGCCATGGGCTGGATATATGAACTCAGCAACTTAGGTAACCTCTCTGAGCCTCAGTTTGCTTTTCAGTAAAATGGCACTATTCAAATACCCACCTCATGGAGTATTGTGAGGATTAAATAAAGTAATATGTAAAGGAACCAGCACAGGTCTTGGCACATTGTAAAAGCTCAATAAACAGAAGCTGCTTTAAGCACCACTTGCAAGGAGAACCTTGTGGTCCTCTAGTGACTTCCAAGACCTTTTCCCCCAACCCCCACACACAAAGACCACATAGGATGATATGGTTTGGCTCTGTGTGCCCACCCAAATCTCATCTTGTAGCTCCCATAATTCCCAGGTGTTGTGGGAGGCACCTGGTGGGAGATGATTGAATCACAGGAGCAGGTCTTTCCTGTGCTGTTCTTGCGATAGTCAGTGAGTCTCATGAAATCTGATGGTTTTAAAAACGGGAGTTTCCCTGCACAAGCTCTCTTTGCCTGCTGCCATCCACGTAAGATGTGATTTCCTCCTCCTTGCCTTCCACCATGATTGTGAGGCCTCCCCAGCCACATGGAACTGTGAGTCCAATCAAACCTCTTTCTTTTGTAAATTGCCCAGTCTCAGGTATGTCTTTATCAGCAGCATGAAAACGTACTAATACACAGGAAAAGGAAACAAAATTTTATAGAATTTGTTCTTCCACTGTGTTCAGTCTTTTGAGGCAATATCTCATAAACCAGTGAATTGGAAGGATCATTCATTCCCATTGTACACCTGGTAAAACCAGTAAGATTCGGTCACATGCATTGGTCTGTACAGCAACTGAGTATCCAAACTGAGGTTTGTTGTTCCAAAGCTGATCCTGCTTTGTTTAAACCAGGCCACCTATATCTCAATTAAAAACTTATAAGAAAGTGTATTTTTCATTCCGATTTTATATGGTTATTTGGAGCTTTTCCTTTTTCAAGAGTTTTGCCTGTGTAATTTTTATCTGTGTTTAGCACAGTACATAGCATCTGCTAGAGTGGCTTGCACATAGTTAGTGCTTAATAAATGTTTATTTAATATATAAATCAATCCATTTTTAATATTACAAAGGATGCTGCATCTCTTTCCTTACTTTCTAGGAAGCCTGGCCCAAGGGCCCCTGCAAACTTGTTTGTGCCTGATAAATTACAAACTTGTTTGTACCTGATAAATTACAGATTAACTAACACTCTTTGGATCCCTTACTATGTGCTAGGCACAGTGTGAGTGCTTCATTCATTCATTTCTTTCCCTCCCTCCTTTCTGTCCTTTCCTCCACTTCTATTGATCTGCTATTCTGGGCCAAGGGCTGTCCTAAATACAACGAATAGTGGGTGAATAAAGTACAATCAGCACTTAAGGAGCTTATATTATTTCTTCTAATCCTCATAATAACCTCATGGGGTAGTTTTTTTTTTTAATAGGAAGGAAATTGAGGCCCATGAGGTTAAGTAATTTGCCCAGGGTTGCAGAGCTTACTTAGTCAATTGTAAGGGGAGGATTAGAATTAGTGTCTTTCTGGCGTCCAAGGCCAAGTTCTTTTAATTGTATTGGGAGATCCAAGAATCAAACAGGAAAGGTGATTTCAGGTACAGACTAAGGTGGGATGCCTTAGAGGTGGGCCTGATACATTCGCTAAGACATACAATGCTTAAATCATGTAGGCACCTGATGTGCCTTATTAACTCAATTCTTACATAAACCCTGTGAGCTGTTACTGATACTACTCCGTTTTACAGATGAAGAACCGAAGGCTCAAGGAGGTTGAGTCCCTTGCCTTAAGGTCACAGAGCAAAGAAGTCAGAATTGAATCTAGCAGTTTGGCTCGCCAGTCCATGGTCTTAACTATTATACTGACATTAAAAACAATAACATGGCCAGGTGTGGTGGCTGAAACCTATAATCCCAGTGCTTTGGAAGGCTGAGGTGAGAGAATCACTTGAACCCTGGAATTTGAGGCTGTGGTGAGCTATGATGGTGCCACTGCATCCCAGCCTAGGCAACAGAGCAAGATCCCATCTCTAAAAAAAGGTGGTTGGGATGGGGGTGCAAAAATAAAAAAGAAAAAGAGGAAAAAGGGTGCCTCTGTCAAAAACAAACTATTGGGATTACGGTTTTTCTGTGTGGCTAGAACTTGCTCTGGTCCAGGTAGTATTCTATGTGCTTTCTGTGCATTTGTTCACCTAAATCTCACACTATTAAGATGAGGTAGACAGATTATTATTATCCGTATTATGCATAAGGAGACACTGAGGTTTGAAGAAGTTAATTTGCCTTGATTCATTGCGCTAGTAAGTATTAAGCCTAGAATTCAGAAAATTCATTGGTAATTAGTCACTAATCCCACCTGGTAACTTTTCCTTCTTCTAAGTGACTCTCAGGAAATGATTCAAAACAAAGAAAAAATGATATGCACCAAGTCGTTTATTGAAACATTATGGAAAATGGAAACACTTGCTCAATGGAACGTTTGGCATCTTTCAAACAATGATGAATATGAAGACTGTAGTGACCTAGGAAAAATCTGCATAATAATAGAACATTAAGAGAAAAACGAATGGAAATGCTATGTTTGCTAGAGTTACAGTTCTCTTACGTGCACTTATAGATATGAGACTTGCGACCAACACACACAAAAAAAGAAAAGAAAGGTAGTTACCGGGTTAGAGTGGTGGGATTGTGGGAAAATATGTTTCTCTTTTCAATATTTTAAAATGTAATTTCTGCAGTAGACTTACAGGAAAGAAAAAAGCATTTTGCCTAGGAGAAGGGTGTTTTGGTGGCTTACCTCAAAAGTTCAGGCTGGGTTAAAATCTATTTGGCTTCTGTAGCCAGGAGTGCCTGGCTCCTGAGCTTTTGGGGGAATTCACATCCCCAAACAGAGCAGGAGAGGTAAAAATAAAATAAAAACCCAAAAGTAGAAAAGGCAATGATGTCAAGGATGGAATAATATCAGATGCCGTGCAGAGCGAGTAGCCTTGGCCTCAATGATTCTTTTCCTAATTTTATGTTTTAATAATATTGTTATAGTAGAAATAGAAACAAAGAAAAAAGTCTGCTAACATTAAGTAGTAGTAGGTACACCCTTCCCCAGAAGTTGAGGGAAAATGAAATTTTTACAACCTGGTTATGCAATAATGTACATTAATGCTAGTGTTCCCAGGGATATTTTCAGAGCCGAGATCTGCTTTTACATTGAATTTATCTTCAACAGGAGATGGCACTGAACACCTTAGGTTGAATTTTCTCTAGTTTCTGAAGACTCTTGGTGAGTTCATGATCTCTGAACAAACGGCATTTGTGCATCGTTGGGAGTTTCCTCGTTCTTTTTTTTTTCCTCCTCGTTGTTTTTTTTTTTTTCTTGTACATTGCAGGCAATGACCCTTAGTTAATTTCCTTGCCCACTTTAGAGTTTTACATATTGAGTTTCCCTAAAGTGGGAAAGGGCAGCCACATTATTGAGCACCTATTGTACAATTGGTGTTATGTTAGACACAGCTTAGAATTCACAATGAGACTTTAATGTATATATAATTACGAGTATATAACCACAGGTGAGTAGTTAGGTTCGAGTCAGATTCAAATCCCTGCTCAGCAGCTTAACAACTGTGTGATCTTGGGCAAGTCATCGCTGTGATGATGATGATGATGATGATGATGATGATGATGATGAAGGTGATGGTGCTTGTGTTGGGAAGCCATATTCCAGGAGAATGATATTAGCGTCATCTCAGGCTCACCTGTGTCCTATTGTGATTGAGACTCCAGCTGATGAGGAGGAGACATAGAGCCAGTGATCACATGGATTGGCTGGGGAGTGAACACAGTTAACTGGAAAGAGTTCTTATCTTTTCTCCACTACATTCTTTTTTTTTAAACAAATTACTTCATCCCTCCAGTTCAGGTCTCTAAGACATAATGAGCCTCTAGCGGCCTCCTACAGAGGGGGACAAGTAAGTCTCGGTTTGCCTGGCTCAATCCTGGTTTATGCATGTGATCCTGGCAAAATTATTAATAATATTGCTTTTCAATCTCAAAATGTTCAGGTTTGGATGATAAGGGATACGGTCACCCTTACTCCGTGGCCTCCTCTTCCATTCTCTCCCCTCTAAAATATGTTTAGCAGCACCAGATGGAGCTGCCCACAGAACTGCTTTGCTTATGCCCCACTCTACTCAAAAACTTTATGAGCTTCTCAACCACCTACTGAATACAATCTAGACTCCTTAACCCAGCATTGAGTACAGAAGCAAGGCTTATGTATGTGCATCTCCTATAGCATCTCATAAAGTGCTCATCAAGCAGGATAATATCAGGAAACACGTGTTGATACCTGAATCAATGTGTGTAGTCATGCTCAGGCTGCTTGTCAGTTTCTTGAAAGCATCTTTCTTCTGCCTGCTTCAAGAACTTCGCACATGCTGTTCCTTCTGCCAGGAACACGCTTCCTCCCTCTCTACCTGGTTCATGCCTTCGCATTCTTTAGCTGCCAGTTTAATGCTGCTTCCTCCAAGAAGCTTCCTAACTCCCCCAGATTAGACCCAACCCCCCTTTTTTTCTCTCGCGTGGCACTCTTGGTAATTGCATCTCTGTTTGTATGATTATTTATAGTTGACCACACTAAACTCTAATCTTCCAAAAAGAACTGTCTATCGAGGCTGTGTCCCTCCTGTGTAGCCAGCCCCTGGTGCATGGTATCCCATAAATAGTTGCCAAATGCAGACAGGGATGAATGAATGTGGGTTACCCTTTCTGAGCCAGTGCAGTCCGCATCACCTGTTTAAAGTCCTCCAATAGCTTCTTAGCGCACTTGGAATAAATGTGAAGTTCCTAGGAGGGTCTGCGAGTCCCTACATACTTTGGATTCTTCCCAACTTTCTACCTCATTTCCTGCTGCTCTCCCCACCTCCCGCTTCGTCATGCTGGCCTCCTGGCTCCTCCTCACACACCCAAGCCCACCCAGGCCCTTGCACTCCAACATCACCTCCTCAGAGAGGCCTTCAGTGTCCCCACTGCCCAAAAAGCACCCCCACCTCTCTTGATCTCCCATTCTATGGCTTTATTTTCTTCATAACACTCACTTTCTGCTGTCTTCTTGCTAATTTGTCTCTGTCTCCGCCACAGAATATAAGCTCTCTGAGAGCAGAGACCTTGTCTGCCATGTTGATCACTAGCTGCTCAGAGCCTGTCAAACAGTAGGTTCTAAATCAATATTTGGTAAATGAGGGAAGGAATGAAAGCAGAGGCAGGGCAGGGCCCCTTCCTGGAACCCAGCAGCCCCTGGGGCAGGACCTGTGGCGTTGCCATGGCAACCCACTGACCTGAGCCACCCCCTGGAGAGGCCACAGCTGCTGGCTTCCTGGGCTTCTCCAAACTCCTGTGTGTCGCCACTGCCACCGGCAGGGAGCCAGGAGAGAGACAGAAAGGGGCTGAGACAGAATGATCAAAAGGAGAGCCCACCCTGGTGCGGGAGGCGACAGGACCAGGCCTCGACGGCGCCGTTCCACTGGTAATGACCAGGGCCCAGGGACAGGAGACTGGGGTGGGCCTGGCACCCTCAGGGGGAACTGGGGCCAGGCCCGCCTTGGTAGCTGTGAGTGTGGCATGTCAACTCTTTTATGTAGCGTTTCTGGAGCTGCAATTTCCTAAAATAGGCCTCAGCACAGTGCCCTGAGAGACTGTTGATATAGTGTGAATAATGGCCTCTATTAAATCCCGGTGACACTTTTTAAGTCAGGCAGCGTTTTCTGCAGGTATTGCATAAGTCAGGACCTCCCTGTTCTCATCCAGTGCCTCAGGAACAAAACTCAGCGTGTTCACTTCTCCACTGCTTGAACACCACGGCTGGCTCCCAGCTGCCTGCAGGCTTCGCGGCCTGGTGGGCCCGGCGGGCAAGGCCTTTGCAATCTGCTCCTAACGGACTCTTCCACCTGTCTCCCACCACTGGGAGTCACAGGTCGGCGAACTCTTCACCTTTCCCAGAACCACCAGGCCTTTCACAGCTTTGTGCCTTTGTCCTGAAGGCAGCCCTCCTGCCTGAAATGCCCTGCTTCCCTCCTTGGTCTGGCAGGTGCTGAATCCTTTAAGGACCAGCTGAAATGCCACCCCCTCTGTGAAGCAGCCAGGCTTTCCTCTCCATGGAAGCTCTCCTCTCTATGCCCCACAGCATCTTATTATAATACCAAACACTCCTGGTACCTGCTTGCTTGTAGAGGCAGTGTGGGCAGTGTGGGCATGAGGGCAGTGAGTGCACCCCAGCCTCGGAGTCAGGCAGACCTGACCTAGCTCAGCCATCAACTAGCTTCTCTGGATCTGAGTTTCATTCTTGCAAATCAAAGTTAGTCAAGTCTCTGCTTCAGTTGCTGCGAGCAACAGAGATGAAGCATGTGGAGCGGGGCAACCAGCCCTGGAGGTTACTCAATAAATGCCAGACATCACCATTAGGCATCTGTCCCTGTCACTCAGCCGTGAGTTCCTGGTGGATAGAAACCATGCCTTCCTCATTTTTCTATGGCCCTTAAAGCCAAACACACTAAGTGCCTTACCTTTATAATTCCAGTTAATCTTTGAAGAAATCAGGTAGGTAGGAATTTAGGACAATTTAGGAACCATCCCAATGTTACATAACTAGTAAGTGGCCAGGCTGGGATTTGAAATCCAGTCAGATTTGAGCTCCAAACCCCACATTCTCCCAAGCCCGTCTCTGTCTTCTCTTTCATGTTGCACCACCTCCCCGTCAGTCACTCTGCATCAGCCACCTGAGCCTTCTTGCCATTCCTCAAACAAGTCAAGCATGATCTTTCCTGGGGTTGGGGGTAACCTTCGCCCTTGTGGTCCCCTCTCTCTGAATCTTGGGAAACCTTGCTCCCTCACTAAACTCAGTGTCTGCTCATAGGCTCTTTCTTCCCAGAGGCCTTTCTGGTGGAGAATCCCCCCTCCTTGTCTCTCATTCTCTATTCTTTTCTTCCTTTACTTTTCTTCATCACAAGCATCGCTACAGCTATGTGCCCAGTACTGTACTAGGCTCTTGGGGACAAGGTACTGAACAAGATAGACAAGGTCATTCGAACTTACATGTTAAGGGTGGGAAAAATAAGTGATTTAAAGAAATGGAATAAACAAAAAAACCCAAGATACTTTTAGGTCTTGAGACGCTAGTCCACCAGAGATATCCTGTGTAATATATGTGTGTCCTGTTGAATAGCTTTTGTTCATCCCCTCTGTTTGAACATCGAAGGCACTTGATAATTATTGGAAAATGAATAAATGGATGCAGGGATAATCTAAGAGGTTGCTGTCAGTGTGTGCTATAAACTTCAAGGATTACCTGGCTCTTGATAACCGTCTTAATAGGCCCTCCCTGCCAGGTCAATATGGGTTTGTGAGGCACCACTCTGAACCTTGAACTGCCTTGGACGTGCCATGTCCCTGATGCGGCTACTTCTGGGTTATTCTTTGCTGCTGTAAAGAGAATGAAGCCTTGTAGAAAACATGATAACTATATATGGCTCTGCTCAACCTCATTATATGTACCCGAGAAAATAACTTCACATTGGGGTTTCCAAATCTTCAGTCCAAAGTGCAGAGGCATAAAGATCTTCCTCTAAGGTATGTGGGCTGAACTCCCTGAAAGTGAAAATCCATAGGCATTATCTGCCTCCTCCTTTCTGCCCATAATCCCAGATGAATCAGGGGAAGGGATGCTTCACAGCCCAGGAGCCTCTGCTCACGGCTGTAGGCAAATCCCGTTGGGCACTTAGCACAAGCTTGGTCCTTACTAACAGGTCAGATGATTTTTATAGATCAAGAATGAGGCAATTGGGAATAGGAAGTTATCCCAGTATGAACTGAACTCTCTTTCTCCTATGTCCCATGCAGTCCCCAGAACTCAGTACCAGTATTGCAGCATTGATCACAGTCTGCCTTCCTTTTAGAACTTTTGCTTCAAGCCTAACTTTCCATATCTATAAATAGAGATATGAAAACATAACATGTAATGTTGTTCTGGTCCCAATTTAGACAACATATGTGAAAATGGCTTCTATGGTACCTGCCACACAATAGGAGCTTAATAAAGTTTTTAGAAAAAGCATGCATTTATTGTGCGACATCTATGGAGCCAGCCACAGCGCCAGCCACTGGGTGTGAGATGATGGACAAAAATGACAGGGTCCCACTCTCATGAGCTCAGGGAGTAGCACGTGCCTTACTTTCTACTTGGTAACTAGAGGGCAGAAGCCAGTCTTATTCATGTTTATATCACTACAGCTTCTCTCTCTTTTTTTTTTTTTTTTTTTTTTGAGAATGGAGTCTCACTCTGTCACCCAGGCTGGAGTGCAGTGGTGCAATCTCGGCTCACTGCAACCTCTGCCTCCAGGGTTCAAGTGATTCTCCTGCCTCAGCCTCCTGCGTAGCTGGGATTACAGGCGTGTGCTGCCCACACCCGGCTAATTTTTGTATTTTTAGTAGAGACGGGGTTTCGCCATGTTGGCCAGGCTGGTCTTGAACTCCTGACCTCCGGTGATCAGCCCGCCTCAGCCTCCCAAAGTGCTGGGATTACAGGTGTGAGCCACCACACCTGGCCGCTACAGCTTCTCTTTAGCACAGCTTCTTGCATCTGGAAGGCACAAAATAAATGTGTGTTGAATTTTGCTTTATTTGGAAAATCGCCTTTGATATGTTATACTTTTCCATGCCTTATGTGGTTAAAAAAAAAAAAGAAAATGATTAGGAAATTCTATAGATATGTGGATGTATCTACTTATATGCTATGCATTCTTTGACATGTGTGTCACTAATGTAACAGTTATTGAGGCCAGACTACAGGAAAAATTTTATAACAGTACTAGTAGAGAGTCAAAAGAAATAGAATAAAACGGGCTCCATTATTAAGTGGTTTAAGTTCTAAACTGAAGAGGCTGTTGTGTATGACAAAGGCTGACAAAGAATATGGAAATGAATTTAGCAAAATTATGTAAGTAGAGTTTTAGGAAAAGTTCGAATACAAAGCAGACTGAGAAAAATGCTGCAGAATTGGCACATTGTTCTGGGGACTAAACAGGACATAGAAAAAGGAGAAAGCTCAGTTCACATTTGGAGAGAGAACTGTGATTATGACCTGAATTTGAATGCTGGTCTTCCTCTTACTAGCCAGATGACTTTGGACGAGTCACTGAATCTCTCTGAGCCTTAGTGTTCTTATCTCTAAAATGGGCCTATTAATAGCACCCACCTCTAGGATTGTGATGAGTATTAAGTATGATGATGTATGTAATGCAGTTGTATGATACCTCACCCATAGTGAGAGCTCAATATACAGTGAACTTTATTATTATGAAATCACATCATCTACAAATCAATAAGGTGGAAGAACACAGTGTTTCATTCAAAATTCAGTATACATGTCATTCTGCTTAAGTAATTCTTGACCTCTGCAAGACCAAAATCCATTGTTAAGAATAATTTTAAAGTATATAACATTGACTTCAGTTGACCTAAATAGAGGCCTTCCAGTCATAGGAAGCTACCTGGCTTGTGAGACATGAATTGGAGATGCCACTCCTAAGGGCTCCACTAGGGAAGAAGTCAGAGGTCAAAGTGCACCTGCAGATCCAAGGCCCGAATCTGGTTTGGATATCTCAGAGTGTTGCATCCACATAGTCTGAAATGCAAGACCCTTGAATGCATGAGAACTCTAACTGTCCAGAACAACATAGGTGATGGTTCTTTCACTGCTCAGACCATTGTCTGAACCCTCAGAGTCTATCCCAAGTGCCACGTGTTCACATGGACATTGATTAACTAGAAGACACCCAGAAGCAGGTGAACTGGATGGCAAAGAAATGGGAACAATTTCTTCCAAGAAAGAGGTGAAACAAATGTGGTTCTTTGATGGGGGTACTTCAACCAGAAATATGGTGAAATGATGGTTGTCTTCTCATATCTGCAATGTGCCAGTGAGACCAGACTTATTCTGGATTGCCCCAGGGAGCAGAGTTGGCTACAGGCATAGACTGTGGGGTCAGAGTGATCTGAGTGGGTGCAATGGGTGAGATGTCTTCTCTTTCATTTTCATGGCACCTCCCACCCTCTCCCACTTCTTGTAGCCTTGCTTTCATCTCTCTCCAGTGTGGGATTGCACAGTGTGGAGGACAGGTGCTGCCGTGAGGAAAGTTCTTTCTTTACTCAAACTCTTGCGGGTGGGCACTGTGCTCTCTTGGCTTACCTGGTTAATAGAACCAGCTTCTCTCGGGAATGTTGCCACGAAGTTTTCAGAGAATGTCCCATCAATCACAGGGGGTTCTCACCTGCAAGAACAGGCCCTTCTAAGGACCTTGATGTTATCAGGCCTGAATCCAGTGCAGGCAAATGGGTGAGAGGGAGAGTGTTTCCCTTAGTTCCTGATGAAAGGGGGATTGGGGTGTAGATGTGAGTGTGTGTGTGAGAGTGACTGGGTGTGTATACCTATCTAGGAAGACCAGGGGTTGGCCCAGAACTATAGATATTGCTTTTGGTGGTAAGGTTTGGTGGAGGCAGGGGCTGCAAACTTTAGCAGATGCCATCTAAATGTAGCTATGGCTGCTGCCAGGGAAAATGTGCCAGGACTTGAAAGGATGAGAAGAAGTGAGTGGAGTCATTCTGGAGAATCCTGAAAAGAACTCTGGAGATGTGTAACCAGATGTGCGTTTGGATACAGTGTGATGACAGACACCTACCTTGTGCATCCCAGCTTTGAAACATTACAAGCTGTCTGTCTCCACATTGTGCATTCGATGTCTGGAAGGTGCAGCGTTTTAATGTTTTGAATTTCTCTGCTCCTCAGTATTTCCTGGGAAATATCAGATTTCCATATCCTCTCAACAAGCTGGCCCTTGTTCTTCCCCTCAGATATTTTCCCCCTACTTATTCACAATTTTGGAAGCAGCTTTTAAAAGAGCAGTTTGTTGGGACATAAAATACAAAACAAAACAAAAATCCGACATTTCTCCCAGCTGTTGGCATTGATTTCCCCTCTCCGCATAGCTTACTCGTCCGCGTGGCTTCTTTTTATGGTGTGTAACCTAAGGTGTTAACTAATGATCTTTTCCTCGGCTCTTTGAATTATGAGGAGTCACATTACTTAATCCCTCTAAATCCCAGTTGCTTTCTAGGAAAAACAGAGATTAAAATCCTTGCTTCAGAGAGTTGTTGTGAGGACTCAATGAAATAACTTATGCAGAGGGCCTGGCATGTTCAAATAGGTGTTCAATAAATACCAGCTCCCAGATCATAAAGAAGGCAATGGGAAACCACACTGTCCAAAAGCCTGCAGCCATAGGTGTCGCCACTTCTGCTATAATACCCCATATGCCTTCCTAAAAATCACCACATTATACAGAATCGGCCAACAAAGACCACTCAGTTTACTGGAAAAATAAGCTTAGGGGCACAATGCTGAAAAACTTTGTCAATGACACATAATAAAAGATAGAAACCTAATAAAAATGATATCACAGTTTTGCACGTGTTAAATGGTTTAGAAATACACAAATACAATAAAAATGGCACTTCACCTTGGAAAAGACCTGAAGATTGCTTTTAGAGGTGGGTATCAGAAGGGTTGCAGCCTGTGAGTTATTATGAAGTGAGCAGGTGTGACTCATAACACAACGTGGACCGAAGTAGCTGGTAGGTGTCTGAGGTGTGAACGTGAGTGTGTTCTGCATATTTCTGTGGTGCTAAGTATAATGGGGGGTGGGGTGGGGGGGGCGTGGAGTTTTCTGCATTCACCTAATTTTTTTATGAAATAAATGGAGCATAAAAAGACACAAAGTTTGCACTATGCTCAAATTGTTCCCAAATATATCACTTGCATTGGGACGCATTTGTTTTCTCAGGACAAGTGTTATAGCAGAGCTGACTGTACTTAGCTGATGTTGTTGAATGATGAATGAATGAATGAATGAATGAATGGTGGGTGGTCTAGAAAACAGAATAAGTATTACACTACATTGCAAAAAATACATTGGTAGCCTTTGAAATTGGATTAAAAAAAAACAAACCATAGTCTTGGATTTTAAAAGGGCTACATAGTGGCTGGGCACCATGGCTCACGCTTGTAATCCCAGCACTTTGGGAGGCCGAGGCAGGCGGATGGCCTGAGGTCAGGAGTTCAAGACCAGCCTGGCCAACATGGTGAAACCCCGTCTCTACTAAAAATACAAAAATTAGCCGAACTTGGTGGCGGGTGCCTTCCCAGCTACTCAGGAGGCTGAGGCAGGAGAATTGCTTGAGCCCGGGAGGCGGAGGTTGCAGTGAGCCGAGATCACGCCATTGCACTTCAGCCTAGGTGACAAGAGCAAAACTCCGTCTCAAAAACACAAAAAAAGAGGGGCTACATAGCTACCATAGTGCTTTTGATTTCTTCTCCTGCTGTGGCTTCCAGTCTGTGAGAGCTCTTTGAGGGGTCCCTGGCCAAAGGGAGGCAAGCTACAAGGTTCCCTGCCCTCTTTCAACCAGAGTCCCTAAAGTTTTACCTGCTTTTCTCTTTGTTTTCACTTGAAGAAAAGTTCTGCTGCTAATTCACAAGTTTACAAATCACCACCAGTGGTTCAGTTGGCCAAGTCTGGTTTTACAAACTGCTACTCAGGAACATACCTTCTTTGCTCAGAAAGATAATCCTCAGTTGGTGCTACAAATACTCCAGAATTCATGGAATCTGACCAAGAAGTACTCAAGTGAGGCTTCAAAGAGCCATTTTGCATCCAAACTACTCAGCAGTCTCATCAGCAGCAGCAATGGTGCACATGGAACTCCATGCAAAATCCCATTCCAATCTGGGCAGATGCCACATGAATATTGATGAGCATTTAAATCTAATGCATTTATGATGTTCTGTCTCTTCACAAACACCCACAGCAATTCTGTGATTTTCTTTTTTCTTTTTCTTTTCTTTCTTTCTTTCTTTTTTTTTTTTTTAGAGAGCTGGATTGAAAGATGTCTCAACGAAAGTGAAAACAAACGTTATTCCAGCCACACATCTCTGGGGAATGTTTCTAATGATGAAAGTAAGTGCTTGAAACTCATTCTTCCATGACATCCCAGACATGGCCAATGTCCTGATGGGAGGGTAGTGCCACTAGATTGCTAGGCTGGGCCAAGTCACCTGGAACAAGACACTCTCTAGCTATTTATGAAATATCCCAGGTCCTCTCTGTAATATTCCACAATGGGGAGAGGAATCCATTCAGGAAGACCTGGAAACTAAGACCACAGCAAAAACTTGCTGTTTACATACTCATCTTCTGCAGGAGACTTGCTAGCCTGCATTCCCAAAAACCTTGTTATAGTGACGCTCTAGGCGGGCAAATGTGGACCCTGGTTGGGAAAGGCCATTCTCAGTGTCCACTGTAAATATGGGTTCAAAGTAGTTGTGTCACAGGATAGTTGTTTTAGCCATAAATGTCCTTGATATCAGAAAGCAGAAATTTCTTCCGGTTCTTGGACTAGAGAGCTAGAGTTAACTGAAAGATGTATCATCCTGTGTTTACACCTTGTCCTGTGTTATGTCAGACTGGGGCTTCTGGGTGCTATATTAAGAGCAGTAGGCTACATGGGACTTGTATTTTTTCCCTTAAACACTAAAAAAGAGGGATCAGCTTATTATAAGTCTAATTTTTTGCAGAGTCAGAAGTGTCTTTCTTCCATGGTTGGTAAAGTGCATCTCCTTCGTTCAGTTTTCTGAAAGCATGAGCCCCGGCCCACCTGCTCCACAATCCCCTAGCATGTTTGCTAGATCTACTCAATAGCCCCCTCCTGAGTCTTAGCTGGCATTGTCATTCTATCATCACCATGTCACTTCATTTTATAAAATTGAGCTACATTGAACATAAAGTATACAAATCTTGTGTAATTAGTTTGATGGGGTTTTTTTTTTCTTTACATATTGTATCCACTGGTGTCATTACTACCCAAAAAAGATATAGAACCTTTCTTGTCCCCCAGGAGGCTTCCTCATGTCTCCTCCCTGTCAATCACTACTGTCCTGACTTATCACTATAGCCCGTTTTTGCCTGCTTTTAAAACTTCATGTAAATGGGATAATGGACTCTGTATTCTTTTGTGTGTAACTTTTCTCAGTCAGTATAATGTCTGTGAGATTCATTCATCTTGTTGTCTCTAGCAGTAGTTATTTCTTTTTCATTGCTGTATAGTATTTCACTGTATGAGTATATCACAGTTTACAGATCCTTTTAAGTGTTGATGAATATTTAGTTGTTTCAAGTTTTTGATTATTAAGAATAAAACACTACTCGAGAGGCTGAGGCAGGAGAATGGCGTGAACCTGGGAGGCAGAGCTTGCAGTGAGCCAAGATTGTGCCACTGCACTCCAGCCTGGGCAACAGAGTGAGACTCCATCTCAAAAAAAAAAAAAAAAAAAAAGAATGAAACATATCTGAACATTCTAAGTTTTATTTAAGTTTGGCAAAATCTACATAACATAAAATTTAGTATTTAATCATCTGAAATGTACAATTCATTGACATTAAGTACATTCACCTTGTTGTGCAGCCATCTACACCATTCATTTCCAGAGCTTTCTTCATCTTCCTAAACTGAAACTCTGTACCCATTAAACAGTAACTCCTCATTCTCCTTTTCCCTCAGTCTCTGACAACTACTATTCTACTTTCTGCCTCTGTTAATTTGACTGCTCTAAGTATCTTATATAAGTGAAGTCATATGGTGTTTGTCTTTTTATGACTGGCATATTTCACTTAGCATAATGCCTTCAAGGTTAATCCATGTTGTAGCATGTGTCAGAATTTTCTTCTTTTTGAAGGCCGAATAATATTCCTCTGTATGGATATGTCACATTTTCTTTATCCATTAAGACATTGATGGGCAATTGAGTTGTTTCTGTCTTTTGGTCACTGTAAATAACGCTGTTTTGAACACAGGCATACAAATATCTTTTCAAGTCTCTGCTCCTAATTCTTTTGGCGGTATATACCCAGAAATGAAATTGTTGGATCATATGGTAACTCTGTGTTTAATTTTTTGAGAAACCACAAAACTGGTTTTCATAGTGGCTGCGTCATTTTACATTCCCACTAGCAAGGCACAAGAGTTCCAATTTTGCCACTTCCTAGTCATCATTTGTTATTTTCTGTTTTTTTTTTAATAATAGCCATTCTAATGAATATAAAATGGTATCCCATTGTGGTTTTCATTTGCAATTCCCTAATGATTGGTGATGTTGAACATCTTTTCATGTGCTTATTCACCATTTGCATATCTTCTTTGGAGAAATGTCTAAGTCCTTTGCCCATTTTAAAATCAGGTTGTTTTCTGTTGTTTAGTTGTAGGAGTTCTTCACATATTCTGGATCTTAACCTCTTATCAGTTATGTGACTTACAAATATTTCCTCCTATTCCATGGGTTGCCTTTTCACTCTGTTGATTGTGTTCTTTAATGCACAGAAATTTTTATTTTGATGCATCCAATTTAACTATTTTTTCTTTTGTTGTCTGTGCCTTTAGTGTCATATCTAAGAAATCATTGTCAGATCCAATGTTGTGAAGTTTTCGCCTTTTTTTTTTCTGAGAGTTTTACAGTTTTAGACCTTACATTTAGATTCGTGATCTGTTTTGAGCTAACATTTGTATCTGGTATTAGGTAAGAGTCCAGCTTTATTCTTTTTTTTTTTTTCAGACAGAGTCTCACTCTGTTGCCCAGGCTGGAGTACAGTGGCGCTGTCTCGGCTCACTGCAACCTCCGCCTCCCAGGTTCAAGTGATTCTCCTGCCTCAGCCTCCTGAGTAGCTGGGATTACAGGCACATGCCACTGCGCCAGGCTAATTTTTGTATTTTTTTAGTACAGACAGGGTTTCACCATGTTGGTCAGGTTGGTCTCAAACTCCTGACCTCGTGATCTGCCCCCCTCAGCCTCCCAAAGTTCTGGGATTACAGGCATGAGCCACTGTGCCTGCTGTAGTCCAGCTTTATTCTTTCACATGTTGGTATCCAGGTTCCCCAGCACCATTTGTTGAAAAGACTATTCTTTCCCCCATTGAATGTCTTGGCACCATTGTCAAAAAACATTTGATCATGTATGTGGAGGTTTATTTCTGGGCTTTCCATATTATTCCATTGGTCTATATGTCTGTCTTTATGACAGAACTAGACTGTAGCTTTGTAGTAAGTTTTGAAATCAGGAAATGTGTGACCTTTCATGTTCTTCTTTTTCAAGATTGTTTTGGCTATTCAAAGTCCCTTGAGATTCCATATGAATTTTAGAATGGATTTTTCTATTTCTGGAAAAAAAAATATGCCACTCGGGTTTTGATAGGTGTTGCATTGAATCTGTAGATTGCTTTGGATAGTTTTAACATCTTAATAGTAAGTCTTCCAGTCCATGAACACAGGATGTCTTTCCATTTATTTGGTGTCTTTAGTTTCTTTCAGCAACAACATTTACTAGTTTTCAGTGTACAAGTGTTTTGCTTCCTTGGTTAAATTTATTCCTAAGTATTTTATTCTTTTTGATGCTATTGTACATGAAATTTTCTTAATTTCCTTTTCAGATTGCTCATTCTTAGTGTATAGAAATGCAACTGATTATTGTGTGCTGATTTTGTGTCCTGCAACTTTGCTGAATTCATTTATTAGTTCTAACAGTACTTTTGTGTTTGGGTATGTGTTAAATCTTTGGGGTTTTCTACATATAAGATCATTTCGGCCAGGTGTAGTGGCTTACACTTGTAATCCCAGCACTTTGGGAGGCCGAGGGAGGTGGATCACCTGAGGTCAGGAGTTCGAAACCAGCCTGGCCAATATGGCAAAACCCCATCTCTACTAAAAATACAAAAATTAGCTGGGCATGGTGGCAGGCACCTGTAATCCCAGCTACTTGGGAGGCTGAGGCACAAGCATAGCTTGAATCTGGGAGGCAGAGGGTGCAGTGAGCCAAGATTGCACCACTGCACTCCAGCCTGGGTGACAGAGCGAGACTACGTCTCAAAAAAAAAAAAAAGATGATTTCATCTGTGAAAAGAGATAACTTTACTTCCTTTTTATTAATTTGGAATGCTTTTATTTCTTTTTCTTGCCAAATTGCTGTGGCTAGGACGTCTAGTACTATTTTGAATAGAAGTGGTGAATGCAGGCAACCTTGTCTTGTTCCTGATTCTAGAGAAAAAGCTTTCAGTCTTTCACCATCGTTAGCTGTTGTTTTTTTATATATGACCTTTATTATGTTGAGGTAATGCTCTTCTGTTCTTAGTTTATTGAGTGCTTTTATCATAAAATGGTGTTGAGTATTGTCATATGCTTTTTCTGCATCAGTTGAGATGGTTATGTAGTTTTCCTTCCTTGAATGCAAGGATGGTCTGGCAAACAAAAATCAATCAATATAATGTATTTATTGATTTTGTATGCCAGACCATCCTTGCATTCAAGAAATATATCCCATTTGGTCATGATCTGTAGTCCTTTTACTATGCTGCTGAATTCTGTTTGTTAGTATTTTGCTGAGGATTTTTGCATCAATTTTTTTTTTTTTTTAGATGCAGTCTCACTCTTTTGCCCAGGCTGGAGTGCAATGGCACAATCTTGGCTCACTGCAACCCCTGCCTCCCAGGTTCAAGCGATTCTCCTGCCTCAGCCTCCCACATAGCTGGGATTACAGGCGCCCACCACCACACCCAGCCAATTTTTTGTATTTTTAGTTGAGATGGGGTTTCACCATGTTGGCCAGGCTGGTCTCCAACTCCTGACTTCAGGTGATCCACCTTCCTTGGCCTCCCAAAGTGCTGGTATTATAGGTGTGAGCCACCACGCCTGGCCTGCATCAATATTTATAAGGGATATTAGTCTGTAGTTTTCTTTTCTTGTAGTATCTTTGTCTGGCTTTCATATCATGATAATGCTGGCCTCATAGAATAAATTCGAATATGTTCCCTCCTCTTTCATTATTTTGAAGGAGTTTGAGGATTAGAGTTCTGAACATTCTTGTATATCTTTTGGTGAACATGAGCACTTATTTTGTTGGTATGTTCCCAGGAGTAGAATTGCTAGATCATAATGTATAGGTATATTTAGTTTTAGTAGATACTGCCGAAACAGTTTTCTAAAGTTGTGCCAATTTAGACTCCCACTATCAATTTATAAGTTTCAGTGTTTCACTTCCTTGCCAACATTTGGGATAGCCATTCCTTCTAATATTAGCTATTTTCATGGGTGAATAGCATATGTCATTTTGGTTGCATTTTTTCTGATAAATAATGACTGTAGCATCTTATTATATGCTCATTAGACATTTGTATCTTTTGTGAATTACCTCTTCATGTCTTTTTTTTTTTGAGTCGGAGTCTCACTCTGTCACCCAAGCTGGAGTGCAGTGGCATGATCTCAGCTCACTGCAACCTCTGCCTCCCAGGTTCAAGTGATTCTTCTGCCTCAGCCTCCCAAGTAGCTGGGACTACAGGCACATGCCACCATGCCCAACTAATTTTTGTATTTTTAGTAGAGACTGGGTTTCGGCATATTGGCCAGGCTGGTCTCGAACTCCTGATCTCATGATCCACCTGCCTCGGCCCCCCAAAGTGCTGGGATTACAGGCGTGAGCCCCTGTGCCCGGCCCTTCTTCACGTCTTTTGCCTGTGTGTGTGTGTGTGTGTGTGTGTGTGTGTGTGTGTGTGTGTTTGGTTGAGAAGGAGTATCGCTCTATTGCCCAGGCTGGAGTGCAGTGGCGCGATCTCGGCTCACTGCAAGCTCCGCCTCCTGGGTTCACGCCATTCTCCTGCCTCAGCCTCCTGAGTAGCTGGGACTACAGGCACCCGCCACCACGCCCGGCTAATTTTTTTGTATTTTTAGTAGAGACGGGGTTTCACTGTGTTAGCCAGGATGGTCTCGATCTCCTGACCTCGTGATCTACCCGCCTTGGCCTCCCAAAGTGCTAGGATTACAGGCGTGAGCCACCACGCCTGGCCGCCTGTGTGTTTTTAAAAATTATGTTGTTGGTTTTCTCCTTAAAGGTTTGTAAGAGTTGGTTTTATATCTTGAATAGGAGATATTAATATTTGTCAGGTAAAAGTATTACAAATATCTTCTCCTGGTTTGTGGGTTGCTTTTATATTCTCATAATAACTTTTATGAACACAAGTTTTCAATTCTAATAAAATTTAATTAATGTTTTTCTTTTATAGTTAGTGCTTTGGTATCCTATTAAGAAATTTTTGCTTACCTGAAGTTCATGAAGGTCTTTTTAACATATCATCTAGCAGCTTTACTATTTTACCTTTCATTTTTATATCAATAGTTCATCTGGAACTTTTGTGTATGGTGTGAAGGAGTAATCAAAGTTCTTTTTTTTCTTATTAATTTTCAACTGATAGAGCACGATTTCTTGAAAAGGTCACTCTTTAACCACTGAGTTTCAGTGGTGCCTTCATCATAAATTGGCAGATTATATATATTTGGATCTGGGTCTGGACTTTTATTCCAAACTGTTGGTCTTACTGTCTATTTTTGGGCTAATACTACAGTCTTTATTACTGCACCTATAAAATAAGTCGTGATATCTGGTAGCATAAGACCTCTTGTTCTTCTTTACTTCTTCAGTATTGTTTTGGTTAATCTACATTCTTAACAATTCCATATTGATTTTAGAATTAGTTGTCATTTTTTCACATATGCAAAATACCTGCTAGGATTTCTGATGGGGATTGCATTGAATCTATAATAAATTTGGGAAGAACACCTTAACAACATCAAATTTCCAATTAATATATGTTGTATTAGAGCCTCCATGTATTTGGATCATCTTTAATTTTTCCCAGCAGTGTTTTGTAGATTTCACTGTAGAGATTTTACACATCTTTCTTTAGACTTATTCCTAGATAATTGATGTTTTTCAATGCTAATGTAAGTAGTAATATTTTAAAGTTTTTCCTAATTGTTAGTTGCTAGCATATGATAATCAATTATTTAGATAATAACTTCATATTTAGCCACTTTGCTAAATGTGCTTATTAATTTAAAATTTGCATTTTTTGAACATTCTATGAACATCATCATGTCACCTGAGAATAATGACAGCTTTGCACCTTCCTTTATAATCTTTGTATTTTTATTTCTTTTGTGTGTCTTATGTACTGGCTGGGTTCTCTAGTGCAATTTTGAGGTGATGTGGTGATAGTGGACATCATTGCCTTTTTCCCAACCTAAGTGGTGAACGCATTTAGTGTTTCACCATTAGGTGAGATGTTTGCTGTGGATTTTTGTAGATACTCATTATCAGGTTGAGAAAATTCCCTTCTATCTTTGGTTTTCTGAGAGACTTTTCTTAAATGGGTGTTGAATTTTATCAAACACTTTTTCTACATTTGTTTTGATGATCATATATTTTTCTCCTTTATTCTATTAATACTGGGAATTACATCGGTTGAATTTTGAATGTTAAGCCAATCATGCATTCCTGTAATAAATCACACTTGGTCAGAGTATTATCTTTTTTATATACTTCTGGGTGTGATTTTTATATATTTCAGGCTGGATTTTGTTAAGGATTTTGGCATCTATGTTCATGAGATTTGTGGCCTATGATATTTCTTTTTTATTATGTTCTTGTCAGGTTTTGGTGTCAAGATTACAGAGGTCTCATGAAAAGGGGTAGGAAGTTTCCTATGTCTCTATTGTTTTGAAGAGTTATATAAGATTGGTATTCTTTATTTCTTAATTGTTTGGAAGAATTCAACAACTGGGTTTGGAATTTTCTTTGAGGGAAAGTTTTTAATGATGGATTCAATTTTCTAAATAGTTATTGGATTATTTATATTTTTATTTCTTTTTTTACTTTTAGTAAATTGTTACTTTTAAGGAATCTGTTTCATCTAAATTTTCAAGTTTATTTACACTATGTTCAAACTTTCCTTTTATTACTTTTGCCTTTACTTTTTTTGAGACGGAGTCTCATTCTTTCTCCCAGGCTGGAGTGCAGTGGTGTGATCTCAGCTCACTTTAACCTCTGCCTGCCAGACTCAAGCAATTCTCCTGCCTCAGCCTCCTGAGTAGCTGGGACTACAGGTGTGCGCCACCATGCCCGGCTAATTTTTGTATTTTTTTTTTTTTAAGTAGAGATGGAGTTTCACCATGTTGGCCAGGTTGGTCTCGAACTCCTGGCCTTGTGATCTGCCTGCCTCAGCTTCCCAAAGTGCTGGGATTACAGGTGTGAGCCACTGTGCCTGGCCACTTTTGTCTGTTTTTGACATCTATGTTGATGTTCTTTCATTTTTGATATTGGCAATTTATGTTTTCTCTGTTTTTCTTCATCAGTCTTGCCAGGGTTTATCAATTTTATTAGTCTTTTCAAAGGTCCAACTTTTGGGTTTGTTGTTTTTCTCAATTTATATCTTTTAAGAATTGCATTCATTTCTGCTCTTATTTTTCTTTCTTCCTTCTACTTTCTTTCAGTTTAATTTGCTGTCTTTTTCTAGCTTTTGAGATAGGTGCTTAGATTATTGATTTTCAACCTTTTCTAAGATATACATTTAAAGTCATAAATTTTCCTCTAAGCATTGCTTAATTAATCCCAACATTTTTCTGATATCACACTTTCATTATTGTTCAGTTAAACATATTTTCAATTTTTTATTGTGATTTCTTCTTTTACTTATGGTTTATTTAGAAATCTGTTGCTTAATGTCCAAACATTCATAGATTTCCTAATTGTCTTTCTGTTGTTGATTTCTCTTTTAGTTCCACTGTGGTCACAGAACACATTCTGTATTATTTCAAAATTTGAAATTGTTGAGACTTAGTGTCTGTCCCAACATATAGTCTATTTTGGTTAATGTCCATGCACACTTGAAAAGAATGTATATTTTGCATTTTGAATGTACATTTTGGGTTTGTTGTTGTTGTTTTTGGGACAAAGCCTCGCTCTGTCACACAGGCTGGAGTGCAGTGGTGCAATCTCAGCTCACTGTAGCCTCTGCCTCCCAGGTTCAAGAGATTCTCCTGCTTCAGCCTCCCAAGTAGCTGGGATTACAGGTGCCTGTCACTATGCCTGGCTAATTTTTGTATTTTTAGTAGAGATGAGGTTTCACCATGTTGGCCAGGGTGGTCTTGAACTCCTGACCTCAAGTGATCCACCTGCCTCAGCCTCCCAAAGTGTTGAGATTACAGGTGTGAGCCACCACGCCCAGCTGAATGTATATTTTAAATGTCCCAACATATAGTCTATTTTGGTTAATGCCCATGTGCACTTGAGGAGAATGAGTATTTTGCATTTTGAATGTACATTTTGAATGTATACTGGATGGAGTGTTTTATAGATAACAGTTATGTGATTAACATACGTTATAGATTATATACATATGTATATAGATTATATACATAGATTATATGTTATAGATAACATATGTTATAGATTAACAACAGTGAAGTTGGTTAATTATGTTATTTAAATATTCCATATCCTTACTGTTTTATTGTTGCTATTGTTTGTTCTCTCAGTTACTATGACAGGTATGTTAATATCTCCAGCTCTGATTATGGTTATGGCTATCGATATTTTTAGCTTTGTTAATTTTTACTTTATATATTTTGAAGTATTAATTTCTTAGAAATTTAGGATTGCTATGTCCTCTTATTGAAATGACTTTTTTATTATTGTTAAATATTTCTACCTTTTCTCTAGTAAGAATTTTTGCTTTAAAGTCTATTTTGTCTGATATTATACAGCTACACCAGTTTTCTTTATACATGGGTTGATATGGTATATCTTTTTCATCTTTTTATTTTCAATCTTACTATATAATCTTACTACATTTAGTTTAGTAAAGTTTTTCACTATAGCTTTTTTGAAAAACAAAACCCAGTCTGATAATCTTTGAATTTAGACCATTTAAATTTAATATTGTTACTGACATTATTGAGTTTAAGTCAACAAACTTACTATTTATTTTTTATTTTCCCATCTGTCTTTATTCCTTTATTCTTACTTTTTAGCTTTTTGGGAAGGGATTAATAGAGTTTTTAAAAATATTTGATGTTTTCTTCTGCTAGCTTTTCAATTATACATTCTTTTAGAGTGGTTCTATTAGGGATTACAATATGCATTTTTGCATTCTTCACTAATTATTATTAATACATCTACCTCACATTACTTCTTCCCCCACTTCAAGCTCAGTGAAAGAGCACCATCACATTTTAACCTCATTTTCCTCTTTCTCACCTTCTGAGCTCTGGTTTTAATGGATACATCTTGTACAAGTGTTATACACCCCACAAGGCATAATTATTATTGTTTTAAGCAGTTAATATTTATTTTTATTTATTCACAAATTTACCCTTTCCAGGGTTCTTTCTCCTGCAGCAGTTTCATGCTTCCATCTGGAATCATTTTTTCTTTAACTCAGATAAATTCCTTGCAGATTTATTATCATACTGTGTAGTATACTGAAGATCATGAAACACATGTTTATTTCACATATATTTTTGAAAGATATTTTTGCTGGTGATAAAATTCTAGGTTGGTGAGACTTTTTTTAATTTTAATTTTCCTTTCAACACTTTAAAGTTATCATTCCACTGTCTTCTGGGGTCCAAAAATGTCTATTGAAAAGTTAGTCATCAGATGTATTGTTACTCCTTTGAATGCAATGTGTCTTTTTGTCTCTGGCTGGTTTAAAAATTTTTTCATTGCCTTTGGTTTTCAGTAGTTTGACTATGATGTGCATAGATATGGCTTTCTTGTTTTTATTCTTCTTGGGGATCACTGAGCTTCTTGAATCTGTGTGTTGTCTTTCATCAAATTTGCAGATTCTTTGCCATTGTCTCTTCAAATATTTTGTCTCCCTCACTATTCTCATCTTCTGGAGCTGCAGTTACATGAATATTAGACTTTTCGATTATACTTCATTTTTTTATGTTTTGCTCTGGTTTGTCCATCTTCATCTCTTTGTACCTCAGTTTTGTATTTTTTTAATTGACCTGCCTTTCAGTTCTAAATTCCCATTTTCTATCATATCTAGTCTTCTATTAAGCCCATCCAAGTGATCTTAATTTCAGATATTGTATTCTTCTGTGGTAGGTGGTCCAATTGATTCTTTTCTCATAGTTTCTAAATCTTGATTGATATTCTCCATTTTTTCTTCTGTTTTGTCCATTTCCTCTAATTTGCCCATATTTTTCTCTATCTCCTCAAACATATTATCCATGGTTATTTTAAAGTTCCTGTCTGATAAGTCTAGTATCTGAATTATCTCTGGATCTATTTCTATTATCTGGCTATTTCTTGGATTTCAGGTATTTTTGGTCCTTTTGAGGTTTTTCAATAATACCTCATAGTTTTTTATCCAATGCTGGACATTATGAATGCAAAGTTGCAGAGCCTCTGGGTGAAGGATGTTAGCTTTCTCCAACAATATTGGGGGAACGCACCCCCAATATTTCAACGTAGGTTCTATTTTCCATAAGTGTCGGCTGGCTGAGAAATAAAGAGAGACAGTACAAAGAAAGGAATTTTACAGCTGGGCCACTGGGGGTGACATCACATATCGGTAGGACCGTGATGCCTGCCTGAGCCTCAAACCAGCAAGTTTTTTATTAAGGGTTTCAAAAGGGGAGGGGATATAAGAACAGAGAGTAGGTACAAAGATCACATGCTTCAAAGGGCAAAAAGCAGAACAAAGATCACATGCTTCTGAGGGAATAGGACAAAGGGCAAAAGCAGAACTACTGATAAGGGTCCAACAAAGATCACAAGGCAAAGGGCAAAAGCAGAACTACTGATGAGGGTCTATGTTCAGCGGTGCATGTATTGTCTTGATAAACATCTTAAAAAACAGAAAACAGGGATCGAGAGCAGAGAACCGATCTGACCACAAATTTACCAGGGTGGAGTTTTTCCCCACCCTAGTAAACCTGAGGGTACTGCAGGAGACCAGGGCATATCTCAGTCCTTATCTCAACCACATAAGACAGACACTCCCAGAGCGGCTGTTTATAGACCACCCCCCAGGAATGCATTCCTTTCCCAAGGAATATTAATATTAATATTCCTTGCTAGGAAAAGAATTTAGTATATCTTCCCTACTTGCACGTCCATTTATAGGCTCTCTGCAAGAAGAAAAATATGGCTCTTTTTGTCTGACCCCACAGGCAGTCAGACCTTATGGTTGTCTTCCCTTGTTCCCTAAAAATCACCGTTATTCTGTTCTTTTTCAAGGTGCACTGATTTCATATTGTTCAAACACACATGTTTTACCATCAATTTGTACAGTTAACACAGTTATCACAGTGGTCCTGAGGTGACGTACATCCTCAGCTTACGAATATAACAGGATTAAGAGGTTAAAGTAAAGACAGGCATAAGAAATTATAAAAGCATTATTTGGGAACTGAAAAATGTCCATGAAATCTTCACAATTTATGTTCCTCTGCCACAGCTCCAGCCGGTTCCTCTGTTCGGGGTCCCTGACTTCCCACAACACAGCAAGTGTTGAGTTTTGTTCTAGCAGGCAGAGAGAGAGCTAGCAGATCTCCTTAATCTTGTCAAGCCTTGCTTAAGTCTAGTCTATTTCACTTTTGTCTGTACTACTAGGGTGTGGTTTTTATTCCTAAAGCCTGGCCTTTCTGGGTTCACTGCTGAAAGCACTGGGTGTTTACCGACTTCCCTTTACTTTGACCCAGCTTGGACTCCAACCCTAACCAATTAATGATTGGCTCTTTAGTCTCTAAGCTGCTACTTTTCCCTCAATTTCTTGTTTTCTCAATCTGCATGTATAGCTTAGGAGTGGGCTAAGGACTTGAGGGGTAATTTGAATACAAGTATGTTTGTCTCTTTGTTTAAAGTTCTCTTCTCTTTGGAATTTTGCTCCTTAGATATTAGCTACTCTGTCATCCCCAAACTCTCCTTAGCTCAATAGACTATACTCTTTGCTTGGGTTCCATTTCCCAGTGTAGCAATTTGGAAAGATCTTTCGGGAAAGATCTTTGGAAAGATCTTGGTGTTTCGGGAAAACGCCAAGGTGGCTGTAGAGCTTACTTCTGGTGCTTCCTTTCTTTCAAGGCTTGTAGTTCCTCTAGTCCTGTCTGCATTTATTGCTCTCCAATGTTTCCAAATAGCTATTTGTATATTTTATCTAGCTTTTACAATTTGGTGGGTGAGTTAATCTAGTGCAAGCTACTTTATCATGGAGGGAACTGGAAGTCTGATTATCAACAACTCTTAGACAAGGAAATTGAGACCTAGAGAAGTGAAGTGGCTTTCTAAGCTTATACAAGAAGTCAATACCAGTGCTAGATCTAGAACATGGGCCACCTGACTCTTGTCCAAATAAAAGAATAAAGAAGTTTCAGTTCACATTTTGCATTTATTTTCAAAACACAAAGATTATATTTTAAAAAAATATAATATAACTTACAGTCCCACAACTGTAAGTTACATGTACATATATTTGGAAAAATATCTGAGGAAAGAAAAGAATTGCCTCTAATCCTACTATGTAGAGATAACCATTCTTGATGTTTTTGTGTTTCCTTCCAGTCTTTTTTCTTTCTAAGAATACTATTGTTAAGCAAAATTGTATATATGTATATATTTATAGTTAATATGTATATATAGCTATCATTTATTGAGCAATGAGAAGTGCTTTAATTCCATGATCTCATTTCTTTCTCACAATAGTCCAAAGAGGTGGCTTATGATTATGAGCTTTTGCTTACATATGTAGAAATTGAAGCTCAAGCATACTTGCATTCAAATTCCCTTCAAGTCCTTAGCCCACTCCAAGCTGCATTTTTTTTTTTTTTTTTTGAGACAGAGTCTAGCTCACTCTGTTGCCAGGCTGGAGTGCAGTGATCTCAGCTCACTGCAACCTCTGCCTCCTGGGTTCAAGCAGTTCTCCTGCCTCAGCCTCCTGAGCAGCTTGGACTACAGGCACGTGCCACCACGTCCAACTAATTTTTGTATTTTTAGTAGAGATGGGGTTTCACCATGTTGGCCAGGATGGTCTCGATCTCTTGACCTCGGTGATCTGCCTGCCTCGGCCTCCCAAAGTGCTGGGATTACAGGCATGAGCCACTGCACCCTGCCCAAATTGCATTTTTTCCCCCTAGCAGGTGTCAAGAGTCTTGCCCAAAGTCACATAGCTGGTAAGTGGTAGAGTTGAGATTTGAACTCAGGTCTATATGTCTGCCTTTCAGCATTAGTCTTTTTTTTTTTTTTTTTTTGAGATGGAGTCTTGCTCTGTCACCCAGGCTGGAGTGCAGTGGCATGAAATCGGCTCACTGCAAGCTCCGCCTCCCGGGTTCACACCATTCTCCTGCCTCAGCCTCCCGAGTAGCTGGGACTACAGGCGCCCACCACTGCACCTGGCTAATTTTTTGTATTTTTAGTAGAGACAGGGTTTCACGGTGGTCTCAATCTGACCTCGTGATCTGCCCGCCTTGGCCTCCCAAAGTGCTGGGATTACAGGCATGAGCCACTGTGCCTGACCCAGCATTAGTCTTTTATAGTGTTTTTTGCACTTGTCTACCTCTCAGAAAGTAATGAACCCTCACGTTTCAAAGACTTGCCACTGGAGATTTCATAATTTGCCAGTAGGAACACCAAGAGTAGAGCTCATCACCCCTGCTTAGTGATTGATCTGGAGTGTCAATATTTGATTGTGCCTTGTCATCTCCTTTACTAGACTAGAAAGCCCCAAGAAGGCAGAAATGTTGTGTGGTTCACTGTTGTAACCCCAGTACTTGGCACAGGACATGGTTGAAGTTTTAAAAATTACTTACGAGGGAAAAAACCACTCTGCTTTAGCATGTTAAGAATGCTTTGGCCTGTGGTCCCAGCTACTCAGCAGGCTGAGTTGGAAGGAATGCTTGAGCTAGGGAGGTGGAGGTTGCAGTGAGCCAAGATCATGCCACTGCACACCAGCCTGGGTGACAGAGTGAGACCCCATCTCAAAAAAACAAAAATCCAGCAGAATGCTTTGGATTGTAAGAGACAGAAACCTGATGATTTAAATGATGTAGATATTTATTATTTTATTTAACCGAAGATGGGAAGGAGTAGGCTCCGGGGTTTATTCAACAACTCAGCATCCTCCAGGACCCAGGCTGTTTATGTCTTTCTGCTGAGTCCCCACATTGTTGGTATTTTGTCCCCGAGTTAGTACCTCATAATCACAAGGCAGCTGCTGCAGGTCCAGGCATCAGGTCCACATTTAAGACAATAAAATGGAACAAGGGGAGGTGCCAGCTACTTTTCTTCTTGTGTGTCTCTCTTTTATCAGAAAACAACAAAATCTTTCCCAGAAGCCCTCAACAGACTTATTTTACGTTGGTTTTGTCCAGAACTCTATCATTTATAGCTGAAAGGAAGGATGAAAGAGGATTTGTCCAAAGAATAAGATTATGATAATTGGACTGACCACAGGTCAAATCTAGCCTTGGGCTGTTTTTATACATCCCATGATCTAATAATTTTTTCATTTTTATTTTATTTTATTTATTTTATTTTTTGAAATGGAGTCTCACTCTGTCACCAGGCTGGAGCGCAGTGTCGCGATCTTGGCTCACTGCAACCTCTGCCTCCCAGGTTCAAGCAATTCTCCTGCCTCAGCCTTCCGAGCAGCTGGGACTACAGGAGCGCACCACCACGTCCAGCTACTTTTTGTATTTTTTTTTAGTAGAGATGGGGTTTCACCATGTTGGCCAGGATGGTCTCAATCTCTTGACCTCATAATCCGCCTGCCTCAGCCTCCCAAAGTGTGGGGATTACAGGCGTGAGCCACCTCGCCCGGGCTTTTTTTTTGTTTCATTTTTAAAGAGTGTTGGGCGGGGCGGAGGGGGGAAGAAGAAGAAAAGGAATAGACCATATGTGGCCCACAGAGCCTAAAATATTTACTATCTGGCTCTATGCAGAAAAAGCTTACCAACTCTTGGTTAGAAAAATCATGGTTTACCTCTTGGGCTATCATAATATTGCCTTGGATAAAACTGGGGTTTGATTAGCAAGCAGGAAAAAATTAACGATTGGCTATTGGCTGGCCTGCCATAGAGTGTATCTCTGGACCGGGCCAATTGAAAAAATGCCTTCTCGGGGTGTGATTTCAGAGAAGTCAAGATTCTACCCACTGAGAGGACTGCTTTTTCTGGCATGAGCCTTTCAGTATCAGCACCAGGGACCTGGTCAAAATGAAAATGTGTTGCTCGGAATGGGAGACTATTCAGTTTGTTAGCCTAGAATAAAATAGTATGAGATTTTATGGATCATCTTGGCCCAACTCTCCTGTTTTACAGTTAAGGAAACTGAGGCTTAGAGAAGGGATGTGATTTGCCAGAGATCACACTCCTAGTTAGTGGCAGAATCAGGACTGTTACTGAGGTCTTCTGATATCTGTCAAATGCTCTGTTACGTCCCTTTAGCAACCCAGAAAAGATTGATTCAGTTGATTCGCTAGAGATTCAGTAAGCGTGAGGAAATGTGATATGGGACTGATATTTTTTGATGGAATGCAGTTGGAAAGAAAACCCTGGACCAGTGGGGTCAAGTCCTAAATGCCTGATGGGTGAAGAAACCGAGCAAGAGTGGATGGGTTATTTACCATAATTCAGGTCTCATGAATTCTCACTTCCAATCTAAACAATTGCATTTTTCCCCTAGTAGATGTCAGTAGATATGTATGCTTCTCATGGCATACTCACCAACAAACAGGAGGATTGTGACTGTAAAATATTAAAAAGTCCGTGACTGTTGGAGCATCATATACAGAGAGGAAAGCTCAGCAGTGTGGATTAGACAGAGTTGTATGGGTAGAACAGAAATTTCTGCAAAAGTTGGGCCCAGAAGATTCCCTGAGCCCCTACTACATGCTAGACTCCATGGAAATCCCAAAATTATATAATGAAAGAAAGAGGAGGGAGCCAATATTAAAATATATTCAGCACCAGGCAGTATGCTGGGCATAATCACAACCATGATTTCTTTTAATCCTCTGGAGGGAAAGTATTTTTTCTCCCCATTTTACAGATGAAGAAACTGAGATTCAGAGATTATGTGACTTGTTCAATGTCATAGCAAGTAAGTGGTAGAGTTAAGACTTTAATTTAGAGCTATCTGATTTTATTGCTGGCTCTCTTTTGACTACATAAACTGTCTTTTCCATGGATCCCTGCTCTCAATGAATTTTCAATCTAGAAGAGAAGTTAAGGCACATACTTGAATATTAACAATGCAAGGCCATATGTGATTGACTTCATTCAAATGATATGAGTTGTACTTAAGACCTTGCCACACCAAGAGTGATCCTGGCCTATAGCATAGACCTCCCTGGAAGCTTGTTAGGAATGCAGTATTTCAGGCCCATCCCAGACTCACTGAAACATGCTCTGCCTTTTAACAATACTTGCAGATGATTTACTAATTATGCATGCTAAAGTCTGGGAGAGGTCACAAGATTGAAAGGTGACTCTGGGGAAGGCATCTTGGAGGAGGTGACATTTGCCTTGGGCCTCAAAGGATCCATGTGGTTCCTGCAGTGATGGGAAAATCGGGGGAGGCAGAAAGCTACGAGACTGGTCTTGAGCTTGGAGAGTTTTCCAGATTGGCTTGAACAGAGAGGTTGAAGAATCATGGGAAATAGGGCTAGGAATGAGTTTGGGCCACATCACTGAGGGACCTGAATTCCAAACAAGGGGTCTAGAGTTTGAGGTCTGAGGTGCCACTGAAGGAGCTGGCTGAGGAGTGACAAATCAAAGTGGTGTTTTCAGAAGGTTGGCGTGGAGGTTCTATGCAGGTGGATTCAAGCCAGCAGACACATCAGGGCTGCTACCTACTCCAAGTTTGAGGCCTTAGACTAGGCAGGTGTTAGAGGGTTTGAAGAAATTGGAGAAACTGGGAGGATAGGATGGGTCCAAAGAGCAGGAACCCAATGGGATTCTTTGGGATTCCTGTTTCCCTCTTTCAGAGACAGAATAAGTCAAATGTAACCAAGAGGTGCTCAAGTCCTCTAGTCTTCAGGTCACCATTTCCTTAACATCTAAATGAAATGACTCCATCCTGTATCCTAGGCGGGAGTCCAGAACCTTCCAATTCCCTCCACGAGGTATCAGACACACACATGCATGTGTGCATGTTTGTTGTGGAATGTATGGAATGAGGCTCTTCCTCTCCTGAGACAGTCCATGCTGTGTCCCGTTCCCTCTGCCCTTTCACAGCTCCTAGCCACTGCCATTCTCCTGTCTTACCATGTTCCTCACTCTGAGTGTACACTTCTTCCTTTACTCTCTTGTGTTACTGACTGTCCAGTGGGGACAGAGGATATCTATAGCAAATGGTAGGGAAAAGTTCTAATTCAGTGGCATGATGGCATAGAAAATCTGGGGTCACCACTTAAGGTGACTCATCACTATTGTATTAAAATATCATTGCGGGCCGGACACAGTGGCTCATGCCTGTAATCCCAGAATTTTGGTAGGCCGAGGCAGGCGGATCACTTGAGATCAGGAGTTCACAACCAGCCTGGCCATGGTGAAAACCCGTCTCTACTAAAAATGAAAAACTTAGCCAGGCATGGTGGCGGGCACCTGTAATCCCAGCTACTTGGGAGGCTGAGGCAGGAGGATTCCGTGAACCTGGGAGGTGAAGAGGTTGCAGTGAGCCGAGACCACGCCATTGCACTCCAGTCTAGGCAACAAGAGTGAAACTCCGTCTCAGAAAAAAACAAAACAAAACAAAACAAAACACATCACAATTCAAGGCTACGTAAATGGAAGTTACATCTCTCTCTCACTCCATTCACCTCACTCAGCATGTCTTAGTTGATTATCCAATTTGGTTTCTTATAACTTCATAAAAAGATTTCCAGAGAAGAGGAAATGTCATTAAACCTTATTTGAAATTCTTTACTAAAAAAGACGGAAGGAACTGCTCGGCCTTATCTGTTGTGGAGAGGAGAAGACTATGGTGAGATGGAATGTCTCCAGGAGAAGAAGGAAGTTCAGGGTGGTCAGGAGCTGTTTTGTATTTCCACTGAGATGTAGGCCAAATGCCCTGCCAATAGCAGAAAGGCGTTCAGGCAGCTCCTAGAGCTAGGGCAACACTGAGAGTCCAGGACAGGATTCAACAGGAGAGACCTCCTGGGACACTTGCAAAGAATTGGATTGCCCCCATGGGGTGTCTGCTGCAGTTTTAGTGCTGGCTGGGAACCCAGGTTCGAGACTGCTAGCTGGCTGGCACGGCCCCAGTGTTTAGGCTGTGATTTAAGATGACCTCCTTGGCTCCTCCCCTTCCTCACCTCCATGCCCACAGTGTCATCAAGGGCTGCCCATTCTGCCCGCAGTGTCAGTCTATCTGTCCTCTCTTCACCAGCTTACCTTCCCCACTCCTCTGGGGAAGAAGGACATACCGTTTCCTCTGGGCTTTGAGCACACTGCCAGGCCAGGGCCCCTCCACCCTCCATTTAGTCTCTCCATGGGGCCAAAATACTTGAGGGGAAGGCACTATGTCTGACTGTATCTCACCAGCACTTAACATAGTAGGGCCTGGTACATAGTAGGTGCTCAGTAAGCATATGGATATTAGGAAAACAAAATAGACCATAAAGCCTCCCTAGATTATGGGTGTTTATAATTTGCTTCCAGTTTTTGGCACTCCAGGACCACTTATCCATTTGAGTAGATTCTTCCTGTGGATGCCCCTCCCCTATAGGGTCTTTTTAATTTGTTCATGCTTAAAAGTTAGAATAGTTTTGAATAGATAATACAGCCATATGGTCCAACAATCAAAATGCTTTAAAAGGTACTCATTGAGAAGTCCTGGTCTCACCTCCAACTTCCCCCTGCAACACTCTACCCCAGCTTCCTAGTATTAACACTTTTGTTACTTACACGTTCTTCGAGTATTTCCTCATGCAAATGAAAAATTCAAATATATGTTCCTTTTTTTTTTTTTTTTTGAGACAGAGTCTCGCTCTGTCACAGGCTGGAATGCAGTGGTGCCATCTCGGCTCACTGCAGCCTCTACCTCTGAGGTTCAAGTGATTCTCCTGTCTCATCCTCCTGAGTAGCTAGGATTACAGGCATGCACCACCATGCCTGGCTAATTTTTGTGTTTTTGTAGAGGCAAGGTCTTGCCGTGTTGGTTAGGCTGGTCTCGAATTCCTTACCTCAAGTGATCCACTGGCCTTGGCCTCCCAAAGTGCTGGAATTACAGGCATGAGCCACCATGCCCAGCCATTTGTTACCTTTTTAACACAAAAAAGTGGCATACTATATGCACTGTGCTGTGACTTGCTTTTTTCACTTAATAATAAAAACCAGAATGTTCCATATCAGTAAGAACATAGAAAGCGTCCTCATTCTTTTTTGGTTTTCATCTTTAAAAAAAAATACTTGCATAGTATCCCATTGTGAGGATGCATTCTAATTTAGTTACCCAGATGAACACCTGGGCTGTTTCCAAACTTTTGCTGCTACAGACAAGCTGCAACAAATAACCTTGTGTATGCATCGTTTCGGATGTGTCCAGGTAAAGCTGTAGGATCAGTTCACAGACCTGGGGCTGCTGGATAAAGGGTACGTGGGATTTCAGTAGATTCTGCCAAATGACCTTCCATACAGGGAAGCCCTGGGTTTTGTTTGTTTTGTTGTTTTGTTTTGTTTTGTTTTTGTTTTTGAGAGAGGGTCTTGCTCTGTTACCCAGGCTGGAGTGCAGTGGTGTAATCGTGGCTCACTGCAGCCTCAACCTCCCAGGCTCAGGTGATGGCTCCTACCTCAGCCTTCTGAATAGCTGGGAGTACAGGTGTGCACCACCATGCCTGGCTAATTTTTTTATAGAGATGGGGTTTTACCATGTTGCTAAGGCTGGTTGAACTCCTGAGCTCAAGCAATTTGCCCACCTTGGCCTCCCAAAGTGCTGAAATTACAGGCATGAGCCACCATGCCCAGTCTTTCCAGCTAATTTTTTAAATTTTTTGTAGAGACGGGGTCTCACTATGACCCTCCGGCCTCAGCCTCCCAAAGTGTTGGGATTATAGGTGTGAGCCACTGTCTGGCCAGGAGGCACGGTTCGCTCTCCCCCTGCAAGGTCGGAGGGTGCCTGTTTCTCATAGCTTCACAGCAGAGTTGTGCGGTTGTGATTTGGATTTTTGCCAATCTGATAAGTAAGAAATGCCATCTTGGTGTAATTTCTATGTTTATTGATTAAAACTGACCATCTTTCCACCTTTTAAGAGCATTTGTGTTTTTTCCATGAACTGTGTGTCATGTGCATGCCTATTTTTTCTTTTGGTTCTTGGTCTTTTTCCTGCTATTTTTTTGGGAGCTCTTTTCTATGGTGGGCAGATGAGACCATTGTCTGTGGAATGATTGCAGTTTTCCTGAGTGAGTCATTATCTTTGTACTCATGTTGTGGTTTTTGTTTCCCTCACATAGAAATTTTGGATTTTTTATATAGTAAAATTTATCAATCTTTTCTTTTATGGCTTTGTGATTTTGTATCAAAGTTAGACAGCCTCTTTCTCGCTCCAAGATTATGAAGGAATTCACCCAGAGGAGGCGAGAGGAAGCAGGTGTGGGCCCCTCACAGCAAATGCTGCCAACATCACAGTTTTGTTTGGGATTTAGCCACGTTCCCACGGGGAGAAGGGTTTGCTGCCAGAGGCTGATGCCCACTGCCAAAGGCCTGGGTGCCAGTCACCCTGCTCATCAGCTGGTGCCCTTTGCAGGGGCTGGAAACGAGGCAAATGAGGGGAAATGAAACGTTTGGCAGCCCCATGTTCCCAACAGGTGAGTTCTGGCCAGGTGCAGCCAGGTCAGTATAATGAAAGGAAATAGAATTAGAACTTTGAAGTGAAATTTGAGACTCACATAAACTTGAACCTTTCCTGGGATTTGAAAAGAAGTAATTAATTTAGAAATGTGTTTCCTCAATATTAAACTCTGCCACACTGACTCCAGGCAGGAAATATTCTGGAATAGATTCCCAAATGTGAATTCATTTGACATGGAGGCAGAAAGGAAATGATGAGGCAGATAATAACTTCTCTAAAATCTTCAGTCCAGTACTATGAGTTTGAAGACAGAATGAGGCTTATAAATGTTTGGGTCTGGGGAGGTTTTGACATCAACTAGCCTGGGTCCTTGTCTTTGCTCTGCCACTCACTATGTGACCTCAGACAAATTCCTTCACTTCTCTGAGCCTTAGTTTCTTCCTCTGTAAACGGGGATAATACTAATCATTAGGCCTAACATTGATTAAGCACTAAGGCACTGCATTTGATGTTTCACATGCATTAAACTGTTCACTGTCTAGGGCAGCTGTGAAAACTAAATGCCATACCATGAAGAGCTTTGCACAGTGCCTGGCACAATATGAGTCCTCAATAAACATTCCCCGATGGTACTGCTGTTTTGTATGCTTACTGAAATCAGATGGGAAGGCTCCACTTTTAATTGTGGTGTCATTTTATTCATTCACTCATTCCACAAGTGCTTCCTCCGACCCTACCACATGTGGGTGCTGGAGACAACGGTGAGCAAGGTCTGCACCCTGCAGAGCTTACAAGCTAACAAGGCAGACCCAGTGGTCAGTGCTGCAGACTGAATGTCTGTATCCCCCCAAATTCATATGTTGAAACTCTAACCCCCTATGTGATGGTATTTGGAGATGAGGCTTTGGGGAAGGGTTAGGTCATGAAGGCTCAGCCCTTGTGAATGGGATTAGTGTCTCCTTATAAAAGAGGCCCCAGAGAGCTCCCTCACCCCTTCTGCCATGTGTGAACACAGGGCAAGAAGACAGCTGTCTTTGAACCAGGAAGCAGACCCTCACCAGACACCAAATCACTGGTGCCTTCATCTTGAACTTCCAAGCCTCCAAAACTGTGAGAAATCAATTTCTGTGTCTAAAAACCACCCAGTCTGTGGTATTTTGTTACAGCAGCCTGAATGGATTAAAATGATCCATGGGCAGCGACCACACTCTGCCATGGGGACTTTGCTGGGGAGCAGTCAGGGTGCTGAGGCAGCACAGAGTGAATAACCCTGTCCCTGCTGCAGGGCTTGCCAAACCTCAGGCACATGGTCCCTCTGGAGGAGCAATAACCATTATAGGAGCAGGGAACACTTAGATAGCAAGTCCTTTGAACCGGAAGTGGTTCAATTAATACTCATGACAGCTGTATGTGCTTGGTACTATTATTATCCCTATTTTACAGATAATGAAACTGAGGAACCAAAATGTTGTTCAAGGTCACGTGGCTAATAAGTAGTGGAGCTGGGATTTGAGCCTGGAAATTTGGCCCCAGAGTTTATGTCAGGAGGTAGATGCAGAGAGGAGAGCAGAGATGCTCACCACTGCAAACTGGACTGAGACCTCTGCACCGTGTTAGGAATCATAACTGCCAAGTGGGAGCAGAACGGAGTGGCAAGAAGACCAGGCGCTGGGGCAGCATCTTGGCAGGAGTTTTTTTTTTAAAGCAGACCACTGCTCTCCAGCCTTGGCAGGACCATCAGCGGGGCACTGCAGGTGTGCCTGCGAATGGCTCCAGGAATCCTGCTGGCCTAAAATGATACTTTACAGGATGAATCTTGTTTGGTTCAAGGCATGTCTCCCAGTGAAAACGAAAAGGCATTTGGCAGGACCAGTTCCTAAAGTCTCTATCAACTATGGCTATTTACCTAAAATGTGTTCTCCTACTCTCTACTCTCTTCTCCTAGGTAAGGTTGCTGCTCCTCCTCAGATGCCCAAGCCAGGCTCATACCCCACACTTGGTGCTGCTATAGCATCCTGGACCTGCATTTCACAGCTCTTGCCTAGGACTTAATTTTAAAGTTTGGGGTTTCTTTTTGTTTTGTTTTGTTTTAATTTTACTTTACTTTTGAAATGGGGTCTTGCCATGTTGCCCAGGCTGGTCTGGAGCTCCTGGGCTTAAGTGATCCTCCCAGCTCAGCCTCCTGAGTAGCTGGGACTACAAGTGCATGCCACCGTATCTGGCACTACAGGTGCATGCCACCGTATCTGGCACTACAGGTGCACGCCACCGTATCTGGCACTACAGGTGCATGCCACCGTATCTGGCTTGGACTTACATTTAATTGGCTGATAATTTATGGCCTCAAGAGAGCAGTGACTACGTCTGTTTTTTCTTACCCTTTAGCACCTGTCATGGGACTGGAATGTAGCAGACGCTCAATAAATATCTGATGAATGAGTAAATAAATAGCCAGCACTTCAGGAGAACTGAGATAGAGAGCCATCAAATAGGAGGGTCAGGCCTGGGTGTGACACACCTCCTACTTTAGAAGAAAAGGGCTTGGGCATTCAGACCCTGGGCACAAAGTCACCAGTGATCTAAGGAAAGGAGCCAGCAGAGGTGGACAGCACCTGTTTGCTGACTGAGCTGGAGGGCCCACATTGGCTTTGGGGTAGACCAGTTCTCTTCTAAACACTATCAGTAGCCACTGGATTGCTGAGCACCTAGTGAGGTCCTGTTTCCATTCACCAGCTACATGGCCTCATGCAATTATTCACCCTCACCAAAGATCTGTTTCCTTATTTATAAAATGGGGATATAAAACTTCTTCATAGCAATATTTGGAGGAATAAAATGAGGTAGCATATGAAAAGTGATGTGTAGTGCCTGGCTTAAGTACTTGACCAATGAATGCTATTATTAGTATGGCATTTTTAAAAACTGTATCTAGTTCTTAACATATTATATTTAATCCTCAAAACATCCTTGTGACAGAAGTTATGATTCACATTTTTTTAGATAAGGGCCTTCAGGCTTGGATGAGTCAAGTTGCTGCTCAAAGTCCACACAGTTGGGGGCAATGCTGGAATTTAAACCCATGCCTGCCTGTCCTCAAAGCCAAGTTATTTTTATTCACTGATACTCAGAAATGGGGCCATAACAAAGTTTAGTTGGGAAAAAAACCTGATATAACAAAGGCAGTATTGCTTGAGTGGGAGACACTGCGATGGAATCCCAGAACAGGGAGCTTCCCTGGCTCCACCAATGGGACCACATGCATCTTCCCTGGGCCCCAGGTCCCAGTTCCTTGCCTTTGCTCCTGCTGCTTCTGCCTCTTGGAGTACCCTCTCCCTTGGTGGCCTCCTCCCAGAGTCTGACAGGTCCTCTTCAAAATGAACAGGGCAGGTTACAAACTAGGATGGACTGTATGACCCTCACATGTTTTAAGTGTAGATATGCATGTGCTTGTGTGTGAAAGAACCCTGATAAAAGATGAGGCAAATAGGATAAAAAGATAACAGTTGTTCCCTCTGTTGAGAGGAGCTTGGATTCTCAGATATTTTCTCCATACTTTCTTAATTTTAAAAAGATGAACATGCATTACTTTTGTGAATATAAAGCAACGTTATTTTTTAAAAACCTCAACCATCCCTTCAGGGCTCAGCTCAAGTGCCGTCTCCTATATGGAGCTGTGACGTCCCCTGGTGTGTGTTTGCCTTGTGAGGTCCTTGGTGATGCCATTGTCTTTGCCCCTGTAAATCTTCCAAAGCAGCAGATCCCAGCAGACAGAATTGCTCCAAAAGCCTCCTGGCCGGCCAGGCACAGCCAAGGGCAACCTTTCCCCGCAGATGGCTGCAGAGGGTGCTTTTGAACGCTTACCCTCTGTTAAGCTCATTTCACTTAATCCTCCCAACAACCTTTTGAGGTAGGGATTATTATTATCCTCCATTTAGAGATGACTGTCTTAAGACTTAAACGGGATAATTAGATTGTTAAACATCACATCACGTTCCATACTCACCTGGATCCACTCTGCCACACCCAGCAGAGACCCGTGCTGCAGCCACCTTGCTTCTGGGAAAGTGACATAATCTGTCAGGTCCCCTTGTCTTTATCTGCTCTCACCTTCTCCACCCTACTCCTCACTTCCATCCCACCTTCCCCCCATCTGGTGCCCATCTCTGGCTCACTCCAGGACACAGCTCACCTATCACTTCTTCCAGGGAGTCTTCTCTGACAAGCTCTGCTTTTTCATGTAGTCTGGGTTGGCCGACTCCTCTGTGCCTACCTGTATCACAGCACTTACCACTTCTTGCTGAATTTGTCCTCTCTCTCCTCTGCCTTTCTCTTTTCCCAACCAAACTCAAGGGCAAGAGTTTAATTTCTTTCTCCCCAGTGCCTAGTTGGCACAAATAAGATATTCAATAAATATTTGTTGAACAAATTAATAGGATTCTTATAATTGCCATAGAAGATGACCATTTTACAAATGAGGAAAAATGAAGCTCAAGTAAGTTGAGTGATTTGCTCAGTTCTGGCCAGTAAGTGTTAGGATTATTCGAATCTAGGTCTTTTGACAACCTGTCCAGGTGGACCAAAATGCTGAAATTTAAAGAAACAAAAATGTAAAACCCCGCCAGTTTTAGGGGGAACAAAAATACTAACAACATGCCAGTGCAAGCTAGGTAGAGGTAGATTTTGGTTGTTTTTCTTGTTTAAAAAAATACAATTGACAATTTGTCATTGTTGTTTGTTTTTGAGACAGGGTTTCACTCCTGTCACACAGGCTGGAGTGTAGTGGCGTGATCTCTTTGCAACCTCCGCCTCCCAGGCTCAAGAGACTCTTGTGCCTTAGCCACCCGAGTAGCTGGGATTACAGGTGTGCGCCACGATGCCCAGCTAATTTTTGTATTTTTAGTAGAGACAGGGTTTCACTGTGTTGGGCAGGCTGGTCTCAAACTCCTGGCCTCAAGTGATCTGCCCCCCTCCGCCTCCCAAAGTGCTAGGATTACAGGGGTGAGCTACCATGCCCGGTCCCATGTTTTTCATATAGCCTTTTCTTTCCTTTCAATTATTTGCTCAGTATTATAATTTCTAGAAGTTGGGTTGTGAGGACAAGCAGCTGAACATTTTAGATGTCCCTCAGTATTACTGCCAAACTGCATACTAAAAACATTAACACTACCTTCAGGTATAAAGAACTCTGAGAGTGTCAATTTCACCATGTATACACCAGCATCAAAAATTGTCATTATTTAAATTTGCTTTTCCCTCAGAGATATAAGGAGTGCCTCATTATTTGTTTCCTTTTCACTTCTTTGTGAACAACAGAGGTTGAGTATTGTTCTATGTGTTTAGGGGTTCACTTACCCACATTCTTGTGAGACCCACATGTTCATGTCTTTATTGTGCTGTTCTTTAAGACTGGAGAAGGCACACTTAAGTATTTAAATACTAAGTGGAAGGCACTATGCTAGGTCCTGCAGGAGGTAATGCAGATGACTGAGATACCACCCCTGCCTTCTCACTGAGTTTATGCTTGAGCAGAAGGGATGGATGTATACAGAAATAATGCTCCAGTCACCTGAGGTCAGGAGTTTGGCACCAGCCTGACCAACATGGTGAAACCCCATCTCTAAATGGGGTTTCTAAAAATACAAAAAATTAGCCAGGCGTGGTTGTGGGCACCTGTAATCCCAGCTACTTGGGGGGCTGAGGCAGGAGAATCACCTGAACCTGGGAGGTGGATGTTGCAGTGAGCTGAGATCGTGCCATTGCACTCCAGCCTGGGTGGCAAGAGCAAAACTCTGTCTCAAAAAAAAAAAAAAAAAGAAAAGAAAAGAAAGAAATAATGATCCAGGTGGCTACACTGGGCAGCTAACAGGCAAATAATGTGTTATAGAAGCACAGAGTTAGGATCAATGATTGATTCCTGACTAAGAGAGTATCAAGGAAGGCTTCAAAGAGTTGGTGGCATTTATTCCAGGCTGGAAAGGATGAGAAACATCTATTTAGAAGAACTCCAGGTTGACAAAGCATCATGAACAAGTGTTGAGTCTACGATGTATTTTACATTCCGTTCCTGAGAACATTTAGCATTAGTGTGGTTTGGGTTCTAACTACCAGTTAGAATGGTTTTGGTGGCAGGGAAGAGAATACCCAATGAAAGGAGGTTTTATCAACTGAAGAAACTGTGCTATCTCATAGAACAGGAGGCAGCCATTGTTTGGGTTGGTTCAACAGAGGCACCACATGTGACAATCAGAGCCCCCAGGCTTTCCCTTTTTTTCTCTGCCTTCCTAGGTGTTGACTTTGTCCTCAGATTGCGTTTTTCCCCATCCCAAGTTTGCTGCTTTCATCTAGTTATTGTGTCATCTCATAGCCACATTCAAAAGTAGAACAGGCCAGAATCTCTCACTCCTTCAATTTTATTAGGGAAAAATACTTTTCCCAGAAGCCCCGAGAGAGAGTGTCTCCTGAAATGTGATCGGCCCGCATCATGTTACATGCTCCACCTAATCCAATCAGTGGCTAGATGACATAAAATTAATTACCATGATTGTTGTAAATGAATCAACATTCACCTTTCTAGGATTTGAAAGGGGGTCATTCTCCTTGAACACACAATCCCCTCTAAACTGGCGTTCTACAAATAAGGAAGAAGGTGGGTACATGTAGGTTTTGATTAAGCAACAACAGTATCTGCCACAGTGCTTACAAGCAGACATTTAAATCAGAATTACACCAATATTGATAAATTTTCATCAAGAAGATATTTTCTAGATTCAGCTTTGATGAGCTAATTTAATTTTAGAAAAATTTTTCTATACATCATATGACATTTTCATTTTTTTATTTTCATTTTTGTTTTATTTAAACTATTTTCATAGATACCAATTCTTTTCCATATAAATTTTATGCCACAGATTGATTTCATTGATCTTTTTAATGTCTATATTAAATTTTATTGATAATATTTGTAGGCTTTGACATTATTAGTTTTCTTCTTGAGATTGTTATTTATCCTAATTATCTTGGGCCAAATTTTGTGGGTCAGGGAATTTTATGTTGACTGTTCCTATCAATAATCTTTATTAGGAATTGGATAAGAGACTGATTATATGTATTTCTCAGTAAATCCATGATGAAATTGTGACAAATTCTTTTTAGATATGCTAAAAATTAATCTGTTATTCAGATTGTGGTATTGCAGGGATCAGCAAATCAGGGTCATGTGAGCTAAATCTGGCCCGATACTTGTAGGGCTGCAAGTTAAAAATGGTCTTTACAGATCAACTTTTGCAATCTATTTAATAATAGGCAATACTAATTTTAATCCCAATTAGAAGAACATTACCCACACCCCCAAAATTAATTTAATTCTTCTTATTAATAGACATATATTACAAATATTATATTCGATTATTACTATTACACTGGATTTTTTTTTTTTTTGAATCTTGCTCTGTTGCCCAGACTAGAGTGCAGTGCTGTGATCTTGGCTCACTGCAACCTCCACCTCCCAGGTTCAAGTGATTTTCCTGCCTCAGCCTCCTGAGTATCTGAGATTACAGGTGCATGCCACCACTCCTGGCTAATTTTTGTATTTTTAGTACAGACGGGGTTTCACCATGTTAGCCAGGCTGGTCTTGAACTCCTGACCTCAAGTGATCCACTCACCTTGGCCTCCGAAAGTGCTGGGATTACAGATGTGAGCCACTGTGCCTGGCCTTACATTGAATTTTATTAATAACTATTTCATGGAAACTTGTTTTCTCTCCTGTCATATAAATTCTACATAATATTCTTGATTTTTACTATTGATGCACAAACCCTAAAATATTTACTATCATGTCCTTTACAGAAAATATGTGCTAAACCCTGCTCCATTGCATTGCTAACCTGATTCTTCTGAACACTTTCCCTCCCCACATTAAGGCTCTGCTTCATTGGGGTTACAAAGAACAAATGGTGAATAGCTTAGTCTGTTCAGGTTTTCATAACAAAATACCATAAACTGTGTGGGTTATGAACAACAGAGATTTATTTCTCTATTATTTATTCTCAACGATTTATTAATTAACAGAGATTCATTCTCCCAGTTCTGGAGGCTGGGAAGTCCAAGATCAAGGCAATAGCAGATTTGGGTGTGGTGAGGGCCCACTTTCTGGTTCATAGATGGCTATCTTCTCACTATCTTCTCTGTCTTCTCAGAGGGGAGAAAGTGGTATGGGGGAGCTCTCTGGGGTCTCTTTCATAAAGACACTAATTTCATTCATAAGACTCATGACTGATCACTTCCTAAAGGCCCCACCTTCAAATATCATCATCATCTGGGGGATTAGGTTTCAACACACAAATTTTGGGAGGGTCACAAATATTCAGTCCATAGCAGTGACTGAGGTCCCTATGTTTTTAGGGTTGAAATTGTAGTCTGTCCTGCTTCAGTTAGGAAAATATTAAGTGGATGAGTGTGATCACATTGCTCAGTGATAAAGGGAAATGCTCTTTAAACTCTAACACATTGTGTCAAATAAAAACAAAATTGACATGAGAGTTTTAAAATAAAAGTCAATTTCCCCTTTTTAGTATTAAAGTATGATGAGTCTAACATGTTGGAAAAGCCAAAATATTGTTTCAAAGCATCAACATTTCAAAGAAACATAGTCTTTTGAAACTTGGGAGAGTCGAGAGGACTTTTACTTTTTCCTACTGTTTCCTACTGAAGTTAGCTTCTTTTTCTTTCCTTTAACAGATGAGGAAAAAGAAAATAATAGAGCATCCAAGCCCCACTCCACTCCTGCTACTCTGCAATGGTAAGTTTCCATTTTTAGCAAGTTCTGTCTTCAGAGGATGCTCATATCTTCTTGTCTATAGGATAGGATATCACTTGGATATTTTAACATTGTCCTGATAACTTGACATTCCACAACATGAAATCTATTTAATTTGCAGTATATGTAAAATGCTCAACTAGCCTTAGATCTAGCCTGGAGATTGGAATTTTTGTATTTTATTTTAGGGTAGATGTTTTTTCTGTTATCCAAACACTGGCAAGGACTGGATTCCCCATGGGTATTATTAATTGATTTTAATAGAATCCATTATTACAATTTATAATAAAAACAGAGGTCTGTTGACTCTTACCAATGAACCCTTAATTCATAATGAATTACAATTGTATATAATTATTTTAACATTAATAACACTAACAAGAGTAATCTACTAGAATGGCTTTCTCTTTAATATTTGGCATTCCTGGGCTTGATGAAATATTTAATAATGTTTAAGTGGTTGCACTTGTGTTTGATATTTACAGATAAATTCTCCTCTAAAAGCTTTATTTGGAAATTATGTTGTAGCTTTGAACACTAGAGCTCTCTATGCCTGAGATTCACCCTATGAAGAATCTTGGCCATTGAAGGCGATTATTCCCCTAGCAGTGCAGCCGAGCAATATGAAGGAATTAAGGAATGACGGGGAAGGAAAGAGAAATGGGGAAAAGAAAGGAACTAAAATCCATTATATGCACCCCTCCAGGCTAGGCACTTTATATATATGCCTCATTTCATTCTCACAATTCTGTGGAGTTGCTATTGTTGTGCCCATTTAACTGATGAGGAAAATAAAGCTGAACCAGTTAAACCATTTGCCTGAATAGCCACACAGCCAATCAGTGGCAGAGGCAGGAAGTGGCTGGGTCTCTTTAACTGCAAAGCTCATGCTTGCGAAGAAAGGAAAAGAAACATCAGGAAGGATAGAGAAGAGAGGACAGATCAGAAAAGGAAGCAGATGGGCTTTAATGAGCAAATCATATTAGATTCTCTAGTCTAATCCATCCAGAGGTGAGAGGAAAACAACACTGGGAGAAAGCATTCAGGAACGTAACTCAATCTTCTCTAACAAGAGCCTCAGCAGTCAGCTTGTTTTGCTTCAAGAATAGCAAAGGTTGTTTTCAAGAGCTCTATTTCCAGCCTTTTGGCCTCTTTCCATCATTTGTTCCTATAGACTTTTTCTCATTGCATTTGCTGCTTTTTGCTTTATTTAAAATTCTACTTTATGTATCAGATCAAATCTCCCCCTTCACCCTTCTCTAAGTATTATGGCCATGCAAGTTCCCATAGTGCCAAGACATCGAATGAGGCATCGATGTAAAGGACTCTGGGAGTGGGAGTTTCTAGACATGCATGGAATTGACAGACTTTTTTTTTTTTTTTTTTTTGAGGTGGAGTCTCACTCTGTCGCCCAGGCTGGAGTGCTGTGGCGTGATTTTGGCTCACTGCAACCTCTACTTTCTGGGTTCAAGTGATCCTCTTACCTCAGCCTCCCTACTAGCTGGGATCACAGGTGCCTGCCAACATGCCCGGCTAATTTTTGTGCTTTTTGTAGAGACAGGGTTTCACCATGTTGGCTAGGCTGGTTTTGAACTCCTGACCTCAGGTGACCCTCCTGCCTTGGCCTGTCAAAGTGGTGGGATTACAGGTGTAAGCCACCATGCCTGGCCAACAAACATTCTTGCTTTAATAACCTGAACATGTCATATGTTTCAGAGTAAAAAATTTGAAAGGAACTAGAAGAAAATCACTTTGTTCACATCTATTTTTCTGGGATTCCAGGACATCTGCCTGGGAGCAGTGAGGCTGTAAATGGTGCAGTCTCTGAAATCAAACTGTCATGGCTTAACTCCCAACTCTGCCACTTACAAGCTGTGAAGTCTTGGGCAAGGTCCTTAACCTCTCTGTGCTTCAGTCTACTCACCTGTAAAATGGGGATAGCAATAGTGTCTAGCTCATAGGGTAGTCATGAAGATGAAATGAGTTGTTCTATAGAAGGTGCTTGAACAGCACCTGGCATGGGGTGGGGCTCAGTCCTTCCCTCAGCACACTCCTTCCTTCTGAGACCCACAGGGACCACCTGGAGCAGGCCCCGTCTCCTCCCTGGCATAGGCACAGCCAGTTCTCCTTCTATGGTACCTAATTCTGCACAAAATATCTGTTTTTCTAAATAAAGGGTCACATAGATCATTCCAGAAGAAATTTCACCCTCCAAGTCACAAGGTCAGACAGTGAATTTTTTTTAATGATAAGTCTATTTTCAAAGCCAAACCAAATCTGAGAATTTGTACATATTCGCCTATTCTTATCAAAAGACATCAAGTTGTTCAAAGAACATTAACGTTTGCTCTAATTATCTTTATATTATATGTTTAAGATAGAATTTCAGTCATTAACTAATTCAATAAATGTTTACTGAGCACCTGGTATTTGCTAGCTCCTTGTTCTAGGCTCTGGAAATGCAATGGTGGATAAGGTAGACCAAGAAGAGGAGCTGATGACAGGGGAAAAAGGGGAAATATCTATATCTATGTCTATATCTATCTATATCTATATCTATCTATATCTATATCTATATCTATATCTATATCTATATCTATATCTATATCTATTTTTTGAGATGGAGTTTTGCTCTTGTTGCCCAGGCTGGAGTGCAATGGCGTGAGCTCGGTTCACTGTAACCTCCGCCTCTTGGGTTCAAGTGATTCTCCTGCTTCAGCCTGCCGAGTAGCTGGGATTACAGGCATGCACCACCATACCCGGCTAATATTTTATTTTTAGTAGAGACAGGGTTTCTCCGTGTTGGTCAGGCTGGTCTCAAACTCTGGACCTCATGTGATCCACCTTCCTCAGCCTCTCAAAGTGCTAGGATTACAGGTGTGAGCCACCGTGCCCGTATATATATGTCATTAAACTAATGACACTCAGGGCACAGTGGCTCACGCCTGTAATCCCAGCACTTTGAGAGGCTGAAGTGGGAGGATCGCTTGAAGCCAGGAGCTCAAGACTAGCCTGGGCAATATAGTGAGACCCTGTCTCTGCAAAAAACAAAAAACTTAGCTGGGCATGGTGGCATAAGCCTGCAGTCTTACCTACTCTGGAGGCTGAGACAGGAGTATCGCTTGAGCCTTGGAGATCAAGACTGTAGTGGCCTGATTGTGCCACTGTACTCAAGCCTGGGTGACAGAGCAAGACCCTGTCTCTATTTAAAAAAACAACTAATGATTGATAGATAAACAAGTAATGCATTAGATAGTGAGAAGTGCTGTGCAGAGACTTTAGCTTGGCTAATACGATAGTGTCTGAGAGGCTATTTCAGGTTGAGCAGTAAGGGCAAGTTTCTCTGAGAAGGTGACATTTCAGTGGATACATGTATGACACCATGACAGTGTGAAAACCAGGGACAGGGGAATGTTGCAGGTGGAGAGAACAGCTTCTACAAAGGCCCCACTGTTGCAGGTGACCTCTCCAGATTGAGCAGAGTTGTGCCTACAGGTGGTTTATTAGGGCATGCGCCCAGCCTCCACGCCCATAGGGGTGTGAGGGATGCTGGAATAGACAGAGGGGGTGTTAGGCAGTGAAGAGGTTATCACAGAGGCTTCAGCCAATCCTACAGGGAGTTCTGAGGTGGAGATGGCCAGTTAAAAATGATCTGAATCAAAGCAACGGATCCAGACCTTTATCCCCCAACCCCATTGTCCATCACTGAATACAGGCTGCCCCCAGGGTGGGGGTGTAACTTGGGAGAGGCGGTTGCCTTCATGTTTTGCTGAGGATCACTCCTTGGAATGATTCAGCCTCCCAGTAGGGGGAACAATGTCTCAGTGCCTCAGGGCAGTCTGGGCACACTCAGCGTCCACCACTCCTTCCCGGGATGGGAGCAGGCTGAGCTTGCTGAAGGACCCACGAGAAGGTGGCCCATGTGGTTGGAGCATAGCACACATGGAGGAGAATGACACAAGATGAGGTGGGAGAGGCAGGCAGGGGAGAGGCTACATAAGCAGTAGGGAAAAGAAAGTAGGACATTAAACTTAGATAGGAACAGTCATGCTTAAAACGGTGTGGAGAACATGTGACCTCCTACGTAAAGCTGCACATGTATCATCTTTTAAAAAATATGGTTTCAGTATAAAAACTTTCTCTCTCAAAAGAGAGTGGATGCACCCTCCATTTTACAAGGAAAAGTGACATGATTTACAACGTGTCCCCTTTTTGCTGTGGCTGCCGTGGGGTTGAGAGCTAAATCTGATGCTTACAGACTTTTGCAATCACTTCTTTCCTTTGTCTAATTTTCTTCTTCTTTTGCTAGCTTAAAAAAAAACCCAGGATATAAGTAAATTTAATAAATATATTTTTGCTTTACTTTTATTTTGTTTACACAAGAAATACATTTCCTTGTTAAAAAATTAAAAACATTATAGGTAAGACTCCAGTCCATTTCTCCTTGTAGTTCTTTGCCTTCTCCTCAAAAGCAACCCTATTCAGTGAGACATGTGTGTGCATGTGTGCACTTGTGTGTATACATATGTGTAGATATGTATTACAGACCCTTCCCTATGAATTTGCACACATATGTATCTGTAGAAGTTTCTGAAGTATGGTTTTTAATTTAGCATTGTCTCCTTTATAAAAAGCATGCAGATGTATCACACTAAAAATATTGACCCGCAACCTGTTATGCTGTATTGATCCACTACTTGCTTTCTTCCTTAGTAGAATGTCCTGAAGCTACACTCATGGTTCATAAAGAACAACCTCATTTTAACTGCAGCTCAGTGTTTAGCATAAGACAATGGCAGAATTAATGTTGCCATTTCCCCTTTTTTTTTTTTTTTTTTTTTGAGACAGAGCCTTGCTCTGTCACTCAGGCTGGAGTGCAATGGTGTGATCTCGGCTCACTGCAACTTCCACCTCCCAGGTTCAAGCAATTCTCCTGCCTCAGCCTTCTAAGAAGCTGGGATTACAGGCGCGCACCGCCACATCCAGCTAATTTTTGTATTTTGGTAGAGATGGGGTTTTACCATGTTGGCCAGGCTGGTTTTGAACTCCTGACCTCAAGTGATCCACCGGCCTCAGCCTCCCAAAGTGTTGGGATTACAGGCATGAGCCACCCCACCCGGCGCCACTTCCCTTTTGATGAACATTTAAGTTTTGTTCAAATCTCATCTTTGCCATTACAAGTAGGGCCTCACGGAACATCTTCGTGTGTGCCCCCTTGGACACCGTGGGAGTGTTTCTTCATGTCTGTATCAAGAAACAGAATTGCTCCATTAACACTTAAAGTGTTGATGGGATTGCAAAATTACCCATCAAATGGCTTTACCATTTTATATCTTCATCTGCAGTGCAAAATACTTACAAAACAAAACAGGAACCTAATGCTAGGACAAGCATCTCATTCTCTGAGGCATTTATGTCCTTCATGCTGTGCCCTCTCTCCAGCGGCAGTGGCCAGCCCCTGAGGACAGAGAGGAGGGCAGGCCCAGGAAAGGACACTGGCCGCACCACTAAGGCGCCCGCCACCCGCCTGACAGTGTCGAGCTCTCCTGGGACATTTGGCTTGTTATTGGAATTGGGTTAGGAGCTATTTGCTTCTCCTTCTTCCCCTTCCTTGCCACAAACCCCCTCCCCCTCCCCCTAGAACAAATAACACCGCTCTAAGAACAAATAATACAGCAGCCAAGCAGCCTAAAATAATTGGGGACACGTGATCTGGAGGCAACTCCCAGCAGAAAACAGGCAAATATTGTCAAATGCCTTCTGCCAAACACTTTCCAGCATCCTCGGTCACGAGGGTTAGTAAATCCCAACTCACTGGGGATGGTGAGCGCTGCTGGAATCCCGGCCGCACAATAACCTCTATTCATGCAGAGAATTTCGAAATGGAAAGCAGCCTGTTCCGCAGTCCCGGCCTACTTGCTGCCAACACATGCCCCCTCCGTGCCCCGCCCTCGCCCGCCACCCTTGCCGCCCTTACCCAGAGCTCCTTGTACGCCTTCTGGGTGGGGACGTTTTCCCTTCCAGCAATTTACTGAAGAAATGAGGCTCTTCCAAAAAGGAGGACAGAAGATCAAATTGTCACTTTCGGGGGGGATTGGGGGGAGATTTTCCTTTCTTTTGAAAAAAATTAAATTGAGGACTTGGGTGGTTGACAAGCTATCAATATTCCAAATTAATATGAAACAAAAGAAATTTATAATTTCTCTTTAGAATGTTCTGGAAGGTCATAGGTAAGACATTGGGTTTGGCACTGTTCCAAAGAAGAAATACATTGACATTTTAGACCAGATCACAGCTGCTAGATCAGACTCATTGGATGTAACCGATAACTGACATTTTGCACCCTTTTGTGACTTGATTCTTACTCAACAGTGACAGAACATTGCTTTCATAATGTGAGTTAGGTAACATGGTTCTAAAAAGGGAGGCTGAACACTTTTAGCTCTGAACACAACCAGTGTTGATAGATAATGCCACTAGATGTGACTGTGTCCCTCCGGATGACCTCAGCTACAGATGGAGAAAGGTCAGTTAAGCTGGACAACCCAATGCCAAGGGCAGAAATTTCTCAGGGAATGAGATGCTGTGTTGTGGAACCACAACTTTTTTTAAAAAAAGTATTTTGTGCTGTGGGTAAATGTGTCAAATGGTAAAGCCATTTGACGGGCAATTTTGCAATCCATTAGCATTTGAAGCACATGCAGCCAGCAGCTGTGCTTCTTGATGCTGGCAGGGAGAAACACTCCCACACAGGTGTGTAAGGGGGCACATACGAAGATGTTCTGCGGGGCCTTATTCATAATGGCAAAGTGCAGTAGAGATGAGTAGAGTACTGGGTATAGGTGGAAAGGGACCACTGAGGAGGTAGCTTCTGGTAGGGGATGGTGCCAAAATCACCTCAGCTACTGTCCAGGACAACCAGAGCTCTGGGCTGCAAACCTGTAGCCTAGGCCCCAAAAGAAGCATTCGGAACCAAATGGAAATTGCAACACTGTGCTTAATACATTGCCTAGTTTTATCCAAAAAAAAAAAAAAAAAAAAAAAAAAAAGAGGGGACTTGAATAACCAAAAACTGAGCTGAGAGATTCCAGAAGCTACCTAAGCCCAGGCCTTACTAGAACACTAATTCAGTAGGTTGTAGGTCAAACCCAGCGTAGGAATTGGATGACTACTGTTCTGGTCCAGTTTAGACATTACAATGGCAGGAATAAATCTCTGATTCAGTCCATTGCCCCACATCAGCCAAACCTACAGGTTCAGCAATCACCCGTGGGATGCCAGGCTTGTCAGGTGATGTCACTGCTGAGCACACCTAATCCTCATGAAAATCCTGTAGAGAAGGCAGGACAGCTACCTGTATTTAAAGAGGAGGAAACCAAGGTAGTCTCTTTCTACACAAAGAGGGGGACATTCCTGACTCCCCAGGGAAATCCTCAACAACAAGGAAGCTGGGTCAGCTGAAGTCCCCTGAGAAATGTCAGTGTCCACACAAATGCATGTTTCTGATTGGCTCGTCTACTTGGCAGCAAAGCATGGCTTAATGGTTGTGTAATGAAATAGATTGTTTTTTTGTTTGTTTTATTTTGCTTTGGAGTTTTCTAGACTTAGCCTCAGTCCTAACCAGAGCCTGTATGAGCCAAAGCCCACTGTTTTCTATTCATTTGCTGTCTGGTGGTGTTATCTCCCTAGCTCCCATCTTCCTTCTGGTAAACTGTCAGTTTCTTAAAGGCTGGGGCAAGAGTAGCATCTTCTTGTTCATGGCTGTATTCTACAGTGCCTGGCATATAGTAGGTGCTCAATAAATGTATTCTGACTAACCAAATGAATGTCAGTCTCTGGCACATAGTGAGAACTTTAGAGGCATCATACCTGAGTTCATACTTTTTAAGCCTAGCTTTTCCCAGCAGAGTCGCTGTGGACAAGCCACTTTACTTCCTTGGCCCTCCATTTCTTCCTCTATGTCCTAGGGCATAGTGTTTACTCATCTTGTGGGGGTAGTGATAGCCAATATGAACATCCCTAGCGCAGGGTAGGCACTTGAAAATATAAATCAAATATATTAATATTAACCATGCTTTTCCTTTAACTACCCAGATATTAAGATTAATAAAATACCAGAATCCCTTGACCTGTGCAAAAGCCTGCCTTCCTTCTTATTGGCCTTTCCTCCTTTCCCCTCCTTCCTCCTGCAGTGTTTACTGACTGTGTTCAGGACACAGTGCTAGGAACTATGTTAACATCAATAGGAATTTGGTTTGATCCCTGCCATCAAAGGACTTTCAGTTTAAGATACAAAACATTACCTGAATATTCCACAATATTGTAAAATAATGCTAATTGTTACTCTTTATTGAGTGTCCCCCACAATAAAGGGCCTCAGGCTGTGCATGGATTCTTGTCTAGTCCTCACAGCAAGCTTGGGAGATGGTACAGTTTCTCTCATTTTACAGATGAAGGAAGTGAGAGAGTTCAAGTAACGTGCCCCAGGCTATATGCTTGTAAGTGGTGGAGGCAGGATTCAAAGTCAGTGATCTCAAACTCTAAAACCAGTGCTGGCTCCTGATGAAGCTATTTGAGCCATAAGCTATGAGGAACCATGGCCATCCCTGGGAAGTAGTGAGAGCTTTACAAGCAGAGGATGTGGCTTTTCCTACAGACATAACAGCAGCTGGCATTTAGACCACTGCAGCACTCTACATGTTATTGAATGAATAAATGAATTTGGCAGGGAGGAAAGGATGAAGAAGTGGTTAGCAGATGGGGTTGAGTGTGCACTGAACATAGTTCCATGGAAGAGAAATGTGAGTTGCGCCTTGATGCGTGGAACACGGTGGAGGAGGTCATCCCCTGCGGTAGGAAGGTGATGGATCGTGTGTGTGGGTGGAAGGTGACAAGGTGTGTCTCAGGAGCAGGAAACGATCCAGTTGGCTGGAAAGAGGTATACGTGTGGGAAAGCAGGACGGAAAAGGAGCCAGGGGCCTTGGATGCCACGGTCAGGAATCCAGACTTTTGTGGAGAGGGAACAGGGAGCCGTTGACGGGTGTAGACTACTGTCTTGTCCTGATTGCTTAGCAAGGGTTTTTTTTTTTTCTACATAGTTTACAGTCTCAGATCTCTGTGACAACTTCAGTGATAAGTTAAAATAGTTAATATTTTTAAAAATCCTGTTGTCTTGTAAAGTCTGGGCTTTCTGTAAAAAAAAAAAATCCTGTGGGGTTTTTTTTTTTTTTTTTTGGTAAAAGAGAATGAAAAAGTTTCTGTTCTTGACATGTGTGCAAGAACTTGAGGAGTGGGCACTTTGAACTGACGCAGAGCGACCTTTCCTAAGAATACATCGATCATGCTGCCCCCATGCTATAAAACATCTAATCAGTTTAAAAGATCTCTGCATATACATATAAGAAATCACAGGTTTAAAATGAGGACAGTGGGAAATGATGCCAGGTGCCGAAACATTTGCTTTTCATTGTAAAGTGCTGATACAAAGCTTCCTCCATGTGCCTTAGGAGGCCACATGCTGAAACCTTGTGAGGAAGTCTTCTTAAAAATATATAACTCAGATAATGACTCATGTTAGCTAGCAGACTGAGCTCATTATCTCTCCATAATAGGATAGGCTCAATTCAAATATAATCAAGTTGTTAAATAGAAGATAAGGAAAATGGAAGAAGTGGGAATTTTTTTGTGATCATTAAAAAAAACCCAGGTATAATGGAGCATTGTTCACCATGTCAGACTAATGATGTCCTCTAAAAGAGAGGAGGAAACGAGAAAATTTCATCAGATATGAAGAAGAATAATTAACTGCCTTTCTTTCTGCCATGCTTTGGTCAGGGAAGTGGACATTCCAATTAGCAACTTTAGTAGATAGGCAGAACCTCTGGTTTTGGGCAAAGGTGTCATGATGCTATTCCTGTAGAAACTTATCAAGCATCAAAGGGGCCCTTCCATGCCAATTACATCCATTTGTTCATAGAGCTTATTAAAATGCTTCATAGTTATAAGCCACCTAGTTACTTTGAGGCTCAGAAGCTCCGGAAAGAGGAACAAAACGTGGGCTGAAATGTAGTAATTTAGGAGGCTCTGGCCTTTGACAGGTAACTGTTTAATTAGCCCAGCCTGTGTGAACCATGACTTACACCCATCTGATTTGAATAGTTTGTTGCTGCTATGGGTTCATTTGATGTGATGTTTCTTAACCATGATCTTGTATTTTAATCTTGACCTCTTGGCCAGATTTAGTAAGCACACAAGCCACAAGAACAGCAAATGGAAACTGAGGCACAAGGAGCTTAAATAAAGTAACTTACTTAGAAACTCATGCTGTTTAATGCTGCATTTGAAAGCATGATTTTCACCCTTAACTGTCCTCTCCTTCTGCATTTCTGGTAGTGGAGAATGGAGCCCCCCATTCATCCATTCTGCCCAGTTAGGAACCTGAGGGTTTGCTTGGTTACTCCTGTCCTCCTCACATCTGGCAGCATGAGGCCCACACCCTAAGTGTTACCTCTGCCCCCACAACCATTGCTTCAGTTCATGCCCCATCATTTCCTGCCAGAACTATTATAGTAGCTCCTAATTGGTCTCCTGTGTTCATTCATTCATTCAACAAGTCCTAATTAATCAGCCACTATGTGCCAGGCTTTGATCGTCCTCCTGGGCCACCTCCCCTAGAGGTACAGAGCAAACTTTCCAAAGAATGCATTGATCATGCCACTCCCATGCTTTAAAAAATCTAATTGGTTTTAAAGGATTTCTATCAATTTAAATAATCATATGCAAGATGAATTCTGAATGGTTTGAAATACACATTTGTTTAGTGTGTTCATGGATTTTTTTTTAGCCAAAATAAATTCTAGGAAGCCATTAGCAAAAATAAGCAAAAAGGGATACTTTTATCTTCCCCACAGCTTGTCATACACAAAATTGCAGTTGCCCAAATTGTTCATGTGTATGCATGAGACTGGAAAATGTTCCACTACAAGTGTTGAAGTCAAATCTCTTAAAAATTGCTTAATGGAACTCTCAAAAGTCAAAGATGGCCAGGCGCTGTGGCTCATGCCTGTAATCCCAGCACTTTGGGAGGCTGAGGTGGGAGGATCACTTGAGGTCAGGAGTTCGAGACCAGCCTGGCCAACATGGAGAAACCCTATCTTTACTAAAAATACAAAAATTAGCCAGGTGTGGGACACCTGTAGTCCCAGCTACTCAGGAAACTGAGGCAGGAGAATTGCTTGAACCGGGGAGGCGGAGGTTGCGGTGAGCCGAGATGTCGCCATTTCACTCCAGCCTGGGTGACAGAGCGAAACTCTGTCTCAAAAGAAAAAAAAAAAGTCTAAGATGATACCTATGAGACAGGTGTTTTGTTGTTGTTTTGTTGTTTGACATTCTTTTATTATACTCAAGCCATTCCTGGCAAATAGAACGTATTAAGCTTTAAATTAATGTCAGTTATTGTTGTTACTGATGATATTATTATTATTATCATCATTATTATTCCTATAGCATCCCGGAAGCACTCAGGTCTTCCCGACTCCTTTGAGTCTTTGTTTCTTTCAGTCCTCCTGAGTACAATTCTACCACCTTCTTCTGAAAATAACATTTTTATAGTAACTCTTGAACTCCAAGTGGGTGCTAAATTCTTAAGCCAAATCATATCCATTTGTGTGGCATTTAAAGACTCCCTCCACCTCCCATAGTTCTTCCCTTTAGATACCCTTTCCTTCTCTCTTTACTCAGATCAGCATCTCCATCATTAAAAGCACATGGCACTGTCTCCCATCCTTGCTGTTCTACTTGCCTGGAACCTCCCTCCCTCCCCCAACTACCGTGGCAGAATACCAGAGAGATTTGGAATGAGACAAACCCTCCTATTTACTAGCTGCATGACTGGGCAAATGAGTTACACCCTCTGAGCCTCAGATTCCTATCCTGAAACATATGTATAAATACCTACCTCATGCCATACGGTTATTGTGAGGTCAAATGAGACCATGGATACCCAGTGCCCAGCACCTAGTAAGAGCTCAACAGATGCTAACTGTTGTTGTTACACAATCCTAAACCCAACTCTTCTATGAAACTTTAATTATCTACTCTCATCTACACATCAATCTCTCTGTTTTCCCACCTTCAACTGTACCTATGGTCAGGAGTTTATAGTAATTAAATATTATTTCTTGTGCATATGTCTCCCCAAATAGACTGCAAAGTTAACTAGGACATAGATCATGTCTTATGCCAACACAAGTGCCTACAGGAGCCAGACAAGGAACAGAAAATAGACAGGGTACAAAGAAATAGGGAGGAGTGAGGACTCTGGCCAACTTCAGGGCACATGTAGCTCTGGCCAATTGTTGTCGTGCGGGAATATGGGTCCAGTGTTGCCAGATCTCAGCTTTTTCAAAAGAAGCCAGAAATCCAGATTCTTATGTGCAATGTCCTGAATTTTAAAAATTGGGCCAACACTGTTCAGGCCAAAACAAAGCATGTCTGTGAGACCCCAGTTTGAGAAAGCTGTCTTATTCAGATGGCCCCTACAAGTTTGTACGCGAGCTGGTTATTTGGACCTCTGAACTCACTTTTATAGAGAAACAATGCCGCGAATGGCAGTTAGGGGTCCAGGCTAACCTCCCAGGCTGATTTTCATTCATACTGGACCTGAAACTTAGGACAGTCCTAAGAAACCTATTCTTTATGTGAAACCCTTTTCCCACTGGAAAACACACTTAGAATTCCAATTTATGATGTCAAAGACATACATCAGAATGTAAGCCTGTTCAGGACAGGACCATTGTTTTGTTCACCACTGTTTCCTTAATGTCTAGAACATTGCCTGGCACTTAGTAAATATTTGTTGAGTTAAAGGTTATCTGTGTCTTTGTCCATCTGTCTACCATTAATCTGTTCACTGTATGCAAGCATGGACTATCTTGCTCACTGTGATATCCCCAGCGCCTGGCAGGTGATAAGATCAATAAATATTTGTTGAATGAATAAATGACTGAAATAATCTATCCATAAGACACTTACTGAGCCCCTACTGTGTGCCAAGGAATATGCTGGACCTCAATGATGCAGAATTGACTCAGACACTATCCCAGCCTCAAGGAATTTGATCACCTAGAAAGGATTACATCAACTCTTTCTGGGAACATTTCTAAAAACTATCCCAAGTTACTCAATGTTCCCCATCCCAGAAGCGCGGGAAGTAGATGAGATGATCGGGGACTATTCAGCACCAGGTTTTGTCTTGGTGCTGACAGGTCTGTGTCCCTAGGGTTGTATTCCCCCTCTGTGGGGTTTGGGTATGAAATGATTGAACTGATGTTCTTGCAATCACATGTTGGAATAAGTTGAGCGAGTGCTGCCCTTTCAAGTGGGCACCTTGGGGGGCCGTGTCCTCATTCCACTTCACTTACGACAGCGCTGGGCCACTTCTTTGGCAAATGCTCTCAGAGGGAGTTTTGAAGCCACTTGAGGACATTTATTTCATCACTTTGGAATTATGCCTTATTTTTGACCAAAAAATTGGGGGTGGGGGATGGTTTTCCAGTCACTTTATCCCCCAAACTTGCTTCCAAATAACTTTGGGTTGTTTCCTAAAATCTAGTTAATGATCAAAGGAGAAATGTTTCCTGTTGGTGCATTGATTTAGCAGTAGGTGCCCCAGGCTTCGAAGGCATGACCCTAAGAGAAGTTCCCAAATTGTCTTGTGCCACAGCAGTTTTCTTGGGAAAGGTATTTAACTTTCCAGAGTGCCTAGGACAATGGAGGCAAGATTTATTTGGATGCCTACATTCTGGTGTTTGGGTTAAAGAATAATAAATTTTTTAAACCCTGTATCTAATTTTTGTTTATATCCCCAATATTTAGCACACGGTCAGGACATATAGTGCCCAAAAATGTTTTCTGGAGAGGAAGAACGAATCATGAGGAGGTCTGACGTCTTCTCAGTGCTTCCCATGCACGTGCCAGGCACCATGCGGATGCTTGTCACACGTTACCTCGTCTGATCATTATAACCACTTTAGGAGGCACTTACAATTCAATCCCACCAAAAGGAAACTGAGGCCTGAGCTTAAGTAACTTGCCCAAGGTCACCAAGCCAGCAAGTGACAAGGCTGGGATGTAAACCCAGTTGTAGAAAATCTCTCCTACAGAATCCCTAATGGAGACTCACTAAGAAGGTGATGGGTATAGAATCATTATTCCTAGCACAGCAGAGGAGAAGAGGATTCTAAAGTAATCATGGGGCCAACTTCCTCCTCTGGTCATGAGACCTCCCTTCAGTCAGCAGATCAGTGTCTGTACAGCTATACAGGCCTCTCCTGGGGCATTGGTTTTCCCAGACAATCCCCCTCCATAGCATTTGTCAGCCAAGGAGCTCCAAGATGTTGACACATCCTCCTTGGGCTTTTAGCTGTTACAAATGGCTCCTCAAGTTGGTCTGTGGTTCCATTCCTGGCTGATTGGGGCACCCACAAGACCCTATGTAGTTTTTGGAGTTTGCATGTATCTGATCTAGCCAGAACAAGGCCAGGTCAATGACAGTACAGAGTAGAGGATCTGGGAATTTGGGCTGAAAAAGTAGCCTGGTGTCATACCCAAAGGGGCCAGGATTCTGACACTGCCAAGCCACTAATGCCAGGCATGACCTTGGGCAGCTTGCTTTGTCTTCCTGGGCCCCAGCTTCTCCACCTGTAGAAAGAACGTTATTTCTAAGGACTGCCCATCTCTGGAGGACTAGAAAGAACAGACCGTTCTTGCTTGGGGAAGGTAACACATTTTTTGCTCATTGGGCGTTTATTTCCCTAGGCTGGAGGAGAACTATGAGATTGCAGAGGGGGTCTGCATCCCTCGCAGTGCCCTCTATATGCATTACCTGGATTTCTGCGAGAAGAATGATACCCAACCTGTCAATGCTGCCAGCTTTGGAAAGGTGAGTCCAGCCTCATCAGGCTTGTCCTCCCTACCACCCCAACTTTAAGTAATTTATGCACAGTTTTAAAGCATTTTAGTTATTTTTTTTAAGTTATCAAAGTACTTACTTACTTTGGTACTTTGACAACTTCAACTTCACTGTAATACTTTGCTATCAAAATTTCAAACAATTCAAAAACATTGTAAAGTAAGAAATTCAATGTCTCACTTGAATTTCCTCAGTACTTAATTTTCATGAAGTCACTTATTTTCTCTGAGAGGCAAATATTGAACTCACAAGTGTGTTACATGGATGTCAATCAGCCTGGGACAGGCAACCTGCTTGGCTTAGTCATGTGGATGCCTGGAGAAACTGGAAATGGCCCTGTATCCTTAGATTGGAGGTGTGGGAGTCCTCTGCAAAGAGTGGTACTATTTGCATTATCACTACAGTCCAGACTGTTCTCTTTCCACCTTATAAAAAAAATGCAATCCACATTTAGAGCTATGTCTACAAAAAATTGTTAGCAGTGATCATTCCCATTTAATAGGCCAAGGAAAGCTGTTGGGGCATTCTTTAAGACTGATCATTTATTTATTTGATGGCTACACCAAAAAAATACCCAATTTGAGTCAATACATCTAAACCTTCCTCCTTTTGTTAGCTTCCTTTTTCTATGTGTAATTTTTTCTGCATCTGCTAACAAAAATAGGCTTGTTCTGTACCATGATTTTTTATCAGTTTTCTGAGTGCAGGAATACGAAGGGCTGAAATGGCAGAAAGAGGTCAGTGTATGAGTTTCAGGAATTCCCTTTTCAGATCCCCAAAAGATAAATCATCAGTAGGAAAAGACAAAGAGCCGTGTTAGGGCTGAGCCAGCCACCCTGGAGAGCCCAAAAATGGAGTGGCTGAGAAATGGCTCCATTCAATAAATGGGAGGATGCTCTGTGATGACTTGGGGAGGAAAAAACATTTTTGTGTTGATTAACATGATTTCTCCAAAGTGAAAGGGATGTTTTTTTAAAAGTCAGTGGAGAAACTACCTTTGGCTATTTCTTTCATTCATTTCTTCAATCCTTCAGTATTGGTAGAGACTGGCTGTGTGGCAGGCCCTGTGTTAAGTAGTGGCAGTGGGGACCCAGAAAGGAACTCAGTATGGCTCTGCTATGGAGGTGCCCCTCAGCAGGTGGGAGAAGGGAGAGCACACAAGGTGGATGTGTATGCTACCAGAGCTTGGTCAGGAGTTTGCGGTCCTGGAATATTCAGTGGCACCTACAAACCCCTCGCAGAGGCCACAGTGGAAAGCCCAGATGAGGCCTCTTACATACAGGTTGGGGACAGGTTGGGTGAACCAAAAGACCAAGAATCCTGACTTTCCTGGACTTATTATCTAACCTCTCTAAGCCTCAGCTGCCCCAGCTTCCTCAGGGGGATGTTGCAAGAGTCAACTGAGATGATGTCAGTGGATGATGGAAGGTACTGTTTACTCAGTCATCCAATAACTCAGACATTTATTAAGCACCTACCATGTGCGATTACAACTGTTGCTGTTATGAATTCTGCATGAGATGTCTGTGCATGGACATAAACAGACATTTGTTAGCTTATATTCTGCAAAACAAATAAAAACCCTCACCACTTGTAGAAACTCCAATTTGCCTGCACAAGAAGCCTCTATTCTCTTTTCCTCAACTACTTTTGTAACCCTATTAGCTTGTGGTTTTCTTGACCTCCTGATCTAGGTAAAATCAGTTTAAGCGCACGCCTTCACCTCAGCACCCCAGTCCCATTTTCAATTTAAGTCTCAAGCCTGCCCCAAGACTTCAGCAAATCTCAAGGCATTTGCATTCTCAGGGTCACCTTGACTTGAGACTCTTCCTTCTGGTCATTAGCCATGTGTGGCTGTTTAACTTAAACAAAATAATAACTTCAGTACACTAGCAGTTGCATTAACCACATTTCAAATACTCAAGAGCCACATGTGACTAGAAGCTACCATATTGGGCAGTGCAGAATGAAACGTTCCCAGCATCACAGAAAGTTCTATCAGAGAGTCCTGTGTTATACTGCAGTGAGCCAAGGAGGAAACTCAGTACCCACTTTGCTTTTCACAAGACAGCCCACAGGAAGCCTCTGTGATCCTAGTAGAGTGAGATTTGTAGGAGAGGTTTACATCCCAAACAGGGTTAACATCCCAAACAGGGTCCTACGGAACAGACATCCCCCACTTCAAAATGCTCTTCATCCTCTTCACCACAGTGGGGGCTTACTGGCCCTGCCCCTGATGGTTCCCAAAGCTAGTCCCAGTGCTTCTCCACCCTGCTGTCTCCCTTTTCTCCTCTTCCATCTCCCTTCTCCTCATTCTCCTCTCCCCTTCCTCCTTGAGACACCCCCCACCAAATGTCTCTCTTCTGCGATCTTTGGTTTCTGCTGACATCTATGCCCATAGAGGTACCTCACTCACCCCAAATGGCATTTCAAAATATTTTTCTGAACAATACATTTCCTCCCTAAGAATTATAGTGCCAGCTGCTTCCAAAATAGTCATTTAAAAAACATCCGAACTCCATCTTATCTTCAGCCTTAAAACAAGGAAATACTCTAATGGCATTAAGAACACAAATGCAAATGCTCTGTGCAGCTGCCTTGCCATCAGTTTCAAATGGACTGGGCATTGGAGCTGTCCTTCCAGCCACAGAGGACAGGAGCTGCCTGCTAAGGGTTTCCACACTGAGCTTGCTGGATTGAAATCCCAGACACATTTGCCTTTCCTGAGGACTCCAGCATGCTGCAGCTGCCATCTCCTTGAGAGAAAGGGACTAGTTGTTCTGTGAAACTTTGAGATGAAATCGTGGACAGTCTTCCTTTGAGCAGATCCATCCAAACTTACAATTCATTGATGAACTTTTAACTTAGAGCAGGCGAGGTTTAATATTTCAGCTTAGCTTTTGGAGAACAAATACATTGGTAGTAGTCTCTACCCAGTTTGCAAGTGGGCTGAGGCAACACAGACATCAATGCTGAAGCTGTCCCCCAGGGACAACCAGGGTGACCTGGTTGGGATACCGTTCTTCATAAAGTGGGTGGCAGCCATTGCTTCGCTGCAAGTAAGATCTGAAATGTAAATCCTCTTTCCAAGTCTGTGGCCAAGCCCCAAAAACACCGGCTTCCAGTAATGCTGTATTGACTTTGGGTCCCAGAATTAATTTAGGGAGTATAGAGAATGTGAAAGCTTCTAGCTGAACTGGTCTTGTGCCTGCTTTCGCTGTTAAGGGTAATGAAAGTTCACCCAACTTGGAGTCACTGAACTTTTCTGAGCTCATATTTCCTTATCTTTAGACAGGAATAATCCCTCACAAAACTAGGGATAAAATGAGACAGTGCTTATGAGGGCGTTTTTTGAAACTGTCAAGTGCTCTACCCATCAAATAAATCATCATTCTCTAAATGATGGCCTCATTCCATCTCACCTCCCATCCTTCCTTACCATGCTTTATTTTTCTTTATAGCATTTATCATGACTTGAAATAGATATATTTATACATTTATATAGTATAGTTTTCTCTCTATATATAGATATATAGCTAACTTTCCCTACTGCTACTCTATGCTTGTCAAATATCTATATCTATGTATACACCTACCATGTGAGTATACAGAAGCATTATATATACGTAATGATTTTGTTTTGTCTGTCTCCTCTAGAATGAAAGCTCTATGAGGACTTTCTGTTCATTATGCATCCCCTACACCCAGAACAATGCCTGGCACAGAATAAGCCCTCAGATATTTGTTACATGTTGTATGATTTATATTTACATTACTTGTCAGGGACCATGTGAATCACTTTTACGTATGTGAACTCGTTTAACCTTCATGATAATAACCCTATGAAACTGGTGTTGTATCCATTTTCCATTAGCCCATTTACTGAGTAGAAATGAACTTATTGAGGTACACATGGAAACTAGCTGTATTTTTACTTACTTTGAAGAATCGCCTTCAAAGTTCTCCACCCAACTCTTCCTGCTCTGATGATGATGTCTTCAGAGGAAATCCCACAGCATCTGGCCATGTTCACCCATCACATCAGTCTTGGCTGAATAATTACAGCTCATTCTCAGCTATTAAAAAGTGTAGTTCAGTCCAATTTAAAACTTCAATCTCACATCTAAGTCAGACCTTCTTCCTCCTTGTGGCTCAGAATTTGCTCTGGGAAAGAGGGGTAGGATCAGCTTTTTCTCCTTCCTTTTCTGGCTCCTCCAGGGTTGGGGTTGGGAGACAGTGGGGGAGGAAAGGCAACAAGAGTCATTTGACAAACTGGTGCTCACTGGGGGCTTCTCCTAGCTATAAGTGCCTTCTGCTATGACTGTCACCCAAATGCTGGGGCCAGGGGTCCTGTCATAGGTTTTGGGGGAGCCACTGTGGATCTCTGTCCACATTAGCTGAGAGATGTGCTCTCTAGCCAACCTCCTACCACCTCCACTCACAGGCTGCTTTGGCCCCTCGGGTAACTGAGGAGTCCCTCTGTAGCTCTGTTATTGTGTTGGAAGCTTCTGGCCAACTCACTGCACACCGAGTGTTACACCCTGATTCTTAGAGATGCCCAGAGGAGCCCCAAAAAGCAGAACTGGCAGATAGGACAGGCTGAACTCAATGAAGCATAAACAAAAAATAGCTTTGCTTTGTTCCAAGTTTGTCTATGGCCCACTTCCTTCCCTGACCCCTGATTGTTGCATGGCAGATTTAATAGCTTTTGGGTTATTGATTATAAGAACAAGCATCTTCTCAATAATTTATACTCTTTTTTAGATGTTAAAAGTCCAGTCCAGTCCAGTTCTTGAATTTAAAACTGCAGTCTCACATCCACTTCAAAACTCCTCCCTAGCCCAGCTGGGGTCTGGCTATCTGTGGCTTGGGGACCCACAGTGAGGAAGGGAAGAGTGTGATCTGATCTTCTCCTTTCCCTGACCATTCCCTCCTGCTCCTGGTCCCTTTAGGTGTGTTAGACTGAGAAAAAATACTTTCAGAATATAACTCTAGCTCTCCAGGGAAACAGTGAAATAAATTTTTAGAGAACAACAGAACTATAAATTGAAACAAACATACGGTAATAGGGATCACAATTGGCATGCTCATGACGTTGTCCAAGCTTATTAATAGGCAATTTTTTAACAGATGGTAGAAGTGTCTAGCTCTGTCTAACTTAGAATGCAACATTCAGTTTTCATACGATTAAAGAGCAAACATTTATGTAGGGCTTTCTGTATACCTGGTACTGTTCTAAGCACTTTACATATATCAACCGTGTCTAGTCCTCTAAATAACTCTATGAAGTAGATACTGTTATTGTTCCCATTCCATGGATGGCAAACTGAGTCCCAGAGAAGCTGGATGATTTGCCAAGTTCACACAGCCAGTAAGTGGTGGACTCAGGATGTGAACCAAGGAAATATGGCCCCAGAGCTCATGCCCTTAGCCACCTCATTTACACAGGATGAGTTATTTCAGGGTTAGGCTAGGTATGTGTGGAGGCAGGTTTTGTGCACACACTTGTCCTTTTGACTTTGTTGCAGTCATTAGTAGTCATCTGGTGATCTCCTAGGTGATGGAATTTTGGAGAGAAGTCTCAGCCTCTGTGTATCTCAGGGATCAAGTGTGCTGATCACTGCAGTTGAGAAATGCTTTCCCAAATCTTCCCAGCTGGGGTGTTCTGGGTACTGTGAACTCTGGGGTACTGAGTACTAACTCCCTCAGCACCCGGGTTCATCCATTTATCTGATATTCATTTATCTCATGTCTGTGTGGACCCAGCCCCGTGCTGGAAGATGGGATACAGAGTGAAGTCTGCCTCCAAGGAGAAGGCCCTGTAGAGGAGATATATACACATGAGTGACTGCAAAACCAGATGGCAAATGCAATTCCTGAGTATGAATGCAAGATTGGAAGGGCACAGGATTAGAGGGATGCTTCCTCCTTGTAGGGGTGAGGGGCAGCCTGAGAACCAGGCTGGTTGTGGAAAAGCTCCAGGCACTGAGCATCCCCCTCTCTCAGCCCACAACCCTGGAAGGTCCATGGAAGCTAAAGTGGGTGTTTTAATTTCACCAGAAACCTCCTTCTCCTGCTTGACCACTTGTCTTTCAGAAACTCTAATAAAACAAAAACTCTACCCACACAAAGATGGAGCATCACTGCATTTGGCCAACAAGCTAAGCCTTTTCAGAAAGAACAACTGAGCCTCAGATTTTTGAGAAAAGAGAACATCTCTAGCCTACAAATGAGTTGCTTTCCAAGCATTTGTAAGCTGCATTTCAGTAGAGCAGAGGTCCTCAACCCCTGGTCTGTGGACTGGTACTAGTCTGTGGTCTGTTAGGAACTGGGCCACACAGCAGGAGGTGAGTGGGTGGGCGAGTGAGCGAGCATTACCTCCTGAGCTCCACCTCCTGTCAGATCAGTGGTGGCATTAGATTTTCACAGGAGTGAGAACCCTATTGTGAACTGCGCTTGTGAGGGATCTAGGTTGTGTTTTCCTTATGAAAATCTAATGCCTGATGATCTGAGGTGGAACAGTTTCATCCTGAAACCATTCCTTCAACCTGTCCAAGGGAAAATTGTCTTCCATGAAACCAGTCCCTGGTACCAAACAGGTTGGGGACTGCTGCAGTAGAGGCCACAAAGTGAAAGAATGTCTTCTTCAACTCACACTTATTGAGGGCCCACCATGTGCTGTAGCCCATGGAATTTCCAATAATGTCAGGTTTTGAGCCCTGAACTTGAGGATCTTTCACCCTTACTCACCATGTGATGATGGGCAGGTCCTTTTCCCTCTCTGAACCTCACTTCCTCCATCTATCAAATGGGGAAGTTAGTCTACAAGCATATGAGGATCTTACCGTATTAGCCCAAAACACTTTTCAACTAGAAATCATAAAATAGCTAACACTGACTCTATGCCAGTTCCTGGGCAAGCCCTTTTCATGGATTATCTCATTTAATCCTCGCATACTCTGTGAATGAGATGCTGTGATCTGGGTTTTTTGTTTGTGCATTTAAAACTTTTTAAAAGAGAAATTTTAGTTTGACAGCAAAGAATAAATTGTACAGAGATTTCTCATATACCCCGTCCCTACACTTGCCCAGCCTCCCCCATTAACAACATCCCTCACCAGAGTAGTACATTTGTTACAACTGATGAACCTACATTCACACATCATCACCCAAAGTCCATAGTTTATATTAGAATTCACTCTTGGTGAATTCACTCACATTGGTGAATTCACTCACATACTGTGAGTTTGGACAAATGTATAATAACATGTATCCATTGTTTTGGTATCATGCAGAGTATTTTCACTGCCCTAAAAATCCCCTGTTCTCTGCCTAGTCCTCTCTCCCTGTCCCCTAACCCCTGGTAACTACTGATCTTTTTACAGTCTCTAGTTTTGCCTTCTCCAGAATGTCATATAGCTGGAATCGTACAGTATGTAGCCTTTTCAGATTGGCCTCTTTCCATTCATAATATGCATTTAGGTTTCCTCCATGTCTTTTGTGGCTTGACAGCACATTTCTTTTTAGTGCTGAATAATATTTCATTGTCTGGAGGTACCATGGTTTATTTATCCACCTACTTACTGAAGGATATTTTGGTTTCTTCCCATTTTGGCAATTATGAATACAGCTGCTATAAATATGCATGTGCAGGTTTTTGTATGGACATAAGTTTTCAACTCCTTTGGGTAAATACCAAGAAGGGCAATTGCTAGATTGTATGGTAAGAGTTTATTTAGTTTTGTAATAAACTGCCAAACTGTCTTCCAAAGTGGCTGTACCATTTTGCATTCCCACAGCAATAAATGAGAGTTCCTGTTGCTCTACATCCTCACCAGCATTTGGTGTTGTCAGTGTTCCAGGTTTTGGCCATTCTAATAGGTATGTAGTGGTATGTCGTTGTTTTAATTTGCATTTCCCTGATAACATGTGATGTGGAGCATCTTTTCATATGCTTATTTGCCATCTGTATATCTCTTTGGTGAGGTGTTTGTTAAGTAAGGTCTTTGGTCCATCTTTTAATTGGGTTGTTTGTTTTCTTATTGTTTTTAAAGAGTTATTTGTATCTTTTGAGCAACAATCCTTTATTAGATGTGTCTCTTGCAAATATTTTCTCCCAGCCTGTGGCTTATCTTCTCATTCTCTTGACATTGTCTTTCACAGAGCATAAAATTTTAATTTTAATGAAATCCAGCTTATCAATTATCTCTTTCACGGATTGTGCCTTTGGTGTTTTATCTAAAAAGTCATCATCATACCCAAGGTCATCTAAGTTTCCTTCTATGTTGTCTTCTAGGTGTTTTACAGTTTTGTGTTTTACTTAGATCTATGATCCATTTTGAGTTAATTTTTGTGATGGGTATAAGGTCTGTATCTAGATTCACTTTTTTTGCATGTGTATATTCAGTTGTTCCAGCACCATTTTGTTTAAAAGATTATCTTTACTTCATTTATTGCCTTTGATCCTTTGTCAAAGGTCAGTTGACTATATTTATGTGGGTCTGTTTCTGGACTGTCTATTGTGTTTTGTTGTTCTATTTGTCTATTCTTTTCCCAATACCATACTGTCTTGATTACAGTAGCTTTATTGTACATCTTGAATATGGGTGGAATCAATCCACCAATTTTGTTCTTCTTCAATATCAGGCTGACTATTCTGGGTCTTTAGCCTTTCCATAGAAACATTAGAATCAATTTATTGATTGCCAGAAAATAACTTGCTGGGATTCTGATTGAGATTGTATTGAATCTGTTGATCAAGATGGGAATAACTGACATATTGGCAATATTGCATCTTCCTATCCATGATTATGGAATCTCTATTTTTATCTAGTTCTTCTTTGATTTAGTTCATCAGAATTTTGTGGTTTTCCTCGTGTAGCTCTTATACATAGCTTGTTAGATTTCTACATAAGTATGTCATTTTGAGGGGATGCTAACATAAATAGTATTGTGTTTTCAACGTCAAATACCACTTGTTTATTACTGGTATATAGGAAAGTGATTGACTTCTGTATATTAGCCTTGTATCTTGCAACCTTGCTTATTAGTTCCAGGAGATTTTTTTTTCTTTTGTAGAATCTTTTGGATTTTCTACTTGGACAATTATGTCATCTTTGAACAAAGAGTTTTATTTCTGCCTTCTCAATCTACATGCATTTTATTTCCTTTTCTTGTCTTATTGCATTGGCTAATGCAGTATGATGTTGAAAAGGAGTGGTGAGAGGAGTGGTGAGACATCCTTGGCTTGGTCCTCATCATAGTGGGAAAACTTTGAGTTTCTTATCATTAAGTATAATGTTAGCTGTAGGTTTTTTGTAGATATTCTTTATCAAATTGAAGAAATTACCCTTTATTCCTAGTTTGCAGAAAGCGTTTTTTTTTTTTCAAATCGTGAGTGGGTGTTTCAATTTGCCAAATACTTTTTGTGCATCTGTTGATATGATCATATAATTTTTTAGCTTGTTGATGTGATAGATTACATTAATTGATTTTTGAATGTCAAACCAGCCTTGTATATCTGGGATAAATCCCACTTGGTTATGGTGTATAATTACTTTTATACATCATTGGATTCAATTTGCAAATATTCTGTTAAGAATTTTTGCATCTATGTTTATGGGAAATTGGTGTGTAACTTTTTTTAATGCCTTTTATCTGATTTTGGTACTAGGTAACAGCTGACTTCATAGAAAGAGTTAGGAAGTAGTCCCTCTGCTTCTGTCCTCTGAAAGAGATTGTAAAGAATTGACAAAATTTCTTCTATAAATGTTTGGTAGAATTTACCAGTGCACCCATCTGAACCTGGTGCTTTCTGTTTTGGAAGATTATTAATTATTGATTCAATATACTTAATAGATATAGACCTATTCTGTCTGTTTCTTTCTGTGTGAGTTTTGGCAAATCAAATCTTTCAAGAAACTAGTCCATTTCATCTAGATTATCGAATCTGTGGGCATAGAGTTATTTATAGTATTCCTTTATTATCCTTATAATGTCTATAAGATCTGTAGTGGTGTCTCCTCCTTCAATACTAATATTACTAATTTGGGTCTGCTCTCTTTTTTCTTTGTTATGCTTGCTAGAGGCCTATCAATTTTAGTGATCTTTTCAAAGGACTGGCTTTTGATTTTATTGATTTTCTTTATTGATTTCCTGTTTTCAATTTCATTGACTTCTGCTCTAATTCTTATTGTATCTTCTTCTTACTTCAGATTAAATTCACTCTTCTTTTTCCAGTTTCCTAAGGTGGAAACTTAGATTATTGATTTTATATCTTTTCCAATATATGCATTCAGTGTGATAAATTTTCCTCTACTCACTGCTTTCATTTCATCTCACAAATTTTAATGTTGCATTTTCATTTTCATTTGGTTCAAATATTTTTATTTCTCTGAGATTTCTTCTTTGCTCCATGAGTTATGTAGAATTGTTGTTTTATTTCCACACATTCAAGGATTTTCTAGTTATCTTTCTGTTATTGAATGATAGCTTAATTCTACTGTGGCCTGAGAGCAGACATTATATGATTTTTGTTTTATGACCCAGAATGTGATCTATCTTGATGAATGTGCCATATAAGTTTGAGAATATATATTCTGCTATTTTTGGATGAAGTTGTCTATTAATGTCAATTATATTTAATTGATTCATGTCCTTACTGATCTTCTGCCTTACTGATTTCCATTTCTGATAGAGGGGTATTGAAGTTTCCAACAGTGATACTGGATTCATCAATTTTTCCTTGCAGTTCTATTAGTTTTGGCCTTATATAGTTTGATGCTGTCTTGTTAGGCACATGTATATTAAGAATCATTGTGTCTTCTTGGAGATTGATACCTTTATAATTATATAATGCCCTTCTTTATCCTTGATAACTTTCTTTGCTTTGAAGTATGCTCCATATGAAATTAATATAGTTATTCCTGTTTCTTTTGATTAGTATTATCATAGTATATTTTTCTCCATCCATTTACTTTTAATCTACATGGATCTTTATATTTAAAGTGGGTTTCTTATAGACAACATATAGTTGGATCTTGTTTTTTGAACTGCTTAGGCAATCTTTGTCTTTTAATTGATGCATTTAGACCATGATCTTCGAAGTAATTATTGATAAAATTGGATAATATTTACCATATTTGTTACTGTTTTCTATTTGTTGCCCTTGTTATTTGTTACGATTTTTGTCTTCCACTCTTCTGCTGCCCTTTGCAGTTTTAATTGAGCATTTCATATCATTCCATTTTTTCTCCTTTATTAGCATATGTTATACTTTAACATAAAAAAACCTTTTAAATGGCCTTCCTATAATTTGCAATATATATTTACAACTAATTCAAGCCCACTTTTAAATAATGCTATGCCACTTCACAAGAAGGGCGAGCACCTTATAATGAGAAAATCATAACTTTTGTGCCCTCTGTAAAAAAAAACATGCACACATACTTATGTATGTGTTTTAATTGATATACACATATAATCAAGTACTTTGTTGCCATTATTATTTTGAATAAACTGTCATCTGTTAGATCAATTAAAAAACAAGAAAAATAAGTTTTTATTTTACTTCACTTATTCCTTCTTCAGTCCTCTTCCTTTCTTTGTGTAAATCTGAGTTTCTGACCTATATCAATTTCCTTCTCCCTAAAGAATTTCTTTTAACATTTCTTGCAAGTCAGGTTTACTGAAAACAAATTCCCTTAATTTTTGTTTGTCTGAGATAGTCTCTACTACTACTTCAGTTTTGAAGGATAATTTCTAGTGTACAGAAACTTAGGTTGGTAGGTTTTTTCCTCTCAATACTTTAAATATTTCATTTCACTCTCTTCTTGTTTACATGATTTCCAAGCAGAAGTCAGAAGATAGTCTTGTCTTTGTCCTATATAGGTAACATGGGTTGTTTTTCTCTCTGGCTTTTTTCAGGATGTTTTTCGTTATCTTTGATTTTCTATAGTTTGAAAATGATATACCTTGATGTTGTTTTCCTGTGGTTTGGCTTTTTGTTGTTTATTTGACATTTATCCTGCTTGGTGTTCTCTTAGCTTTCTGAATCTGTGATTTGGTGTCTGACATTAATTTGAGGAAATTCTCAGTCATTTTTGTTTCACATATTTCTTTGCTTCTTTTCTCTCTTTTTTTCTCTTTCTGATATTCTTATTATGTGTATTTACATCTTTTGTAATTGCCCCCTAGTCCTTGGATGTTCTGTTCGGTTTTTCAGTCTTTGTTCTCTTCGCTTTTTAGTTTTTGAAGTTTCTGTTGATATCTACACAAGCTCAGAGAGTCTTCAGCTGTGTCTAGTCACCTGCAAATCCATCAAAGTCACTCTTAATTTCTGTTACAGTGTTTTTGATCTTTAGCATTTCTTTTTGGTTCTTTCTTAGGATTTCTATCTCTCTGCTCACATGGTCCATCTGTTCTTGCAGGCTGTCTAATCTATCAATTAGAACCCTTAGCAAATTGATCACAGTTGTTTTAAATTCCTGGTCTGATAATTCTGACATCCTTGCCTTGTCTGGTTCTGAGCCTTGCTGTTTCTTTAAATTGTGTTTTAGCATGCCTTGTAATTCTTTCTTGGTGGCCGAACATGATATGCCAGGTAAAAAAGGAATTGCTGTAAATCACCTTTAGTCATATGGTGGTAAGGCGTGTTGTTGGTGGGGGAAGCAATCTATTGTCCTGTGATTAGGTCTCAATCCTTTAGTAAGCCTATGCCTCTGGACTGTGAACTTTACTACAAGTGTTTCTCCATTTTTTCCCTCCCCTCTTAGATGTCATAGGATGGCTAAAGTTGGCTAGAATTGGATATTTCCCTTCTTTCACATGGAAGGTTAGAGGGGACTGGTGTTGGGTTATTTCCCTTCTCCGCATGGAAGGCTAGAGCTGACTGGAGTTGGGTATTTCCCTTCTCCCAAGTCAGTTAGGCTCTGATAATACCCCAGCAGATTAGGCTCTGGTTAACTAGCTTCTCCTGAAAGCAGGCCTTGTTAAGAAGAACAGAGTGCTCCAGCGTATTTCAAAATGGTTCCTTTACTCCTTCCCCTGCCGGAAGCGTGAGGGACTTTTGCTCTGATATTTACTGTGGGAACCTGGTCAAGCTCCTAGAGGTACATCTCTCAATATTGTGTGGGTTCCCCTATGATTGGGTCTCCCTAGAGTTATTTTTTAACTCTCAGCCTTGTCTGCATTAAGCCTTCACAACTTGTCAATTACAATTCAGGTGTTCCTACCACAGTACTGGGTCCTGAGGCAGTTCCCACTCCTGAGTCTCTGCTCCAGGGAGCCACGATTCCCTGTATTTACCCGTCTCTCCAATCTTGAGGGCAGCAGTTTGCTCTGTGTCCTCCCCTCTCTTAAGAACCCAAGAAGAATTGTTGATTTTTCAGTTTGTTTTGCTTTTTACTTGTTAGGATGGAGTGGTGACTTCAAAGCTTCTTATATACAGAAAACCAGAAACTGGAAGTCAAAATGCTGTTTTTATTCCCATTTAAAGATGAGGTAGTTGTCTCCAGGGCCTGTGTTGTCAATATCGGATTTCTGATCAATGCAAAGGAGCAAAACACTGGAGCATTCTCTATAAAGTCGATCCTAGGTGGAAACCAGAAGGTCTCTGAGTTATTACAAAAATTGGGGCTGTGGGGAAAGATGTCCCCCCCATGCCTCAATAGTGGCTTAAATAAATTAGTGGTCTTACTTTTCTCACATAAACTAAGTCTAGAGGAAGGTAACCCAGCTGCAGTTGGGCAGCTCCTTAAAAGCATCAGAGACCCAGTTTCTTTCTGTCTTTGTGCTCTGCCCTTTCTAGCAGATGGCTTCCAGTTTCTATATCACCTCATGGTCCAAAATGACTGCTAGACTCCAAAAACTATCTTCCAGGAAAGAAGTAGAAAAAAATGGGGTAAGGGAAGAAAGGTCAAAGCTCCCAGTTCAGTCAGCCCTCTTTAGACTCTTTCCCAGAGCTCAGCCCAGTGATTTTCCCTTACATCTCATTGGCTGCCTTTGGCTATCAGGGAGGCAAGAAAATGTGGTCCACTCTATCCTGGAATAAAAACTACGGTTTGAGCCAGGTGCAATGGTGCAGGCTCATAGTCCCAGCTACTCAGGCACGAGGCTGAGGTGAGAGGATCACTTGAGCTCCTGAGTTCGAGTCCAGCCTGGGCAACACAGCGAGAGCCCCTCTTAAAAAAATTTTTTAAACTTAAATAATAATTAGGATTTATTTACCTTGGACTAAGGATGAAGGGGAAAAAAGAAAAAATAATTAGGGTTTAGTGGGGAAGGAGTAGGCAACTAGCCATTTTATCCACATAAGGGTGTTTCACACATCCATGCATCCTTGTATATGCTACAACTATGAAATGGAACTCAGGATCCTGGAAGAGTATAGGTTATTCTCTCAAATTATGAGCTCATGGGAAGTAACATGGGTGGTACAATGTGATCACTTAAGACTGTGGAGGGTGACATGATTCATGGTCAGCAATTTGCTGAACTTTTCAGGAAAAGGCTGGCTTATGGATAGGCACTAGATAGTTGTGATATAGTGTAATTTGAATATGTGGAGAGGCCATTTGGCCTCAAAAATATACCTTCTGAAATAAAGGCTTAATGATGTCTTAAATTCCTCAATCCCACTTATTTAAGTCTGTAAAAATGCAACTAGAACAGGATAAGATCATTCATTAATACTTATCACTTACTAACACTTCAGTATGTATGAGTTTAATCTATTAAGGAGACTCAGAGATCAGTTGATGCAATCCCTTCACTTTCCAGATGTGGAAATTAAAGCTCAGAGGGACTGAGTGGTTTTCCCCAGTTCCTACATTTGGTGGCAGGTCTCCCCCTCCCCCACACTGGATCCAGTGGTGGGGCTGAGAGTGTGGAAGAGACACCAGTAAGAGGTAGAGAGACTGGAGAAAGGGAAGCTGAGGTGACAGATGTGCTTGTATGAATTAAATTTATTTATATCCTGCATTTTTTCAGTGAGGACATGGGTAATTGGCAGTTTGGGTTGTGGGTGGCTCATCCTTGAAGATTTGGCTCCTTTCTCCTCGCTGACCATCCTTGGGCAATGGGGAAAAAAGCCAAGTGTGTTCTGGGGACCTGTGCTTCATCAGCTGCACTTACCTGCATTGGAGAGAACAGAGACTTCCTCATTTACACGGTGGCCCTCTTCTTCTAGTCCCACCAGTCTGCCCACCCTCCTCCCATCCTGACGTGGGGTCACTTGCACACCCCTGAACTGACACAGCAGAAGATGAGGGCACTCTTGAGGCATCTTTAGGATCCTTCAAAGATGGTCTTTTTCCAGTTCTCAAAGGAAAAAAAAATACGTACATAGACAGACTTTCCTTCTACTTTTAATTCTTGTATATATTTTTCTTAATATTTTTGAATCTGCTGTGGGGCATCCATGACAGAATGTCTGATTTCACACCAGGTTTTTTCTAGGGGTGTGTGTGTGTGTGTGTGTGTGTGTGTGTGTGTGTGTGTAGTGCCATGTAAAACTCTGGGGGGTCAAACTCTTTGGGTTTGAATTTGAATCCTGGTTGTACCACTTAGCAGCTGTGTGAGCTCAGATAATTTCCTAACAGCCCTCAGCCTCAGTTTCCTCATCTGTAAAATGGAATATTGATAGCAATCAATCACCTGGAGAACTGTTGCGATAATGACTGTAAAAGGGCTACTTAGCACAGAGCCTGTAATTATAAACACTCAATGCTTGTTAGTTATGACTTCAGTTTATTATAGCAATATTTCATGATCACTAACATATCAGTGTTCCAGCCTTTCTAGGTGCTCTTCTTTCTGAACAATTTTGAGAACAATTGTTCTAAAAATGTCCTACATCACACACATGCTGCCATCACCACCCTCGCCCTCTCTTATTATCATCTTCAGAATTATTCCATTTTTGACTTAACCTGTATCTTATGTAACTCACCTCATTCTAGCTAAATCAGTGTGTGATGACTGCCTTCTCTCATGTACACGTGACACATTATCCAGTCACCCTGAGGACAATGAGGTGTTCACATATGGATTTTTGGCATTCTTGTTATTGCCATCCGTGGTACCCCTCAAGGGGCAACAGATTCACTGTTACCTTTTCAGCCCTGGGGCTTTTCAAAGAATTCTTCATCAATCCATAGGCATGATTTGAAATTCCACTTCTGTCTCATTGCCCTCAGTATGAATTTCTTGTAGAAATTTTGCAATTTCTCTTAGGGAATTTCCTGTGACACCTGTAGCATTCTCTAACCCTTTCATTCCCCAGTTCCTGGCACCCAGGAAGTGTCATAAAAATTGTTGAGTAGGTAAGAGTTACATCAGTATAGTAAAATGACCCCAGCAAACACTCATTTTAAGATGGAAGCATTGAGATAGGATGTTTTACAGTCCCCATTCATATCACCAGCTTTAATTATTTTTTCTTTTCTGAAAAATAGACTAGGTTTATTGTCAAAAGAAAGAAAGTGAATATCCTGCTTTCAGAGTTAAATTTGTGACAATTAGTTCCCTTTAACCAACTTCTTTCCCTAATCATTTCTCTCTCTTGTTCAAAGCATTGTTTCTTATGTGTGTTTTTAAAAATATGCCACAAGATTTCCACAATATATGGTTATAAAACAGGAACTTGTCATTGTATTAAATTTCTAATTTCTTGCTTCTTGAAAAGCCCTTCTTTACCCACACCTAAAATGACCCCTGAAGTAAGACCCACAACTCTCATTTTTAAACTATGTTCAGCATACTTTATTCTACATGAGTTTATCTCCTTCAGTGTGTGGAAGGACATCTACTGATTCCATTGCATTAGAATTTATTTTAGATCACTTCTTGTTGATGGCAAATCTTTACCTACTGAGGGTGGGTGGAATTTTTGGAAACAAACGCCCGATGACTAAGATTGGAGATCAAACTGATCAAGATCATATTATTTGGGGTCAAAATTGAAGGCTGTATTATGTAGAGTGATGAGACTGAATGGCCTTCCTGGGTGGCTCTGGGGGTGTCTCTTGAGGCAACACCAAGAGAGGCAGTGGGGCAGGGGGTGTCATTCACAATGAGAGGACACCGTGCTGGCTCTGGCATGTGTGGGCATGTGTCAGCCACAGTAAAGAAGATGACAGGTAGAAGAATCAGATTCCTGTTTCTTCCACTGGCCAGAGACTGTGAATGGAGACAGCCTTGAATCACCCTAGATCCCAGTTCCTCATTTGTAAAGTGAGATCATCATACTCTCTTCCAGTGTTGTTTTCCTTCTTTCTTTTCTTTTCTTTCTTTTGTTTGGAGATGGAGTCTCGCTCTGTCACCCAGGCTGGAGTGCAGTGGCATGATCTTGGCTCACTGCAACTTCCGCCTCTCAGGTTCAAGTGATTCTCCTGCCTCAGCCTCCTGAGTAGCTGGGACTACAGGTGCACGCCACCACGCCTGACTAGTTTTTTGTATTTTAGTAGAGACAGGGTTTCACTGTGTTGCCCAGGCTTGTCTCAAACTCCTAAGCTCAGGCAATCCGCCCACCTCGGCCTCCCAAAGTGCTAGGATTACAGGCATGAGCCACCACACCCGGCCTCCAGTGTTGTTTTCTAAGACAAAATGTACTACCGAGTATAAAACCACCTCATTTAGGGCATGGTGCTTAGTGATGCTCAGTGGCTGACAGTTCCTCTTTTCACTCTTTCCTTTCCTCATCTTAAATTAGGAGGGCAATTGTTTGAACATGCCATCTCGGAAATTCTTGCTTAAAACTCATGTTTCTTTAAAAAAAAATTGCACCCACAAAATGATGTAAGGGTATCCTGCATGCTGGGCTACCTTCAACTGGAGTGTGGTGTATGGGGAGGAGAACGGACAGGGGAGATGAGTGACATGGCCACCACCACCTAAAGAAGAATTCCAACAGCTCCAGAGAGAGTAGTTCTCCAGAGCTTCTCTGCTTCCCACCCCTATCCCTGCGGAGCCCCCAGCTCTGTCTGCCCAGGCTGAAAGAGAGAAGGGTGGGATTCATGAGTAATTAAAGGGAATTTGGAAGGCTGGGATGTTGCGGAATGTTAGATCAGTAGCTAGAACAGCATGTGGTGTTCTTTAGGCAGGCTTCATTGAATCCATACAAAAAAAGAAAGAGGGGCTGCCTGCCTGTCTGCTCATTTATCAAACAGCGAAGCTCAACTTTCACAGCTCCACAAAAGTGTTTTACTGTTTGCTGAGTCTTGCTCCAGAAATTAAAAGCTGAGCAGCCTGAGCGGGGCTGAACCGACCCTGCATTTTGAGACTCGAACTAAATTGTGCTGGGCTTTCAGATTCAGGGACCAGTTGATTATTTGGTGAAAGGAGAGGAGAATAATTTGTAATTTGCAGCCCATAAGAAACACTTAAAAAAAAAAAAAAAAAGCCAAACCCCCTTCCCACAGGTTTTTGTTGCAGCTGCAAGGAGGAGGTGCTATCTGCAGCAGCCCTTTCTTTGCTCAGAGTGGGAAAAGTCTTGACCTGCATTTGGGCAGAATGTGATGTGATACAGCAGCGCTTCCACCCATCCCCCATCCCCTACTCACAGCAAACTCCCTTTCCTCTGATTTCTTTACTTGAGATTGCCTTTTTCTCTCTTCGGAGGAGGAGGAGAAGATTTGGCCATTAGATACTTTTAGGTAAAAGAATTTTCACAAACAGAACTAAATATTCCAACCACACTAATATGTTCCTTGGGAAAGCATAATATACCACAAAAGCCCAAAAACTAGATTGAATGAGGAGCGTCTGCAAATCCATGAAGGATGGAAGTATAGAGGGCTAACTCCGTCAGTGAAGAGAAAGGGCTAGAAAATAATGATAACTAGAGGACGAGTCACTAGAGAGGCAGAGAGGAGTGTTAATAGATATGGACCCCCTGCTCCGGCTCCTCCCTGGCAGCTGGTCACTCCTGGCTCCCCTCCAGCCAGCGGGCTGTGAAAGCCTGTTGAGGTTGAGCTCTTGCCCTGCACTCTTGTCCCACTTCCGGCTGGTGAAGTCCCAGGAGGCAAGCCTGGGTACCCAGTCTCTAGCCTCTCTGATCCTGCTACGAGCCTGTGAGATAAGCTGAGCGAGTGTTATGATCCCCACTTTATAGATGAAGAACTTGATGCTCAAATGGAAGAAAGAGCAAAAGGTCTTTTGTGACTTTTCAATTTAGCACATTTTTATAAAGTGTTAATGCTGTCCTATACTTTATAAAAGTGTGTTTTAAGAACATTGAAATGTGTCTCCCCTTGGATAAAGCAGCTCCACCTTTGAGAAACTATCACGAGGAGGAAATCCCAAAACAAAGTATCCACAATAAAAAACAAAAATCATGCCACAAAAAGATATTGCTTATAGCATTATTTGCATTAACACAATGCTGGAGACAACTTCAATGGCCAATCAAAGAGGAATGATTCTTTCATTCTTTCATTCAATGAGTCAATGAATTAATGCACTGAGCCACCTTCTCTCCCACCTGGACTACTGCAGTAGCCTTCCAACTGGTTTCCCTGCTTCCATCCTTGCCCCTAAGTCAGTTCTCCACACAGCAGCCAGGGTGACCCTTTTGCATGGTAAGTCAGGTTTTGTTCCCCACTCCCCTCCTTAAAGCCCTCTGAAGTCTTCCCATCTCACTAAGAGTAAAAGCAGACAGCTTACAAAGGCCTGCAAGGCCCTGTGAACCCCTCCAGCCCCCAGACCTCTCCTCCTGCCACTCCCTCGCCCACTGGCTCTGCTCCAGCCACATGGGCCTCCTCATTCTTCCTGAAACGAATGAGACAAGCTCCCACCCAGGTCCTTCCCATGGGCTATTCCTTCTTGCAGTTTCCTTCCCCCAGATATCCACAAAGTTCATTCTCTCACTTCCTTTAGGTCACTACTCGGATGCCACATCATCACAGAGTCCTAATCACCCTAAACAAAATAACATCCCCACCTCCATTTTCTTTCTTTTTTTTTTTTCCAAGACAGAGTCTTGCTCTGTCACCCAGGCTGGAGTGCAGCGGTGTGATCTCGGCTCACTGCAACCTCTGCCTCCTGGGTTCAAGCAATTCTCCTGCCTCAGCCTCCTAAGTAGCTGGGATTACAGGCATGCACCACCACGCCAAACTAATTTGCGTATTTTTAGTAGAGACGGGGTTTCACCATGTTGTCCAGGCTGGTCTTGAACTCCTGACCTTAGTGATCTGCCTGCCTCACCCTCCCAAAGTGTTGGGATTATAGGCATGAACCACCGTGCCTGGCCCCCACCTCCATTTTCTTTATTCCCCTCACCCTACTTTTGTGTTCCCCTCTGGAGCACTTACCTGATAGAAGATACATTGACTTTTTCATTTATTTTTGGTCTTCTCACACTAGAATGTAAGCTTCTTGAACAGAGGCTGTTTCTGTTTTGCTCAGTGTGTTTCTCAGTGCCTAGCAAAATGTCCGGCCTGTAGCATGAGCTCAGTGGATATCTGCTGGTGAATGAATCCCTGCTTTGTACCATTAGCCAACCTATTATGGTTATTGAGGCTGCAGCTTGTTGAACATGGGGAAAATGAGGCTGGAGATCCAGTTTGTGTGGAGTCTTACAGGCCTAGGTCAGGACTTTATAGAGCTAAGCAGAACACTGATTATTTATAAAGATTCTATGGGAGTGGCGGAGTTGGAGAAATTTGGTCAAAGAATACAAACTTTCAATTAGGCAGGAAGAACAAGTTCAAGAGATCTATTGCACAGCATGGTAACTATAGTTAATAACAACGTATTCTTGAAAATTACTGGCCAGGCACCGTAGTTCTGGCCTGTAATCCCAGCACTTTGGGAGGCAGAGGTGGGTGGATCACTTGAGGCCAGGAGCTTGAGACCAGCCTGGCCAACATGGCAAAACCCCATCTCTACTAAAAGTACAAAAATTAGCTGGGCATGGTGGTGTATGCCTGTAATCGCAGCTACTCAGGAGGCTGAGGCACAAGAATCACTTGAACCCAGGAGGCAGAGGTTTCAGTGAGCTGAGATGGTGCCACTGCACTCCAGCCTGGGTGACGAGTGAGACTCTGTCTCAAAAAGAAGAAAAAAGAAACAAGAAGAAAAGAAAATTGCTAAGAGGGTACATTTTAAGTGTTCTCACCACAAAAAAATAACAAGTATGGGAGGTAATGAATATGTTAATTAACTCAATTTAGCCATTCCACAATGTATACATATTTCAGAACATCATATTGTACACCATAAATATACACAATTTTATTTGTCAACTTTAATTTTAAAAAAAGATTCTATGGATCACATAACTACGGTCACCCAACAAGTGGCCCAGGGAAAGTTTCTAGGAGGAAATAAGGTACAAGCTGAGATGTGAGGATGAGTAGACATTAGGCAGAAAAAGGGTGTGAAGAGAGGGCTCTGGACAATGAGAACATCCTGTGGGAAGGGCCAGAGTAAGACAGAACACAGTGTGTTCATGAAACTTGGAAGAAGTTCCATTCCGTATGGCCGGAGCACAGGAATTGGGAGAGGACGGGGAGAGGTAAGCTGGAACAAAGGCAGGGCCAATTAGGCAGGACCTGGTGGGTCTGGGTTCTGTCTAGAGGCTTCATGGAAAAGTGGTCGTGATGGGGCATGACGGGAAGCAGGGCCAATGAGACTATGGCAGCACTCCAGGTGCAAAACCATGGTCCTGGGATGCGTAGAGATGGGAGGATATGGGTAGAATCAGGAATATGAAGATAGAGGGTAGAACTTGGTCACAGGTTGGAAGTGGCACATACAAGGCAATCATGGTTTGGGAAAGGCGAGCTCTGGTGTGGTCAGGTAATGGGGAAAGGCTCACAGAGCAGCAGAGTGCATGCTGCGTGGCTGGATGGGCTCTGAGGGCACAGGTAGTGAGGAGGGAGAGAGAGTTTAAGGTAGAAGGTGCAGAGGTATGGACCTGGGAAGCATTCAGGGAATAGTGCAACACCAAGTAGTCTGACTTGGACAGAACCTCGAGTTCATGGAAGGAAATTTAGAGAAAAGATGGAAGCAAAGAGTGGTGTCTGAGTTTCAATCAAAAGAACCTCTGCTAAGTCAGGTGACCGTGGAGAATTGCCAGAGGCCTCTAGGTAGACAGGTAATGATCTGCATCATTCCTTCAGTAAACCTACTTGGGGACCTCAATTATGCAAATAATGATTTTTGATTAGCATTTTATTAAGCAGGAGCATTTCACTGCCAGATGATCACTTGAGTGGGTGCAGGGAAATTTCATCCAGGAGGAGACACGGGGCTGTCTGCTGATGACACCATCCCCTCAGCTGCTTCTCACCTTCCCTAGCCTATTGGGTGCAGGGCCCTCAGATCCTGTTCATAGCAGAGGCCACCAGAACATCTCCAAGAGGGTCAATGTGAGGAGAATAGAAGAGAAATCTTCACTGAAGAGTTGATGAGAACGAGAAATCATTTCATTCCTCAAACACACCCAATGTGTAAATGTAGGAATATGACATAAAAGAAATAAAGGTTACTGTTAAAGGAAGGAATGAGAGGCTTCGAGACATTCTCATTCGTCTAGAAGCAGTAACATTGCGGTGGTAGAGTGTTAAGTTGGACTGGATGCATTCAAATCGCAGGTCTGCATCTGAGCTGTGTGGCTTTGTGCAGGTTGCTTAGCCTCTCTAAACCTCACTTTACTCATCTATACTGAGGGAATATCAGTGGAACCTGGCGCTGGATTGTTGTGATGATTAACTGAGATAATACATGTAAAGTGGTTAGCACAGTGCCTGAGCCAGGACTGGAACCCGGGTGAGCCTGACTCCAAAGCCTGTGTGCCTAATCACTGTATACCACTGTTTCCCAATTCACTAGGAAAACAGAGAAAGGAGGCAGCTAAGGCTGCATGGGAAGGGTCACAGGGCAAGTGGGAGAGGCTTGGAGAAAGCTAGGAGTTCCTTGGGGTGAGTGGAAACAGTGTGGCCTTGGCATTCCAGGCACAGGGAACAGCACTGTGGATGTGGGAGCAACATAAGCCTGGAGCTCTGGGGAGTGGCTGGATTTCAGGCTGGGCAGCTGGGTGGGAGTCGATCACAGAGGGCCTCATGGACCATCCTGAGGAGCCTGGATTTTTATTCAGAGTGGGCAGCAAGAAGACATCCAGCATTTTCAATGAGGAAGTGAAATGATCATATTGGCATTTTAGAAAGATCCTGCCGCTGAGGCCGGGTGTGGTGCATGTACCTGCAGTCCTAGCTTCTCTGGAGGCTGAGGCAGGAGGATCTCTTGAGCCCAGGAATTCAAGGCTGCAGTGAGCTAGGATAGCACCACTACTCCAGCCTGGTCAACAGAGTGAGACCCTGTCTCAAAAAAATCAAAAAAACAAATTCCACTGGTGAGGCAACAAGACTGGTGGCAGGGAAACCAGTTAGAAGAATGTTTCTGTGGTCCAGGCAGTGAGAGATCACAGTGGACTAGTGCAGTAGTGGGGGTAAGGGCAGAAAGAGAGAAGGGGCTAGGTTCAGGAGACATCCTGAAGGCAGAACCAGTAGGACCTGGGGTTGTGCAGTGTTAGGAAGAGAGGAGTCAGGGAGGACTCTCCTGTTCTGTCTTAGGTAACTCAGTGGAGATTGATGCTGGTCACACAGATGTTAAAACTGCATGTATTGATCTATACATTATTCAAAAAGAATAAGTAAAAACCATCAGGAATGAAGGGAGTCATAGATTAAATTGATCCGTGAATTCCCAGGCCCCATGCTATGGCTTGATAATTCCTCAAGATCACAGTGCGTAGAATCACAAACACACTGATTGTACACGTTATTGCCTCACAGAGGTAGAACAAATGGCTCCAGAAGGCCAGTCATTTCCCAGGGGCCTTCTGGCACATCTCTAGAACACAGTCGGCAACCCCTGGTACCTTCACCTAGGGCCAGGCATCAAGGGCTTGGCCTGTGTTGCTTTATAGATGTTATGTAGGATACCATTTGGATAAACACTTAGAAAGATTTCAGAACTTAGCCCAGTCTCTTAAATCAAGTAATCATAAGACTTAGCAACCAAACAAAACAATGCTGCTTTCTTCAATTATCTACGTATTGTTTATAGAAAATAGGAAATGATTTATGTTTTTAAAAAAGGAAAGAAAGAAAAAAATAACAACACTATAACACTCTGGTAGATTTTAGGTGCTTCTTCCAAGATTATCTTGAACTTTCAGTTATTTCAATAAGGAAATCCTTTTCTATTTGCAAAAAACAAAAAGTTTATTTAGTACATAAATATACAAACCCTTTTTGTTCTACCCACAATCCCAATGCCCTAACGAATATCCATTTTCATTTTACCACATTACCTGTTTATTCCTATATTTTTACAAACAATTCTCTGTTATAAAACTATAACATAAACACAGATTGAGATCTGCTATTTCATTTAACATTATAAGCATTTTCTGTGTTGTGACATAGTTTTTGTTACCATCATTTTTAATGGCTATTTCATAATTTCTACCGTGTGTATATATACTATCATGTTTTTAGACAGTTTCCTATCATTAGACATTTATGCTGTTTCAAATTTTTCACTCTCATTAGTAGACTTACATTTAGCTTTTCCTTATTTCAGATTATTTCCTTGGAATTAATAGATCAAAAATATAAGTACTTTATGGCTTCCTATGTATTTTAAAAACGCTCTGGGGAAGGGTTGTGCTAATAAATGATATCATCAGCCATCTGAGTATTCCAGTTTTACTACAGCCTTGACAGCACTGAATATTAACCTTTCCAAAATGTCTGTGAATAACAGAGGGTTAAACATGGTGCCTTACTGGCCAAGTGCAGTGGCTCACACCTGTAATCCCAGCACTTTGAGAGGTTGAGGTGGGTGGATCACTTGAGGTCAGGAGTTCGAGACCAGCCTGGCCAACATGGCGAAACCCTGTCTCTACTAAAAATACAATTAGCCAGTCGTGTTGGTGTGCACCTGTAGTCCCAGCTACTTGGTAGGCTGAGGCAGGAGAATCACTTGAACCCAGGAGGTGGAGGTTGCAGTGAGCTGAGCCATGCCACTGCACTCCAGCCTGGGCAACAGAGTGGGGGCTCTGTCTCAGAAAAAAACAAAAAAAAAAACCAAAAACCACAATACTTTACTGTTGTGTCCATTTGTATCGGAGAAATTTTCCAGACCTAAACATAGGAAAATTTCTGCTTTTTCTAAGCAACTAGTATGCACTTATATTGATACTGGGACTCTTGGAACTCTATTGTATTATCTTCTTTGCTTGGGTGGTTAGGAAACTTAGAACCCACTTTTAACCAATGTGAAAAATCCCCTGGCTCAATTTTTATGCTTCCCTTGTTTTCTTTCTATCGCTATTAGCATGTCTATGTCTGTTCAGTAGTGTGCCTTTGTGAACAGCTGCTTCAAATCCTGGCTCTGAAGCCATTCATATGCTGAAAGTCTGAAGGGCTTGGCCACAGGTTAATATAAATCCAAGGTGATGAGGCCACTAAACCTGGATGCAGTCTTAGGCTGCACTGCTAGACAAAGTGTTTAAAGAGCACTGTTACTGACCCCATCTTGAATCACTGCCTTTTACTCAGGTCACCACAATTTGAGAAGGACATAAAGTGAAAAGCTTGGATCTTCAGTTTACAAGAGTCAGGGTTAAAGAGATGGGATTTATTGCCTACAAAGTGGTACCCTTAAAGAATTCAGAGAATTGTTGCATCATTTTGTTCAGTATTATCACCATGAGATGGTATTTTAAAAGCCTTTTTTACTTCCAAAAGTGGTTTCATGATGCTATCGTATTAGATTCTCTAAACATTCTTGTGAGGTGCATCTTTTTGTCAACGATTCTCTGATGCTGAAATGCTGCGGCATCCATTCTCCACACTGGAGGTGGTCAGCTCCCCAGTGTAGAGAAATGGTCAGTCTTCAAGGTTCTCAATTTCTCACTAATTTGTGCACTTCTGTCCATCCCATTGATACCATTTTAGTTGAGATCACCAACACCTAGCCCTCCAATTAGGGGAAGACTACACAACCCCTTAGTCCTCAAATGCCACAGGAGGAAATTCAGGCACAGAGAGGTTAAACAGTATGTCCCAGTTCAAACAGCTAACAAGGTCACAGTCCATATTTGTTGAGTGAATGAGTAAATCAATCAGTGAGAGTAGTGGTGTGGATAAAAGAGGGGTGAATAGATGAATAGAGATTCATCCCCATCCCTAGAGAAAGCACTCAAGGTTTATGCCCTACCAACAAGAAATCAGCAACAGCTTCTTTTCTCATGAAGGCTTACTCTCTCTGACCATGTATGCCTGCTCAGTGCTGTACCAGGAGGGAAGGGAGTCTTGGTTACACTCAAAAAATCCCTGGAAGTAAAAGGGTCATCAGGACAATCAGTGGTAATAATGGGTAACATTTATTAAGTACTTACTAACTGCCAGGCACTACTGCCAGCTATTTACATACATTCACTTTTTAAAATTTCACAATAACTCTAGAGGTTATTATCATTCCTATTTTACAAATGGGGAAACTGAGTCATGTGGATACTAAATAACTTGCCCAAGGGCATCCAGCCTAACCAATGCCTGAGCTTGCATTCAATTCAGGTAGTCGAGTTCCAGAGTTCTTGCACGTAACCCCTGACCTGTCATGCCTCTCCACAAACATCATCTCCGTAAACCCCAAGGAAAGGGGCCTCATGGTTATGTTTTCACCTTGAGAGATGCTCTCTCTTCACGGATTTCTTGTGAACTGGTGTGGTTGTCCTGGGCAACAGCAATTATCATCCTCTGCTCTGCAGACAGAAAAAAGATACCCCTAGGCTTTCATTCCTTCATTCAACAGATGTGGATTGGGGTCTTTGCATGTGCCAAACCCTGTATGAGGTCCTTGCTCTCATGGAGCGTGTGTTCAAGCAGGAGGAGACATAAACTAAGTACCCAGAGAGTAAGTGAACAAGATAACTTCAGATAGTGCTAAGTGATAAGAAGACAAAGCAGGGCCATGTGACCCTTGTGCTACTCCACACTGGCTGGTCTGAGAAGGCCTCTGGGCAGAAGGACATTGTCCAGACGCCTGAATGGTTAAAGAGGAGGCAGTCTTGTGAAGAGCTGAGTGAAATTCCACTCCTGGGTGCAGTACAAAGGCCCCCCATGGGGAGCAACGCTGGTGTGTTTCAGTAATAGAGAAAACAATAAAAAGCCAGTGTGGCTGGGATCTGGTGAGTAAAGGTGAGAATTATAAGAGAGGAAGGCCAGAAGGTAAGCAGGACGAGTTACAGAGGCTAAGTGTGGGTTTTAGTTCCAGGTGCTGTGGAAGCCACTGGAGGGTTTTAAACAGGGGAGAGGCAGGTTCTGGACCAACCAGAACTCTCCTTCCTTTGTGAGTAGGACGGGGTGAAGCATAGAGTGGCCAAGTGAGACCCCCTTAGTATCCAGAGCCCCACAACCATCCAAGCACTCCCCACTCTGACACCAGTAGTCTTCTCCAGGGTCCTCACAGACTCCTATTAAGTCATTGCAACCAAGGACCTATGTTTTCCTCCCTTCTGTAGATGGCTATTTGTAAAACTCAGTCACTATGCTCCCAACTCTTCCCAATGGGTAACTGATTCTTGTGTTGACTTACAGATCATAAGGCAGCAGTTTCCTCAGTTAACCACCAGAAGACTCGGGACCCGAGGACAGTCAAAGTAAGCACCGGACGGCCATTCCACCTGCAGAGCGCACATCTATGGGCCTCGAGACAGGCCACACCCTTGGCTCTTTATCCTGAGCTCTGTCTGCAGGCCTGGCAGAAGTCTGTGCCTAGAGGGAATATGGAAGAGCTTTATGACGGCCAGGGCCCCTCTCTCAGGACTCCTGAAAGAGAGGTTGTCCAAAAGCCCAAGACGAGTTGGCTCTGCTGCTTTAAGGAATCTGATTTTGTACCACCCTGCTTTTAGGCATATTTTGTAAAATAGTCTTGGGCATCATTGAAAGGATTGCCTTGTGGCCTCTTGGAGGATCACCAGGTTATCTGGACTGTTTTGCTGAGCAAACTCTGCTCTGATAGTATGCAGTAGACCAGAGAAGCAAAACTGTACTATTCCCTGCATGGGAGATGGGGCAGAAAGGTCCAGCTGCACCATGGTCCATGAGGGTTCACGGCTTCCCATTCATCAGTTTCATCAAGCAACCAACCAACTCATGCTTTATACTTTCTGTGTGTCACATATGTGGTGCTAGGTACTGGGAACACAGGAGCAAATCAGTTGCTGCCCTCATGGAGCATAGATTCCGGTGGGAAACAGACAAAACAGAGAATCAGATTGTGACAAAGTTGTAGCAGAGAGCAACAAAAGAGGAATGGCCAGGGAAGGTCTTTCAGAGGAGGTTACATTTAAGTAAAGACTAGGGGAGTGCAGAAGGCTGTGCAGACACTTGTCTGCTAGGTGTGAGTCAGTGGGAAGGGAATCTCTTCCTGTACTGCTCGACCTTCATTAAAATCTGCATTTATAGGACTTGCCTCTAAGGATGTTTCAAAAATTGTTGGACGATAATAGGTGTTCCATGAAGAAGAGCAGCAGGCCCTATAAGTTTGGTTAACACTAAGTTTAAACAGTTTCCTTTACTGCAAGACTTCTCAGAACCCTTATTATGCTAATGTACAAGGTGACTCCACTAGAGGGTGCCTTATTATGCAGCATTTCTAAGCATTTTGACCACGTTGAGCAGGTCAGCACATAGTGACCTATAAAACACTGTAACTTTTTAGAAAGGCAACCATATAGGACTTTTAAGACTTGTCTTGAAGGATGTGTCAAAAGCATGTCCAGTGCTCTCACCCTGGGCCAAACCCCTGTCCCTCACCAGCTCCTCTCATCCCTGGGCAGCACATTCCCATCCTCCAAGGGTGGGTTTGATTTTGGAGCCAAGGTAGGGAAAGAAAATGGATGATCGAACTGGGAAAAACCCTTTTTTGGTATTCTGAAAATAATGAGACTAATTTTTTTGGTGTAGCTCAGAAGCTTTTGAACCAGTCTCTAAAGGAATTTCCAGAAGACTGTTGAACAAAGGACCTCTTGGAATAAATTCCTAATAATTTTCCAAGATGACTATTCTGAAAAAAAAAAAAAAAAAAAAAAAAAAAAAACAAACCTCAGTTATAATTTTAAAATTCTGGTATTTGTTTAAAAGTAAGGTTTCAGCCTTGGTACGATTATAGATTACAAAAGCCAGGTTCTTCCTTGTTTGCTGGTAAACACATAGTAGGCAATTCAAAATGTTGGTCAAACAGAAGAGTGGATGGATAGAACGATATGGAATAAATGAAAATAAATTATTTTTCTCCAGCTCTTGGTCTTTGAGGAATCAGTGGCTCCGATAGCTTGTTGCTCATTTCTAAGAAGAGCAGAAATAGTAAAGACACACAGTAAAGAGAGAGCAGAAAGGTTTCCCATCCTGCATAAACAGAGAAAATTTCCTTCTGTCCACATGGGAGAGTCTGTTTTTGTTTTGTTTGTTTTTCTTTTTCTTTAACCTCGAGGTTGGCAAAATACCCTCTTTAAAAATTCTGTATAATCAATTTTATTGTATCCTCTTCCATAAGGATACTCCAAAGTTGGTCACACCTTCGACCAGTTGAAAGGCAGTAAGAAGCTCTTGTCTCCAACCTGCATCATGGCCTTATAGAGAAACTCCCTTGGCAAATTGACAATGACAGAAGAAATCTGGGGGGGTGGGCCAGGTGCAGTGGCTCACGCCTGTAATCCCAGCACTTTGGGAGGCTGAGGCCCGTAGATCACTTGAGGTCAGGAGTTCAAGATCAGCCTGGCCAACATGGTGAAACCCCATCTCTACAAAAAATACAAAAATTAGCCGGGCATGGTGGCACGTCCCTTTAGTCCCAGCTACTCAGGAGGCTGAGGCAGGAGAATTGCTTGAAGCTGAAAGGCAGAGGTTTCAGTGAGCCACGATTGCACCACTGCACTCCAGCCAGGGTGACAGAGCGAGACCTGTCTCAAAAAAAAGCACATTCTGCACATGTATCCCCTGCCTTTTTTTAGAAGAAATTAAAAAATAAATAAATAAATCTGGGGGTGGCTGGTGAGGAATGTGTTGTTGTGCCCTACAGAACTGAAATAGAAGAACTCAAGATCAGAGCAGTAGCTTCACTGTGGTTGTTGATTTTAGCTACGTGATCTCTGAATAGTCAAGAAGTGGTCTGGTCTGAACATATTAGATGATCTGGCTCTTAAGAAGTTATAAAGGTGAACTTTTTAAGGTTACGGTGGTGTGTCATAACTGTCATCCCACCTGAAGCCACCGGAACCATGCTCCTCCCCCACCCACAGAGTGAGTTCCAGGTGGGAAGGCAGTTATGACAGTTGAGAAGTAGTAGAAGACACGGAAGGCACAGAAGGCAGACTTCGCTCAGCACAAAGAATTTTCTGATAACCATACTGGCAAAATGAACTGGGCTGCCTTCGGAGGGTCTGAATTCTTCATCCCAGAAGGCATTCAGATAGATTCGAGATGCCCACTAAGCAGAAATATCACGGAATGGTATCAGGAGTAAAGGAGGGTTGGGGAGAGGGAAGGTTTTGACGTGCTCATCTCTTCCCTCCTCGCAAAAGCCCTTCCCATAATTCAAAATGCCTTCTCATCTGTATGATTTTGTGACTTTCATTGTATCTCCATGGGTAGAGAAAAGTAGTTAATATGTTGTGCGGTGTTTCTGAAAGCGAGGTCCACGGATGACCTAACATTTGTATTGCCACGGGACTGTGAAAATCGACTCTAGACGTACTAAATAGGAGTCTTTAAGGGGGGAGCAGGGCCCAGGAGTCTCTATTTTAATGGTTTTTTTTCTTCTTCTTCTTTTAGTCCTAGCTACTAGACTACCAGGGATATTTTAATATGTTTTGTAAGTGATTCTTAGTAGTAGTAAGGTTTGAGAATCACTGGCTTAGTGGTTCAAAGCACTTGGGAGGTTCAAATCCTGCCTCTGCTCCTTACTCACTGGCTGATCTTGGGTGCATGACTTAAATTCTCTGGGCCTTAGTTTCCTTATCTATAAAAATGGGGATAATAATTAATTCTAGCTTTATGGGGATTTTGTGAGATTAAATAAGATAATGTGTGTCAAGCACTCAGTACCAGAGATCTCAAACTGATGTGCTTTAGAATTACCCCTATGGTGCTTGATTCAGTGCTGATTCCTGGGCCCCATTCCCAGATGTTCTAAATCAGTAGGTACTGAGAGAGGGCCCAGGAGTCTGTATTTTTATTAAACTTTAAAAATGATTCTGATAAGATCAAAGTTTATAAGACTATCTTGCAGTGTTTTCAGTAGGATAGCACTGTGGCTTCATAGTCAAAAAGACCTGTCTGTGTTCAAGAACCTGTTCCTCCCCTAAACAGCTATATGACCTTAAACAAATTATTTGAGCTTTCTTGCCTCCAGTTTCTCATGTGTAGAAAGACTGTAATAATTTCCATTATTGGTTATTTTACAAATTAATGCATGCAAAGTCCTTTGCAAACTGCCTGGCATGTAGCCAATATATAATGCTCAATAGATTATAGCTAAAATCTAAACAAAATGCAGCCTCCAATCCCTTGTTAGTCTTAATTGAAAACATTGCTAATATTAAGCCTATTTTGAGTTAATAAAAAGTTCTGGTCTTCGCTTTACATTCAGTGTCAACTGAAGCACTGAATTTACCTTTTTAAAAATACAGTTCTTTGAGACTACCATTTATTGATTAAGAAAAACATAGGCCAAGGCCAGGCGCGGTGGCTCATGCCTGTAATCCCAGCACTTTGGGAGGCCAAGGTGGGCAGATCATGAGGTCAGGAGTTTGAGACCAACCTGACCAACATGATGGAACACCATCTCTACTAAAAATACAAATGTTAGCTGGGTGTGGTGGCACATGCCTGTAATCCCAGCTACTTAGGAGGCTGAGGCAGGAGAATCGCTTGAACCCGGGAGGCGTGGAGGTTCAGTAAGCTGAGATTGCACCACTGCACTCCAGCCTAGGTGACAGAGCGAGACTCTGTCTCAAAAAAAAAAAAAAAGAAAAAGAAAGAAAAAAGAAAAGGAAAACACAGGCCAAATGAATTTTTATTAGAGGTGCAGTTAGTAGTCACAAACATATCCTGCTTGGGTCCCCACAGAGAAGGGACCCTCAAGTGCTGGTATCCCATTTGGCTAGACATGAGAGATCAAGTACTAATGGAAAATTTTTCATCCCCTCTCTGCTTTGCAAAGTATTTGACTTAACGTTTTCTGTAGGAGGCAATTTTGGTTATTTTTACCTGCCTGATTGATGGCTGGCACTTTGGTTTAATTCTATATTTCAGTGATATTAGCCTTACAGGAGAGTTAACTCTTCTATCCCCAGGTAGGATGGCCCCAGCTTTCCTTGGCCTTGGGCAACACTCCCTACTCAGGAAACCTCACTTAATAACAGTGCATGTGGGTCTCTCTCTTTTTTTTTTTTTCTCTCTCTCCCTCCCTCCCCTTGTGGCCCAGGTACCATTACTATGGCATTGCAGTGAAAGAAAGCTCCCAATATTATGATGTGATGTATTCCAAGAAAGGAGCTGCCTGGGTGAGTGAGACGGGCAAGAAAGAAGTGAGCAAACAGACAGTGGCATATTCACCCCGGTCCAAACTCGGAACACTGCTGCCAGAATTTCCCAATGTCAAAGATCTAAATCTGCCAGCCAGCCTGCCTGAGGAGAAGGTAACTACAACTGAAGTGACTATTTGGGGTGGGTGGTTTCTCTCTCTTTCTCTCTCTCTCTCTGTCTCTATCTCTCTCTCTCTCTCACACACACACACACACACACACACACACACACACACACACACATTTATTGCAAAACCGTGAGTTTAAAAATATAAAGATAGAAATCCAGGCCAGGAGAGGTGGCTCATGCCTGTAATTTCAGCACTTGGGAGGCTGAGGTGGGTGAATCACTTGAGGTCAGGAGTTCAAGACCAGCCTGACCAACATGGTGAAACCCTGTCTCTACTAAAAATACAAAAAATTAGCCAGGTGTGGAGGTGGGCACCTGTAATTCCAGCTGGAGGCTGAGGCGGGAGAATTGCTTGAACCTGGGAGGCAGAGGTTGCAGTGAGCCAAGATTGCACCATTGCACTGCAGCCTGGGCAACAAGAGCGAAACTCCATCTCAAAAAAAAAAAAAAAAGAAAAGAAATCAAAATAAAGCATGGACTATAGTTAATAACAATTTATCACTATGAGTTTATTAGTTGTGACAAATATATCCTAGTAATGCAAGATGTTAACAATTGGGGTGAGGCATATGGGAACTCCCAGTACTATCTTTACAACTTTTCTGTAAATCCAAAACTATTCTAAAATAAAATTTGCTCTGTCAATCTCTATCATGTATGCCTATCTGTCTATCTACCTATCATCTATCTTCTGTCTTTCTACCTACCTACCTGTCCTATGATCTTATGCTGTCTCATTTCATGAGGAAAGAACCTCTCCCCTCTGAATTGCTTTTCCACAGGATAAAGTCCATTTTCCCATGTGCTGCAGGGGATTTGGTGAAATAATAGTCTAACAGTCAAAGAAGATTTTATAGGTATAGTGAATCTGATAGTTTTGATCATAGAATATTTGGAGCAAGTTACTGGAAAAATAAATTTGGGGAAGTTTCCCTTGGGGTATCACATTTCTTTTTTTTTTTTTTTTTTTTTTTGAGATGGAGTCTTGCTCTGTCATCCAGCCTAGAGTGCAGTGGCGCAATCTCAGCTCACTGCAACCTCCGCCTCCCAGGTTCAAGCAATTCTCCTGCCTCAGCCTCCCAAGTAGCTGTGATTACAGGCGCCCGCCATCACACCCAGCTAATTTTTGTATTTTTAGTAGAGACGGGGTTTCACCATGTTGGCCAGGCTGGTCTCGAACTTCTGACCTCATGATCTGCCCACCTCGGCCTCCCAAAGTGCTGGGATTACAGGTGTGAGCCACCGGGCCCAGTCGAGTATCACATCTTTAATGCACCTATTGATGCAACCCAGTGCTGCTCTAACATGTATTGAGCTTCTACTAAGTCTCCATGTCACACTAGGATCTGGGATGCAGTGAAGAATGAGATGAGTCCTGCTTTCAGAAAGCTTAGAGTCAACCAGGGAGATAGTGCTTGTATAAGTCAAACTAAGTTTATATAAAATGCATGTCTATGTTCTAAAATGAGGAAAATGAACTTGTATCTGTAAAGGATACATTAAATCTAAGAAATAGATAAATATTTTTTCTTAAATTTGCTTTTTTGGTCAATAAACATACAAATGAACTTCCTGCACCATGGATTTAAAATTCTCAGGTAATTGAAAAAAACATAAAAATAAAAAAATTATTGGATAAATGGAGGGGGAGATTAATTTTTTTTTTTATTTTTGCTAAGCACATTGCAGAGAATTTCCAAATGTCTTATGGTGACTTAGGCAGAATCACTTCTTCATATAACTATACATTGGATTTTAACTTTCTAGTGGTCTCAGCCAATGAAGAGAATTTAGTTCCATAACCCTGCTTAGCTCTATGTGCCAGGCACTGTGCTAAGTGCTGGATACATGAGCATGAATAAGATACCATTTTTGTTTTCCTAGAGCTCACAGTCTCAGGGGGTGGAAAATGGGGGCAGGAGGAGAAACCAGCGCATTCCGTATCTCAGGGAGAAACACACTCGTGCTGTGTGAGCACAGAGGAGGGAGCCAAGGGTCAGAGAATACCACCTAATGAAAATCAGTCTCACCTGGGTCTGGTAGGCTGAGCCGGTGTTAGGTGAATTGCATCCCCCCCACAGGGAAGAAATGACTTAAAAACTGAAAGTCCAAGGGCAGCAGCAATGTGTATTAATGTATGTCTTTGTTGTTGATCCTCTACACACCCCCACAGGTTTCTACCTTTATTATGATGTACAGAACACACTGTCAGAGAATACTGGACACTGTAATAAGAGCCAACTTTGATGAGGTAGGTCAACAAGGGTTGAGCTGTGAATACTCGGTATTAAAAATCTTGTAACACTAGCTCCTATTTCATGAGCTCCTGCTAGGTGCCAGGCCTGGCATCTGGAAGCCCTTCCTGGATACCCATTAGCTCACTTCATCCTCATGAGATCCCATGAAGCAGGTACGATTATTATCCCCATTTTATAGACCATACATGTGTATAGCAGTGGGCTTGGCCTCCTCCTTTGACTGAACTGGTGAACTGCCTCCTGCCCTATCAGCACACTAGGAAGACCATTTTGCCAGGATATCATTAAACCCAGGATTATAGATTCAGAGAAGCTAAAGAAAAGCTTCCTTACATTTTGGAAAAAATATATAAAAAGCTTTATTCTATTTTGTATATTTAGGCTTTTCCTGAGGCTTGTCCACTTGGGTACATTTGGAGCTGGTTACCCTCCATTCCCAAGGTCTGATCCATAGATTTCCATCAAATCCCATTAGTAGGGCCATCGTTAAATACAAACAATGTAAGAAGTCCATTTTATTTTAAAATATTGTAGTTAAAGAATGGAGAGGAGGAAATGAGAAAGGATGGGAGAACAATAACCAATAATAAAGTTATATAACTTTATTATTTTTTGAGGGAAGACAATGTGGTCTCTAAAAGGACTATAAAAAACCCAGTAGCTATTGATGGAAGACATCCCAGAAATTCCTTTGGTGTGTGTGTTGTGGGAAGGGGGTGCTGTTGTAGGTGGAGGGATATAAAAACGATGTCAGGTACAAAATGCTCTTCTCCTGTACTTTTCTGCCTTCCCACGGCTGTGTCCTTTAGGAGTAAATGTTTGTTGAGCACTTCCACTATCACTTTGCTCACAGACACAGCTCCAGACAAGATGGGAGTGTGTTGGTAAAGAAGTACTGTTCTTCCTTCTCTTGACTTTTATCCACTAGACTTCTAAAATGTACTTTAAAATGTCCCAAATTACTTGAGCAATAATTTCAGTGATTTTTTTCTTTTAAGAAAGAAAACTCCCTGCTTTCTTTCGAACTGCGGTTTGGCTCTATCTTACATTCCAAAGATCACTGAGATCAGGACAAATAATGATTCGTGACTGGCTAAGACAATACTAGCTGCTGTAACAAATAACTCTGCAAATCTTAGCACACTGGAGGTTTATTTCCCACCCATGTCACAATCCAGTGCGTTTGTTCTTGGTTGGAAGGCTGGTTGCTGGGGGGTGATTCAGGGACTCAGGCTCCTTCCACCCTGCCCTAGAACCTTGGAGTCCTCTTTGTTCAGCTGATGGGTGGGGAAAAGAACTACTAGGAAGGCATACCCCCTACTTATCCTTGTCAGCCCAGAAATAAAATAGCACTTCTGCCCATATTCCATGGACGGGAGCTGGTCCCACGGCCCCACCTTAATGCAGCGGGGGCTGGGGAGTGTGGTCCCTCACTGGGCAGCAGCTTACACTACTCAAATCTCTAAGGGACAGCTGTTCCTCTCTGCCACAGTTACCAACAACAAAACTAGTGGCAGTCCCCCCTTATGTTCATATGTAGCTTAGTCATCTCAAAACTCACTCTCATTTCATTTCATTTGCTTAATTCCAACACCTATTGGGTCCCATACACTATTGGAGAGATAAGTAAAACACAGTTGATAGGATGGGGGGAAGGCATGTAACCAGCAACTAGGATGCAGAATATATGGTGAGAGGTCCAGAAACATTGAGGGGCAGATGCTGCTATGGAAAGAGTGCCAGGCTTCAAGTCCCAGGCTTGGATTCAAGAGCTGGCTCTGCCTTTCAAGCCTCAATTCCTCATCCTAGAAATGAAGATTTAAAAAAATCATCCCCATCTATTTAATTCATAGTGTTACTAGAAGGAGGAGATAAGACTGCCTGGTAAAAGCTCTTTGTAAACTGTAAAAGGTCATACAAATGCTTGTTCTTTTCAGATGTATCAACCAGAGTGTTCAGAGATTTGGCCAAGGTCACACAGTTGGTTAGGGCCAAAGGTGTGACAAGGTCCTTCGTCACCTCACACCCTTAGGCCAATTCCACCCCACTGGCAGGAATATTTGGTGGCTGCTTTTAAGATAGCTAATTCTTCTCAGCCACAGAATAATGAAGGGAGACATTTTACCTCTGATGAGGATGGCTTTCTCCTATAGCTGAGAAAAGTCATTGGTAAATGGATGGTGGATGTATCTGGTACACCTTGACTTTACAGTTGGTTTCAAGTCTTCCAAGTCTTTAATATCAGTTGAGGTTACAACTTATGCTAGTATCACAGTCCTAAATTATCTTGTTTGTTCACTTGTTCATTGTTTGTCTCTACCACTATAATGTAAGCTTTTGAGGGCAGGAAGCTCATCTGTCTTGTTCACTACTATATCCTATCTAGCCATACTTTTAGGCTGTCAGTCAGTATTTGTTGGGTGAATGAGTGGATGAATGGATGAACAGGTGTAGAAATGCCATTGACTTATAACATTGTCAAGCAATTAAAGAATGCAAATCTGAGGCCGGGCGCAGTGGCTCACGCCTGTAATCCCAGCACTTTGGGAGGCCGAGGTGGGCAGATCATGAGGTCAAGAGATCAAGATCATCCTGGTCAGCATGATGAAACCTCATCTCTACTAAAAATACAAAAATTAGCTGGACGTGGTGGCGCGTGCCTGTAGTCCCAGCTACTCAGGAGGCCGAGGCAGGAGAATCGCTTGAACCCAGGAGGCGGAGGTTGCAGTGAGCCAAGATTGCGTCACTGCACTCCAGCCTGGTGACAGAGTGAGACTCCATCTCAAAAAAAAAAAAAAAAATGCAAATCTGCATGTAGGGGACTCGGGAACGTCTTCTCCAGACTACATTGCACAATAAGCTGTAAAGTTCAGTAGTCTTGTGATTGAGTCTCAAATCTGCCACTGACTAGCCTGTGACCTTGAGCAAGGCACTTAACCTCTCTGAGCCTGGATTTGTTTTGCTACAAGATGAAAATAATAATTATACCTATCTCATAGTGAACATGAAATTGTGTATGTAAAGTGTCTGATTTTGTTCTAGAATATGATGTTAGGCATTTTTGTAATTATTTTATTGAGAGCCTTCCAAGCCTGGTACACTTAGGGACCCCAATTGCAAGTCATCACAGGTGTTTCCACAAGGTGCCAATGTTCAGAATGAACTAAATATGAACATGGAAAAAGAAATAGAAAATTTGCTTGGTATTCCTAAGGAAATCATCTCCTAGTACTTCACTGAGCTGAGAGACAAAGGGCCGAGAGTTCAGAAGATTGAAACAGATACCTCAGGAAACTTAATTTTACTAATAATTTGGAATCATTTGCCTCTGATTCTTTCACTGTTTATGCTTGTAAGGTGTAAGAACTTATCAGAACTCTCCTTTCTGCCTAATAATGTTTCCATTTGTTAAATGCCTACACGATGCCAAGCATTTTACATAAGCTATCTTATTTCACCCTAATAGTAGGAAGACATCATTATCTTCATTTTACAAATGCTGGTAACTCTGAGAGTTATATGTTTAGTCCTGAGCTCCAGATTCAATTGACTTGAAATTTAACTTAACACGGCCAAACCAGAGCTCTTAATTTTCTGCCCCAAATCTGTTTTTCCCAGGTCTTAGATTGCCACTCCCCTCCACCCAATTGCTTAAGCCACAAACTTTGATTCTCTCCTTTCCCTCACCCTTCAGATCCAGTCCACTGGGAGATCCTGTCAGCTCCACCTTCTGCAGGGAAACACTGCATCTGTCCATTTCATGCCTAACTTCCAAGCCTTAGTGCTTGAGCTAAGGCCATTCTCCCTCCTTCCTTTTCCTTCTCACCTGGAGGAACAAGTATCATTGGACAATAAATGACCTAAAATGCAGAGTAGAAAGGGATGTTAAAACTGGAGAATACATCTTCTACAAAAGCCACTCAGCAAACTGAGGATGGATCAGCCTTCCCAGTGCAGCTTGAACAGGCTTCAAACAGACAGATGCCTGCTGAGGAGACTGATTTTGCACAGATTTGTTTAAATCCACACAACAGCTGATCTTTTCTAGACATTCTGCTAGAAATTGACTGCTCATATAAAAAAGGGGGTACGGCTGCCTGCAAGAAGAGCTAAGTAAGGCAAATGAATTCAAAATGTGTCAACTCAAGAATCAGCTGGGCAGAGCTTCTTACTCAGAGTTAGAGGAGCAGACAAGAAGGCCCAGGACCTGACCTGAGCCTGATGCCCAGGGAATGAGCTGGGATCAGGGGACAGTGGAGGGTCCTCTGGAGGGCAAGTACCTTGTCCAAAAGCCGTGGACATCTCCAGGCTCAGGCCACGCTAATAGTCAGCCACCGGGTGTCTCAGTGACAGAACAAAAGTCTTGATAGGTGAGCGGAGCCACAGTAGGGATCCTGGCTGGGTGACATTCAGAAACATAGGCAAGAAAGTCTCAAACACCTAGGGCAGGACACTGATCTCTTGAGCCCAGTAGTGGTAGTGCCTCCATGATATAATAGTAGTAATAACAGCTAACCTTTATTAAACATCTATGATGTGCCAAGCACTAGAAGCACTTTTTAGAAATCTTCACCAAAACCTATGCAGTAAATACTGCTTTTATCCCCATTTCACAGAAGGGGAACGGAGGCTTAGAGATATGATACTCCTCAGTAGTGGAGCCAGGATTAGAACCCTGCAAGTCAGTCTTCACTCCTCCAGATTTTGTTTTCATTTTCAATCTGGATGAAAACTTTGCAGTATTTCCACTGTCAGGGAATAAACAGGACTCTAACTGAAGTCTTTTCGATTTACAGACCTGACTTCATTCACCACTACGATCATGTTTTCGGCAATCACCACTTCTCTCCTAGGAAGTCAGAGGGGCATGCCTTTATCCCTGTTCCTTATCCTCCAAGCCTTCCATCCTGTACTTCCACAGGGAAGTCCAGGCAGGCTGTAGGCATCAGGGAAGCCTATTCACAGGAGGCTGAGATGGAGTCACCAGGCTAGAGTCGGGGCATGGCTCTACTAGCCAGAGGCAGCCTTTTCAGAGCAAAATTAGGCCCTACTCCTTGGAGGGGCCTGAAGGATGCTGCAGGTTACCAGGGCAGGGGCAGAAAGCTGGGAAGTAGGCAGCAGTCTAGGGAGAGACATGGGCCTCAGCAATGGGGTAGAAACCCAGTTACCATGTGAAGAACAAATGCCACAAGAGAGACTGTGGAAGGACTAAGGCAGACATAGGCTCTATCTCAGCCATACCCTGACTGGCTGTCTGGCTTTGGACAACTAATATCTCTGCAAATAAGAGTAATGATTCTCAGCTATAGTATTATGAGTATTACATGAAAGAACCTAAGCAAAGTACCTGGCATATAGTAGGTACTCGATAAAGAAAGCTAATGGCGGCCAGGCGGTGGCTCACTGTAATCCCAGGACTTTGGGAGGCCGAGGCGTGCAGATCACCTGAGGTCAGGTACTCGAGACCAGCCTGGTCAACATGGCGAAACCCCGTCTCTACTTAAAAAATACAAATATTCGCCAGGTGTGGTGGCACACACCTAGAATCCCAGCTACTCAGGAAGCTGAGACAGGAGAATCGCTTGAACCCAGGAGGCGGAGGTTGCAGTGAGCCGAGACCACACCACTGCACTCCAGCCTGGGTGACAGAGCAAGACTCCATCTCCCCAGAAAAGAAAGCTAATGGCAATAATACTTGCCCCAAAATGTTAGACTAGAGGGACTCAATTATCTCCCACACCAAATCAGGATTGATTTGGGGAAACAGGGATGTGGATAATGCTACATGTGGAACTCAAGAGTGCCCATCTGTTGGGGAGAGAAGGAAACATGATCCAGAAACCAAGTCAAACCCATTGGAATGTATAAAAATTCAGTTATGTGTTCCCCAGCTTCGAGATGGGCTGCTCCCCAACTGAAGATGTGCTGCAGATGTTAGCTGATAGCTGAAGTCTAGATTTTCTCAAATGTTATTATATACATCAGTTACTATCTTCTACTATTTCTCTTCACTTCCCTTACCTTTCCCACCACTTCACCCCCTATTCTACTCAACTTCTAATCCACAGCTAAAAGACAGAGGTGTAGGGGAGGCGGCAAGGGGTTCTCTGCTTTGGACATTCACTCTGCCCTTCGTTCAGTAACAATGTGGCTCAAGTTCCTGCTATCATCATATTAATAGTAATAATTGCATTTCTGGGTGCCTGCTATAATCTGGTTCTTTGCTAGTGGTTTGGGGAGTTTTAAAAAGTCAGTCACACACACTTCATGTGCCCACATAGCTTACCACTCAGGTATCACCATCTAGCATCCCATATAGCACCCACTGGCCAGGGAGCTTTGGGAAATGGAAGAATTCTGATATGAAAAGACTTTTGCACTTGACCCAATCTTTGACGCACAAATTTGAATCAGAATTTTGTGTGTGTGGCACCTACTCTCCTTTCAGCCACACTCCTTTTACCCGCGACTCCCATACCTTTCCCTTCCTTCCCAGAATACCCAGGGGCCCCTGAGGTTCAGTGGGCTCAAAGAATAGTGAGTACTAGTGCTCCGACCTTTTTAAAAACAATGCCCCACCTTCCTTTCCTTAAACTCTTCCCAGACCTCAGTAAGCACTGAAGGCGCTGAGGGGTGAAAGTGCTTCATCTTTTGGGGCAGAGGAGACCCCAGCCTGCCAGGCTAGTCAGTTCCCCAGCAGTGTGCATGTTGCATGCCTAGGCAGAGGGAAGACTTGAAGCAGGAGAAACTCCCAGGGCCTCCTACAACATGGCAGGCTGGGGGTGACTTCTGCTGCCGCAGGGGAAGTAGATGACAGCATTGTAGACTGGGTTGGCCTTGGTGGAGTCCCAAGCTTCTGTTGGGAGGGCCCTGGGTAACCTCATGATTCTTCTCTCTGTGGGTCAATACAGGTTCAAAGTTTCCTTCTGCACTTTTGGCAAGGAATGCCGCCCCACATGCTGCCTGTGCTGGGCTCCTCCACGGTGGTGAACATTGTCGGCGTGTGTGACTCCATCCTCTACAAAGCTATCTCCGGGGTGCTGATGCCCACTGTGCTGCAGGCATTACCTGACAGGTGGGCATGCTTATTCTTGTCTTCCTTCACGGCTGGTCCACAGAAGGGATTGTTCTGCTTCTCTTGTACTGATTATAATCATGCACTGTCCAGAGGCCTCCCTTGTAAAGACCATTAATATTGAACTTTTAAATATTAAAGTTTATTTATATTTTGGAATATAAATAAACTGTTAATATTTTGAACCATTTGTGTGGCTTAAAATTCAAAGGTATAAGATGGTGTACAGTAAACAATCTCCCCACCAGACTCCTGTTCCCCAGACAACCCAGTCCCTTCCCAGAACATCAAATAGAATCATTTTCTTGGAGTCTGTCCAGATCTGATATGCACATGTAATCAATGCATATAATATACTGTTTTTCTTACTGAAATGGTGACATACACTATACCCTGTTCTGTGCCTTGCTGTAAAACAAAACAACTTAACCTTGAAGTTTATGCTGGACAGCTTCCATGCCCCTCCAGATGTACTCTCCACCACACTTCATGCTGCCTTCTGCTGGGGCCAGAGGTGGGGCATATGCTGATAGCATGGGCCACCACACAGGGCGCTTCTCAGGGAGGGATGGAGGGAGGAGAGTGAAGTCAGGAGATGGATTATCTGGCCCCCTTCCTGTGAGATTGTGTTGAGCTGGCTGGGTTCCTTCACTGGGCTGTGTTCCCTTCCAAGCAACTTTCCAGGCTGTCCTTGGGCACAGAGTGGGCGAGAACCTGTGCTCCGAGCCTTAGGTTGCAGCAGTCTCCCTCATAGTTCCTCTACTCCGTCCACACCTTTGTGACATGTCCCTTGTAAATAAACCCACCCATTTAGAGTGGCACTCCTTCCTGTTGGGACTGTTACAAAGCACATTGCACATCCATGTATAAGGTATAAGGAGCTTTTTTCTTTTTTACAACTGTATAGGGTTCCACCATCTTGCATTTAGTCAATTCTCTTGATATGTCCAGTTTTGTCCTACTCCAAACAACACTGTGATGAATGACATTTCATTTACCTTTTTTTTTTTTTTAACATGGTGAAGTGCATTAGTTTCCTGTAACTACTGTAACAAATTACCACAAACTGGCGGGGTGACTTAAAACAACAGAAAAGTTATTCTCCCACACTTCTGGAGGCCAGAAGTCCCAAATCAAGCATTGGCAGGGTTGGTTCCTTACTGAGGCTCTAAGGGAGAGTATGTGCCATGCCTGTCTTCTGGCTCCCGGTGTTGCCAGCAATCCTTGGTGTTTCTTGGCTTGCAGACGCATCACTCTAATCTCTGCCTCCACCTTCACAGTGCTTCCTGCTCTGTGTGTGTGTGATTTTCAATCTGTATACCTTTTCCCCACCCCTGTCTTATTGCACTGGCTAAAATCTTTAGGATGATGTCCTAGCCTAGGCAAGGGTGGACATCTTTGCATTTACCCTGACCTTAAGGGGAAAGCATTCAGTATTTACTATAAAATACAATGCTAGCTATAGGTTTTTAATATCTGGTTGAATGTGTGTGTGTTCGTGTGTGTTTATAATTATTATAATTATTATTATTATTTTTTTTTTGAGACGGAGTTTTGCTCTTGTTGCCCAGGCTGGAGTGCAATGGCGCAGTCTTGGCTCACTACAACCTCTGCCTCCCGGGTTCAAGTGATTCTCCTGCCTCAGCCTCCCAAGTAGCTGAGATTACAGGTGTGCACCACCATGCCTGGCTAATTTTTTGTATTTTTAGTAGAGACGGGGTTTCACCATGTTGGCCAGGCTGGTCTTGAACTCCTGACCTCAGGCGATCCAACCGCCTCAGCCTCCCTTTGTGCTGGGATTACAGACGTGAGCCCCCTACACCTGGCCAATTAATTTTTTTTTAAGATGAGGTCTTGTTCTGTTGCCTGGGCTGGAGTGCAGTGGTGCAATCATTGATCACTGCTCACTGCAGCCTCAAACTCCTGGGTTCAAGTGATCCTCCTGCCCCAGCCTGCGGAGTAGCTAGAACTATAGGCATGCCCCACAGGACCTGGCTAATTTAAAAAAAAAATTTGTAGAGATAGGGTCTCACTATACAGCCTAGTCTGGTGGTCATAAATTTTTAAAAAATATGTTGCTAGATCTGAATTGTTAATATTTTGTTCAGAGGGTTTTATAGTTCATCAAAGTTATTTGATCAATAACGAAAGTTACTCATCTTTAGTTTTCTTGTCTCATAATGTCTTTCTCTTATTTAGATATCAGAGGAAACCTGGCCTCATAAATGCATTGAAAAGTGTTCCCTCTCTTCTTTTTTTTTTTAATTCATAATATTTTCTTATTATCCTTTTAATATCTGTAGGCTCTGTAGTGATGTGTCCTTTCTCATTCCCGATGTAGGTAATTTGTGTTTTCTTTCCTTTTTCTTGGTCAGTGTGACTAGAAATTTTTCAGTGTTATTGATCTCAAAAAATAGCTTTTGGTTTCTCTGGTTTCTTGCTTTCTGTTTTCAATTTTATTGACTTTTGCTTTTTATCTTTATTCCTCCCTTTTTGTGCTTGCTTTGGGTTTATTTTGCTCTTCTTTTTTTAGTTTCTTTAAGTGAAAGCTTAGGTCATTGATTATAAATCTTTCTACTTTCCTAATAAAAGCATTTAATGCTATAAATTTTATTCTAATCTCTACTTAGCTGCACCCACAGATTTTGATATGTTGGATTTTCATTTTAATTCCATTCAAAATATTTTCTACTTTCTCTTGTGAATTCCTCTTTGATCTATGGGGTATTTAGAAGTAAACTGTTTAATTTCTAAATATTTGGGGATTTTCAAGATATCTTTCTATTAATAATTTCTAGTTTAATTCCCTTCTGGTCATATTATATACATAGTAATATATCAATTCTTTTAAGTTGATACTTGTTTCATGCTCCAGAATGTGGCCTATTGGTGAATGTTCTATGTGTACCTGAAAAAGCTATATATTCTGGTATCATTAGGTTAATTATTCTATAAATGTCAACTAGGTCAAGTTAATTGATAGTATTGTTTAAATTTTCTTTGTCTTTACTGATTTTCTGTCCATTTGTTCTATTGATTAGCAATAGAGAAGTATAGACACCTCCAGCTCTAATTGTGAATTTGTCTATTTCTATACATTTTTGCTTCATGTATTTTGAAGCTCTGATGTTAAATGCATACAAATTAGAACTGTTATGTCTTATTGGTGAATTGACTTCTTTTCATAATGTCTTTTTTTATCTTTCATAATATTTCTTGTTCAGAAGTTTACTTTGTCTGTTTGTAATATAGCTACTCCAGGTTTTTTTTAAATTAGTGTTTGCATTACATTTTTTTCCACCCTGTTAATTTGTCTTTATATTTGAAGTAGATTTCTTGTAACCAACATAGAAACATAGAGGGAGGTCTTTCTTTTTTATTGTCTGGCAATTTTCCTTTTTAGTTGGTATGGTATGTGTAGATCTTTATATTTCATGTAATTAAATATATGGTTCAATTAAGATCTTCCCTCTTCCTAGTTGTTTTCTATTAGTTTCATCAGTTTTTGCTCCTTTATTCCTCTTGTTGTGCCTAATTTTGTTTAATTATTTTTATCATCCCATTTATCTCCATGGTTGGCTTTCTTTTTCCCCCTCTGAGACAGGGTCTTACTCTGTCACCCAGGCTCCAGCTGGAGTACAGTGGCACAAACACAGCTCACTGCAGACTCAACATCCTGGGCTCAAGCAGTCCTCCCACCTCGGTCTCCTGAGTAGCTGAAATTACAGGCATGTGCCACTAAGCCTGGCTAATTTTTTTACTTTTATGTAGAGATGGGGTCTTGCCATGTTTCCTAGGCTGGCTTGAACTCCTGGGCTCAAGGAATCCTCCTGCCTCAGTCTCCCAACGCGTTGGGATTACAGGTGTGAGCCACCATGCCTGGCCATGATTGTCTTTTTAAAAATACCTCTTAAAAAAAATTTACTAGTTGTTTTAAGTTTGTATATCTTCTTTTTCTTTTTTTTTTTTTTTTTTTTTGAGACGGAGTCTCGCTCTGTCGCCCAGGCTGGAGTGCAGTGGCGCGATCTCGGCTCACTGCAAGCTCCGCCTCCCGGGTTCACGCCATTCTCCTGCCTCAGCCTCCCGAGTAGCTGGGACTACAGGCGCCAGCTACCACGCCCGGCTAATTTTTTGTATTTTTAGTAGAGACGGGGTTTCACCTTGTTAGCCAGGATGGTCTCGATCTCCTGACCTCGTGATCCGCCCGCCTCGGCCTCCCAAAGTGCTGGGATTACAGGCGTGAGCCACCGCGCCCGGCCAAGTTTGTATATCTTCAATTATAATATACCTTCAAATAATGTTATACTGCTTCACATGTAGTGTAAGAATCTTAACAACAGTATACTCCCTATTTGTCCTCCCATTTTTATGCTATTGTTGTCATACATTTTGTTTTTGTATATGCTATAAACTCCTAAAACATTATAACTATTTTTGCTTTAGATAACTATCTTTGAGAATGATTAAAGATATGAAAAAATATTTTATATCTGCTTTCATTCACATGATTCCTAATCTTCATTTCTTTGTGTATATCCAACTCATCGGTGTAATATATGAGTTGGATATGTAATCATAGTCCTCTGCCTGCAAAATTTTCTTTAATGTTTCTCATATTGCAGGTCTAGTGGTAACAAATTATTTGTTTCTGAAGAGGTCTTTATTTCTCTTTGATTTTGAGAAATACTTTCACTGGGTATGGTATTCTGAATTAACACGTTTTTCACTTTTGGCATTTTAAACATTTCACTCCATTGTTTTTGGCTTGCATGTTTGTCTTTTGTACATCTTTGCTCCTCTGTAGGCAGTGTGCCTTTTTTCCTTGGATGCCTCCACAGTTTTCTCTGTCTTTGGTTTTTCAGTCTCTATCTTTGGTTTTCAGCTGTTCGACCATGATGTGTCTCAATGCTTTGTGTTGTTTTCAATCCTACTTGGGGTTTTCTGAGCTTCTCGGATCTGTGCTTTGATGTATTTCATTATTTTTGGAAAATACCCATTCATTATCTTCTTCTCTGCTTTCTCTCTTTTTTCTCCTCCTGATATTTCAATTACAAGTATGTTAGGCCATTTGATACTGTCCCACAACTCCCGGATGCTTGATTTTGCTTTTTCTCTACTCATTTTTCTCCTTGTGTTTTAGATGGAGTAATTTTTACTGACCTATCTTCAGGTTCACTGAGTCTTTCCTTTGCTATGCCAATGCTACTAATGAGACTATTGAAAGCATTTTTTATCTCCATCACTGTACTTTGTTTTTATGTCAATTTCTAATATTACATTCTTTTAAAAGTAATTTCTGCATTCTGGCTGGGTGCCGTATGGCTCACACCTGTAATCCCAGTGCTTTGGGAGATGAAGGCAGAAGGATCACTTGAGGACAGCCCAGACAACATAGCAAGATCCTGTCTCTACAAAAAAAAATTAGCTGGGTATAGTGGCTTGTGCCTATAGTCTAGCCACTCAAGATGCTGAGGCGGGAAAATTAATTGAGCCCAGAAATTTGAGGTTACAATGAATCATGATCCAGGCCGGATGACAGAGCAAGACCCTGTCTCTAATAATAATTATTATCACATTTATTATTAATATATTAATTTTATAGTAGTAATTATTTATGTGTTCTTCTGAAATTCCACCTCTGTTCATGCTTGTTTACTTTTTCCATTAGAGCTTTTAACATAGTAATCATAGTTACTTTAAATTTTAAATTTCCTGTCTGATAGTCTGGTTATGTTGATTGTTTTGTTTCTTGACAGTAGGTTCTTTTTCTTAATTTTCTGTTTATCTCATAATTTTTATTGGCTGCCAAACAGTGTGTAGAAGAGTAGAGACTGGGGTAAATAATACTTATGCCTGGAAATGGGCATGCTTCTTCCCCTGGGCTCTGAATATGAGTTGAGGCAGTCTATTCGGGAGTTCATTGCATTTGGGTTTTGTTGTTCCTATGATTACCTTTAGTGTAGCACCAGATTTAAATTCTTCTGGGGTACTTTGTGCTTAAGTTGGAGATTTGTTGGGTTGTTTCCCTTAATGTGCCTACTCCTTTACCTGTAGGCCATCCCTATGCACACAGTTGCTTAAGACTTGGTGCTTGTTAGCCTGATTGGAGCTGGAAGTGGGGATGTGGGTTCTCCTTTGTACAGTCCTGTTTCAGTCTTAAGCAAGCCCTGTGCTTTGGATCTCAGAGTTGGGCACTCTCAGTGATCTTGACTCATTGCAGAGACAAAACTCTAGTGATTTGATCCCTTGGTGGTTTCTAGCAGGGTTACAGAGCTTTCTCTTTTCATCTTTCCCCCACCTACAACGGGTCTTCCCTATTCCCTGGGGTCAACAGTGTTTTCTGCTTTTCCCCTAGTCAACTGAGGCTTTTGTTCCATAAGGGAGAAAGGTCTTGGTGGAACTTCATGCTTTTTCCACAGCAACAGCTGTTCCCTTCCTCCAAACATGTACCTCTCAGAAAGGCTTCTTCTGTCCTCCTGTCCTGTCCCCAGTCTTCCTCATGAACACCTGGTGAGGCCTGTGGAGGAGGGCTTGCAAATAGATGTGAACTTCTTTTGCATCTGTCATTCCAAGAGTTCTATACTCTCATGGTAGTTCATATTGGCCCATTAGCAATTTGTTAAAAGTGTTAGCAAAATTTATTTCACCCACTTGTATGTAACGCCCTGTTTTCTTCCCTCTATTGCAAGTGAGCCAGTCCCCAAGTCCTTCTCTCATTGGAGGTGCCTTTCTTTCCATAAATTCCAGGCTACATGATTGTGACCTCAGCTCTCTAATGGTTTAAAGAAAAGTTATAATTTTGTAGATTATCTGGCTTTTTCTTGTTATGGTGGAAGTGATGCTCTTTCCGGCTTTCCACATTGTAGATGGAACGGAAACACACCCAAATAGGTTAACAAAGGTTACCTCCAGAGGGGATTATGGCCACATTTTAGTCTCATCCTTTTCTGCATTATTCAAATGTTCTACATTAAGACCGAATTTCAATTTTTATAATAATATGTATATGTCTATATTATATACGTAGGAGCCATTTAGGGCTTTGTGTTATTAAAATCTTTCTCAGTCACTGATCAAGTGAACGGAGGCTAAATCTCCACTTTTATTTTGTACCACAAAGGTATCTTCTGAGGATTTAGTAAAACACATCTTTATAAGAAAGATTCACATACTTTTAATAATGCTTTATAGGTGTTAAACACACACATACACATGGCATTTGCTGTTTATTACAAAGCAGTTTGTGGGGTACAAATGAAATGTTAACCCCTCCCTTCCTATCTATAATTGACTTATTTTTACAGATGTGGAGGTTAAAGATTAAAAGCTGAAATGAGGGCCAGGCATGGTGGCTCATGCCTGTAATCCCAGCACTTTGGGAGTCCGAGGCAGGTAAATCACTCAAGGCCAGGAGTCTGAGAACAGCCTGGCCAATGTGTCGAAACCCTGTCTCTACGAAAAATACAAAAATTAGCTGGGCGTGGTGGCAGGCACCTGTAATCCCAGCTACTTGGGTGGCTGAGGCACAAGAATCACTTGAATCCAGGAGGCGGAGGTTGCAGTGAGCTGAGATTCCACCACTGCACTCCAGCCTGGGTGACATAGCAAGACACTGTCTCAAAAAAAAAAAAAAAAAAAAAAAAAAGGCTGAAATGACTTGTCTACCTTCACCTGCAAATAAATGAAATAGTCAGGACTCGAATATTCATTCAAGAAAACCACAATATTCATTCATTCATTAAACAAATGTTGATTGATTACTACAATGTGCTAGGGACTATGCTAGTTCCTGGAATACAGCATTACATAAGATAAGCATGCTCCCTGCTCTCATTGAGTTACAGTCTGCCAAAGGAGACTGTTAAAAAAATCACGTGGTTACATAATTACTACTGCAATCTTAGCCTGCAAGGCTTACAAATCAAGTGCCGTTTTCATTAAATCAGGAAGACAAAGTTATTCAAAACATCAGGCTCCATCTGAGAGCTGACTTTTCAGTTTTATATATTCATCCATCCCTCAAACTTTTTTGAGTGCCTTTTCTGTACCAAGCCTTGTGCTTGGCATCATGGAAATGAGAATTGGTACTAGAAGTTCTCACTCATGACCCTGGGCAGGCCCAGGCTGAGGCACATCTCCCCACCCCCTAGCTCAGACCCATCCCTTCCTTTCCAACTCAGAAGAGCATGTTGAAATTCAGGGGAATAAAAAGACACTATGATAGAGATAACCATGGATCATACACTCCCATTTATAAGAAAGGGAAATCATTCTCAAACTGGGGTTTTTCACTTCTTCCAAGTAATCTCAGCACAGTGGTTGTTAATAACAATTGGGTTAGCTATAGTAAGAAAGTGTGTGTGTATGCATGTGTGTGTGTGCATGTGTGTGTGTGCGCGTGTGTGTGTCGTATGGGCAGGGAGGAGAAGTCAAAGAGGCAAAGAAAAGACTGAGGACCAAGCCTGAAATGCCAAAGGAATAGCAACATCAGACAGAAAGGCAGAGGGCACTGGAGATGGGGAGCAGCAAGGCATGTCAAAGTGCACAATGTGGTACTTTCATCAAAGTGGAGTAGGACAGCGGTTGTAAGTCAGATAGACCTGGGCTTTACTCCTGGCTCTGCCACTTGCTGCATCTCTTTGGACAAGTAAAATAACTTTTGTGAGCCTCGATTTCTCACCTCTCTGTTGGGACTAACAACAGTATGTACTTCTAGGGCTGAGGTGAGGATTAATTAAGAAAGTACATGTGAAGTGTTCAGTAGCTTGGCACATTGCACTCATTAAAAGGTAACTGCTGTTATCACCGTTGTTGCAGTTGTAACAGCATCACTGCTGATGGGCATTCAGGGAGCTACGAGTGTGGAGTTAAGATGTAGGAGAAGGGCTGAAGCTGGAGCTGTAGACTTGGCAGCCAGCCGCACAAGAGGGAGGAAAAGTGTGTCCCTAGAAGTGGAGGACAGACCCTGGCATCCCAGCCTAGGGAAGGAAAGAGGTGGAGGGAAAGCGGAGGAAGGAGGTCGAGCTGCAGGTATACACCCACAGAGGACAGTATGTCAAGAAGGCATAGATGCTGCAGGAGATGGAGTCAGTTGGGGCTTAGGGAGGCATCTCTTAGAGCAGGTGATCAGGAGGTGAGCTGCTATCTGGGGCAAGAGCTTCCAGGCAGAAGGGATGGCAAGTGCAAAGGTCCTGGTGAGGTAAGCAAGGGCCTGAAGTGTTGGAGAAACTGAATGGAGGCTAGTGCTGCAGGGATGGAGTAAGCTGAGGGGACAGTGGGAGGAGCTGCAGCCAGAGATAAGGAGGGTAGGGAGGGGGACAGTTTGGACAAGACCCGTTGTCCATCTGGGGATGGAGAGCCATTCATTCTTACACTTCACTTAACAAGCATTTCTTATGTGCCTACTATGTGTCTGGCACTATGCTAGGTACTGAGGATACAGTGATAAGCAAAACAGACATAGTCCCTGCCCTCTGCATGAAGGGTACAGTGAGAAAGATGCACAATGATCAGATAATCACACAAGTTGACGTAACAACAAACTGTCACAACTACATGGTCTTTCAAGAGGAATCATCAGGGGTGCTGACCTGGTCTGGGGGCTTCGGGGAAGGTTTGCCTATAGAAATAATATCTAGTCTGAGATTAGCTAAATAACATGGAGCTAAGCAGGTGAAGAGGGAAGAGATGTTCTTGACTGAAAGGATGCCAGGGGCGAAGGCCCTGAGGGGAGAGGACCAGTTGGAGTTGGAGGCCAGAGGTCCGGAATGCAGAGAAAGGGAGAAGGTGCAAGGTGGGGCCTTGGGGGCTGCAGCAAGAATTGGGGTTTTTATCCTAAGAATAATGTGAAAACATTGAGGAGTTTTAATCGGAATTACAGGTGTTTTGGAAATGTCCCTCTGACAATGTGGAAGATGGAGTGGAGGTGGGAGGGTGAGCAGGGCAGGATGGACTCAGGAAGCTACTGTAAGTCCGGATGAGAGATGACGGCAGCCTGAACTAGGGAGAAAAGGGAGAGAAGTGGCTGTGCTTGGGAAGTAATTTGGAAGCAAAATCTGTAATATGTGGTAAAGGGAAAGAGAGACTGTGTCCAAAATAGCGTATGCAAAACTGGATACTTGCCTAAAGAAATTGTAACTGAATTAATCAAGTCTTTAGAAGCAGACAGGATAGATGAATAGATTACATGACACTACAAGACAGAACTCAACCAAATCAGAGTGTAGGACATTCCAGGGAACAAATACCATGATGTTGCCAATAAATAAATGGCACAAAATAGGGGAAAAAAATATTTAAGAAATAGAACAGGACAATGTTATATCTTTCATGCAATGTGTGGACCTTGTTTGGATCCTGATTCAAACAAACTAAACATCTTTGGGAGAAATAGAAAAGTCTGAATGCAGACTGGGCTGTAGATGATATTAAGGAATTACTATTCATTCAGTTAGATAAACTAATGGCATGGAGGATTTAAATGTTGCATGCATATTGTGTGCGTGTGTGTATACATGTACACATATGTATTTAAACCTTGCCAGTGAGAAATGCACACTAAGTTTTTAGGGGTTAAATGACATCTTGGATTTGTTTGAAACACTTCAGAAAAGATAAAGTGGAATATAATATATTAAACTGGCAAAAATGATGCCAATTTTTGAAGCTGGGTCATGGGTGCTTGGAGGTTTATTATACTACCTGTCTTGGGGTATGTTTGAAATTCTTGAAAATAAAAAAGTGATCAATAAAAATAAAATGATGAAAAATAGAGTTCATACTGAAATAGAGGACACAAGAAAAGAAGCAGGTCCAAGGGGGAAATCACAAGTTCAACTTGGAGACCTCTGGGCCGGAGGTGCAAAAGTTAAGTGCAGACAGTGAATCTGCACAGATGGGAATTTCGCAGATTCAGTGAATCTGTGGGCCTGGATAAACTACCCGGGGAAGGAAGAAAGCTTTGTGAGAAGAGAGCCCAGGACTAGACATGAAGAACTGAGAGGCGTGATGACCAGGCAGAGGGCAGGAGTTTTGTGACTGGGGAGGAGCAGCAGAAGGAGGGATCACAGAAGCCAAGAGAAGTGAGTGTTTCCAAAAGGAGGGCGCAGGTGACAGAATCGAATGCTGCCAAGATGTCAAGCAGATGAGAAACATGACAAGTCCACTGGGTTTAGAATCATGCATGGGGGCTGCTTAGGCTGAGGTCAGGAGCGGGGTGAGGAGGGAATGGGAGGTGAAGGAAATGAGACAAAGAATTGGGCAGCACTTTGAAGAAGTCTGTCTGTGATGTGGGAGAAAGGGCAGTGGCTCAAGGAGATAGAGTGGAGGAAATAAGAGGTTTGTTGTTGTTGTTGTTGTTGTTTTTAAGGTGAGACATTCTTAAATGCATTAAAATAATGAGCAGGACTGGGCATAGTGGCTCACGCCTGTAATCCCAGCGCTTTGGGAGGCCAAGGCGGGTGGATCACTTGAGGTCAGGAGTTCGAGACCAGCCTGGCCAACATGGCGAAAGCCCATCTCTACTAAAAAGACAAAAAATTAGCTGAGCGTGGTGGTGTGTGTCTGTAATCCCAGCTACTCAGGAGGCTGAGGCACGAGAGTCATTTGAACCTGGGAGCCGGAGGTTGCAGTGAGCTGAGATTGTGCCACTGCACTCTAGCCTGGGCAACAGAGCAAGACTGTCTCCTAAAAAAACTGATGAGCAGAATGATGTAGTAGAGAAGAAAAAGCTGAATATACAGGAGAAGGGACCGTCGGTAATGTAGATTTCCTGAGAAAGCAGCAGGGGATGGCAAGAGGAAGGATCGCTCATGGATTCTATCAGGAAGGAGGAAGAGATGAACCAGACAGGTAGCTGAGTGCTGATGACGTCCTTCCTTTGTGTGTGTGTGTGTATGTTTTTTTTTTTTCCCTGAGAAGTAGGAGGTGATTCCACCCGCTGGCAGGGAGGAGAGAGTTGGGGAATTGGAGGCGTAAGGGTCTTGAAGAAGGTTGGAGATAGCCATGAGAAAGGAAAGAGTCAGTGACCAGAGAGAAATGGGGTTGCCCAGTGGGGTGGAGGTTGGTGATTTTGTGTCTGACAGGAGACAGTGGGTGAAAGGCTGAACCAGGGCAGGCTAGGTGGTGTTGGTGGAAGGCAAGGATGGATGGTCAATGGGGAGATGTCCCTGTGTCTGGCACAACCAAGGAGGACTTCGTGGAGGAGAACGAACCTAGGCCTGTGAGCAGATGGCTTTGATAGCAAGGGCCAGAAAATGGTGCCCGGTGTCTTCTCAACTTCAAATTCCCATCTTATTGCAACCTACTGCCCTGCTCAGTGCTTCGCCTCTCCAGTTCCTTCCTGCCTCCTGTTCTAATATGGTCTTTGACTCTTGGAATCTAATATGGTTTCAAGGCCCATATCAGGGTTGTTTGCTAATTTAAAAATATGCTGTTGCTTCCCAGTTCCCACCAAATGGCGAGCAGTTTGGTAAGCTGGGTGGGCAGGCATGGCAGTTATGTTGCAAACAGGGTTCCTGCCTGCCTGGGAGGATCAGACAGGACTGGGCTTTCTAAGGCCCACGGCCCACTGTCTTCACCCCTCACACAAGCTCTTCAAAAGCATGAAGGAGCATGTTTTCCTTGCATCTAAATAGTTCTGGATGCCACCAAGCCTTGCAGTGGCCATCAGTGACCAGCAGAGTACATTCTATTCGTGCCCTTCCCAGACCCACCGGCTCTCCACAGGGCTTGGACTGTTGGCACTGTCTCTGAGGTTGCTATTACAAATGGCACCTATTGGTAGCAGCCAAAACATGATTAGGGGAAATAAAACCCTCTAGGGGCCTGTGGGAGGAGCTAAGCAACATGTGCAGCACTTAAAACTCATCGTTTCTTTTTCTAGCTTAACTCAGGTGATTCGAAAGTTTGCCAAGCAACTGGATGAGTGGCTAAAAGTGGCTCTCCACGACCTCCCAGAAAACTTGCGAAACATCAAGTTCGAATGTAAGTACTGAGTTGAGAGCGGGATGGAAGAGAGAATTACATTTTAGTGCCAAATATTTTACATAAGTTGTTAATAGTAGCAGCAGCTACTGTTTACTGGTTGACTATAAAGCACCAGGTATTATACTAATTACTTTACATATGTAAATATATTTAATCCTCATAAAATGTTTATTATAGGTGGCACATTTCTTCCTTTACAGAAGAGGAATCAACTTAGAGAGGTAGTAAGTAGCAGAGACAGGATTTTCTCCCAGGTCTGTCTGACACCAAAGTTTCTGCTCACCACCACCACCATCCTCCTTATCTCATTTAATCCTCATGCTGCCTCTGCGATGTAGAAAGTAGTATCCCTGTTCTACAGATGAGGCTCTAAGAGGCAAAGAGAGTTCCCCCAAAGCCACGCAGCCACACAGCTGTAAGTAGGGGCCAGGAATCAAACTCAGGTCTCAGATTTCCTTGAAGTTCCTGCCCATAAAATGGTGGTAGCAGGAGAGAGAGAATAGCTTAAGGGCTTCATGCATTCTCTGCCTAATTAGAAAGCCAAATTAATATTTCTCATAAAGGGATTGAGACTGTGAACCTTTTCTTTGCTGAGTGTTGGCACCCATTCCCCAGCATTAGTTTTCTAATTTTCTGTTTCAATCTGCCTGTACTTGCAGGGAGACTCATGTACCGTTCGTTTGCTGCTATTAAACAAAGATGAAATGATTTTCAGCAAAACAAAGTTTTAAAATATACATTTTTTAAAGCCCCATTTGAATACAACGGCTTGCTATTCCTGCCCAAAATAAGTGCCAGTGAACAAAATGAAGGCGATCAAATTACCCTCTCTCCACAGGCAAAGGGAGCCCTTTCAGACGCGCTTTGAGGCTGCCTGCAGTGGCCATCACCTATTGATAAAGCCTGCTTTATTTCATGGCTCTCAGCTCTTTTCTTTTCATGAGCACTAAATTCCACATCACAAAGTTAAAGAAAAAGTAATTAAGGAGAAGGATTAACGATTGATCAGCCTGGAAAATTAGAAGTCCATCTGCCCCCTCCCACCCCCATTCCTCCACTCCACACCTTATTTTTCAAATCAAGCCAGCTCTGAGTACAAATTAGAATAATCCTAGGGAAATTTCTGACTATTACTTGACCAGTTCAGAAATTACCAAGAAGAATGCCCCCGCACCCATTTTAATTATGCCGACAAAACAAACCTGTTCAAAGTCGGCGGCAAGGAGGTTTGTTGGACCTTCCACCTGTGTGTGTCTGGAGGAAGCTGTTCTTCCCAGGGAGCCCAGCCTGGGAGTGTATTTTGAGAATGTGCAAGGGGTGGAAACAAGTCCCACTGCAACCACTCTGTAAGAATGAAGAGCTAGGGCAGGCACATGTCTTGTCTGCGTTGAAATCCACAGATATAAGATCACCCTACTTCAAATTATCAGCCTATTATGTCAGTGTAGGAAACAAGACCTTTTCCTAGCTGCAGTCATCATCAAAACATGCAAACAGGTCATGGAGATCACTTGATAAAAAGGACAGATTATGAATGCAAAGCCAGGGTTCCATCCCAGAAGCACCTCCTAGCCCCACACACCGCTGAGGCTCAATCAAGGTTTACTATTAGACATACTACTTTTTAAAGGGACTTCTTCAAAGCTTCCACTTGATTCCTGCAATTATTTACGGGGAGAAGTGATTGAGCTTGCAATTAGCGAAATGAAAGACAAGTAAATAATTGCTTTTACTCACGGTTGATTGACGCCACCATTTCTCACACCTGCGAGTGTATCGTGTGCATGACTTTGAAATATGTACCCCAAATGTCACCATTAGGAAGTAGTTGTTGAAGCCCACATGGGAGAACAAAGAATCAAGTGCAGGGTTTTGCCAGTGGGTACATAAAATGGGATTGGGCAGTGAGATAAACGTAGGCAAAATAAGCAGGCTACTTTTTGAAATGTGCCCCTGGAAAATCCAAGTTAGAATCATAAAGCATGCAAATATTTCAAACTAATTCTTTTCTCCTTGCAGTGTCGAGAAGGTTCTCCCAAATTCTGAGACGGCAAACATCACTAAATCATCTCTGCCAGGTAGCTGTCCTCCATTATGTGTTTTAATCACTGCTGAGTCATTGCAAATGAGGGGGCAAATCCACAAAAACAACCTCCTGCAGGATCTTTCAGGTTAACAGGGCACTCTCTCTATTATTTTTTAATTTCTACAGATAAGGAATGAAAACATTAGCCAATAACTAGTTTCAACTAATATACAAAATAATTTCTGGTATCAGTTGCCCCTTAACCTTTCAGATATGTTCTAAGTCCACAGTTCTGTGTTTCTCTTAATTATCCAGCCCAAAATGTATGTAGTGGTTGAATCAAATGATTCAAACAGATTAAGAGGATGATTTGTTTGTTGTATCATCTGAGTTCAAAGCCACATAATATATTCAATATTTGCCTAATTTTGTTTAGTTTTTTTCCAGATCTGCATTATTTTTAGCACAAAAGTGACATATGCTTGCTTTCAAAAACATTTAAAAATATAAGTGTAGTAAGTAAAAGTGGAAGATCCCACTCCATGCCCCTATCAACTCTGTAGTTATAGCTTGATGGCATATAACTACATTTCTATTAATTTTGCACTTTAATGAAGGGACTCTAAGTCTGTTAAGGCAACCGATTAACATTACATTAAAATATTAATGACCTTAAAGCAGAGGTGGCAAACCGGTGGCCACAGGCCAAATCTGGCCCTCAGATATGTGGGGTTATTGTTGTTTGGTTTGAATATGTTCAAAACAATTTTTTTCACATGGTCACTAACAGTTGGAACTGGGAGATGACAGCTAAACACCCACATTTTTCTGTAGAAAACCTTCAAGGGCTGACAACTTGCTCCCAGAGTCCCATTTCCCCAGGGCAGCTGTCAGCTGCTGGGCCAAGCTTCTCCACAGCAGCCACCGTCCTCATTCCACCAACTCTCTCACACTTGGCCCACCTCACTCCTGAATGTCACCTGCCTGCCCCCTTCCTGTGTTTCTGTTTGCAGCCTCTCCTTTAAGGTGCTGTTGGTTCTGGGTGGGTTCAAGGTCAAGGTGGTAGGGAGGGGTTTCTAGTTAGAGTGGCCTGAAGGAGGGTCCCAGACCAGGAACCAGAAAGTATAACACAACACCCACATATACCTCACTGCTCCTGTCCTGCCCCTGGCATGGACAGCACAGGGGATGATTTGGAGACCAGAGGGAAACTCATCCAGATTCATGCAGGCTGCTACAGAGGCTACACCTGGGCATTGTTCTGGTGATGGTGCAGAGCCTGACAGATTAATGGGATTCAGGAAAGAAGGTGAATATTGGCCTAACAAAGAAACACTGCCTTATTTCTGAGGATGCATGCCAGCATCTGGTTCTTTTTTCCAGCTTGGAAGAGTGGCTCTTGGGTCATATCAGGGAACTAGACATGGTTTTGGTGCCTCCCTCTGGGGATCAGACAATTTAGAGAGGACTTTGTTCCTTTAATGCACATGTAGATAAAAGCGTCCACACCCATGCCTATAGCCACGTGTTGCACAAGCGTAGGGGCGCACACACACGTTCCCTCTCCACCTTCCGCACAAAAACAGTATGTAATTTAATCAGCAAATGCCCCATTTCCATCTCTACCGGAAAGCTTTCAGACGCATTCCCAGATCAGACAGAGGACTAGGGTTAAGGCTGGGAATGAAACACCAGCTAGTATCCCAGTGAGCTTTCCCAAACACACATACACAGCAAGTCAGACTAAACAACGTCCAACTGAAGACTCACCTCAAATACTTAGACCTAAGATTCACGTCCAGGCTCTTTCAGATACACCAGGTAAGTAAGCACTTGGCATTCCTATCTCAGCCATTCACTTCACAGAATCTTTTGGGTGCCTACTGTGTGCCCAATACTGTGCTTAGTGGTACTTGCCCTCAGCAGGAAAAAAAATTAAAAGTGTTAAATGTTATGAAAGAAACAGAATGGAAATAGAAAATCACAAGGCATTCAGGTCCTATGTAGATAAAGTGGTCAGAGATGGCCTTTCCATGGGTGTGACATTTAAGCTGGAGCGTACATTGTAGTGGGGCTGCTGGGGCAAGGAGGGAGAAGAATGTTCCGGCCAGCAAGAACACCATGTGCAAAGGCCTTGAGGTATCAACACAATCACTGAAAGAGAAGCGATCGGATAACAGTAGCCACTTTTATTGAGTTCCCTGCACTATGCACTCTGTTTTTCAAACACTATCTCAAGGAATCCTCAACAGCAGCCCTTCTTTAAGAGGTAAGCACTAAGGCCCTAAACATGATGGTTAGAGACACTATTAAAAAGCATGTTCTAGGCAGGGTGCGGTGGCTCAGGCCAGCAATCCCAGCACTTTGGGAGACCTAGGTGGGCAGATCACTTGAGATCAGGAGTTCAAGACCAGCCTGGCCAATATGTCGAAACCCTGTCTCTACTAAAAATACAAAAAAATTAGCTGGGTGTGGCAGCATGCACCTATAGTCCCAGCTACTAGGGAGGCTGAGGCAGGAGAATCACTTGAACCCGGGAGGCAGAGGTTACAGTGAGCCAAGATCGCCACTGCATTCTAGCCTGGGCAACAAGAGTGAAACTCCATCTCAAAAAAAAAAAAAAAAAAAAAAAGCATGTTCTAAACACTTGCTTACAGAATTCACTCTTTGGTAAACAGTTCATTTCATTGTAATAAAGTAGCTCACAACGCATCTCTGAAGGAACATGCTCAGGAAAGAAAAAAAAAAGGTAGGTACTATCATATCTCCATTTTATAGATTAGGAGGCTGAGGTTAATCTACTTGCCTGCCCCAAGTCAGCTGCTCAGCAACGAGGCCAGGATTTGAACTAGGTTATGTTTGAATCCAGGACACCTGACCTTTCCATTCAGTTGTTTTCATTATCATTAGAGATTCACCTAACTCATATATTCTACACCTTTGTGACCTTTAAAGAGTTCTACAATTATTTAACTAAGATTTTACTTGTAATTGGATGGTCTGGGTACAACAAGGGTTTGTCAGTATTTACCTTTGCCTAGAAATTTACATGCATTAGGAGACTTGACAATGTCTTCGTGTATTTTAATTTTTTTTATTTTATTAAAAGACATTTTGAAAACATGCAAATAAAGGAAATGATCCTAGATACATATTTTTCTTAGCTTTTCTCAGTATTGTTTCAACTTGATGATATTGTTCCAAGTATTGTTCCAACTTGCAAATTTAAGTTCACTAATAAGGGTTCCATGAAAAAGCCACAGCTTTAAAGAAAAAAAAATACATATATATAATTATTCACACACTATACACATCCCTCCATCCACTAACAAACTACTGAGATGTATGGTATAGTTTCCCTTTTCCTCCAACCTAATTATTCATGTATGTTTTAATCATTATAGCAACATTTTAAAAAAGCAAAAACAGAAAACTAGAGCATAAACTGCTTCAGAATGTATTTATATGAAAAATACACACTTTGAAATTTCTGGGATTAAGTTAGGCCCAGGGGTAGCAAGAACACTTCTAAATCCCAGCCTGCAGCTTCTCAGGTACTGGAGACACAAGGATAATTCAGCACAGAGCTCCCATCCCACAGGCTTACATCAGAAAGCTGACAGATCTCTGGGCTTCATCCCATTGTTCCATGGGGTCAAGACCAAAGGGACTGGAAACAGCAGGGTTTGGTCTGGCCTAGCCCACCCTCGCAGTTTCTTGTAGAGAAAAAGAGATGTGTGGAAAGAACCATAGGAGAAAACAGTGTCTGCGTCTTCTGAGTTACAGAGTCTTCTGGTGCTTTCCTGAAATTGAATTTCCCGGAATTTCAGGGTAGTTTGCAAAATACCATAAGCAGATGCATTAACAAGGCATAAAAGGAAATACAGTGAAAGGGTTTTAACAACCCATGAGCTAACGAGTTGATTGGATTGGATTATAGGCATCTCGAACAGTGATCCACAGTGCAGACATCACGTTCCAAATGCTGGAAGACTGGAGGAACGTGGACCTGAACAGCATCACCAAGCAAACCCTTTACACCATGGAAGACTCTCGCGATGAGCACCGGAAACTCATCACCCAATGTAAGCTGTCCCACCAGGGATTGTTGTCCTGTTTTTATTTTTAAAAGAAAGAAAAAGTGTCTTAGTAAATACCGAAGTGGCATCCCCACCCTGTTCTTCCCAGCATCTCTTCCTCCTTATTGTTCCTTATTGTTCCTTTTAAATGAGTCAGTCCAGAAGGAAGGGCTGATTGACTTGAGAGGACATGTGTCAACACTGCTGGGTAAAGAGTGTTCTGGTGCAATTGGGCAGCATACAGTGTCATGCAAAGGGCCCCACATGTGACCTGAATGCCAGCCCCGGTTCCATGGAGGTGGCATTAAATATGAGAACAAAAGCTTATTGCCTCTCTCAGTGTATGTCAGCCTGGGGTCAGCTGGATATGCTGCCTATTTTTCATTTGAGGGTCACGACTCAGCCCACCTATTGGTAGGTGAACCTTTCAATCACGTTAAATGTCTGAGAAGCAGGTGGATGGTATTTTACTTCTGTGAATATATGTTCATGTCCCGGTGAACAAGGGCTTCCAACATGCAGACTGCAGGTATACTGCTCCAAATATCAACCCCATGTAGGCAGGATGTTTGATCTTGGTACTAAAGCAATATGAGAAGGCCAGAGAACAACATCATTGTTAGCACATCCCTGCTATTCCTCAGATGCCCATCCCAGCTGACTGCCCAGGGCATCCCCCCAGCCCAATAACCCTGGATCCATAGGCGTCTACAGGCTACCTCCATAATTAGAGAACATCAGGTCAGGAAAGGTGTTGAGAGCATGCATTCCCATGTTCTCAATGGGGTGAGGCCCAGGATCCCAATAGTGACACTGCTTGGGGAGCTGCAGAGAGGCTGTCCCACCAAGAAGAGGGGTCTTTCTGAAAGCCCCAAGGCCCTTCAGATTTCTTAGTATATGCCTTCTGCACTGCTGTCTTGAGGGAATTCTATTCAGCTACCCAGTCTAAACTTGAGGTGCCTTTAAACAAAGTTCCCTAAGAGGGTCCTATTAGAGATCTCTTTCCCATTAAGCCCTTTTCAAAAGCAAATGTAACAGCCGAAATGTTTGAACATGTGGACCTTCCCCAGGGCTTCTTTCCTGGCTTAGCCCAAACCTCACTCAGGCTGTTACTTCTTCCTTCACAGCTGCCCCAAGCCCACTTTTCCCCTGGTAAGAATTTTAGAGATCATCACTAAAATAATAATTCAGCTTATTGACTGCCTATTCTAAGCCAGCTCCTGTGTCAAATCCAATACATGCACGGTCCCATTTAATCTCCACATCAACCCCATGAGGAAGACACTCTTATCACCCCCACTTTACAGATGAGAAAACTCAGGCTTAGAGAGTTGGTGAACCTAACTCAAGGTCATGCAGCCACTAAGCAATAGAGCTGAACCCAAGTCTGGTCTCACGTCTAGTCCCAGCTTCATCACCAGGCCTTAGTGCTGCTCATATTGTATTCATGTGCACAGGAGACAAAAAAAAAAAAAAAAAAAAAAGGAAATATGGGTGAGTTTTAGAGGTTCCAGGATCTTTCCAAGTGCTTACAATCATCCTTCCTCTTCTGCTTTTTCCTGTCCCCTGATGGAAAGTCAACAGAAAGCATGGCCCTGCACACCCTAATAGCACTGGGGGTACCTTTGATCACTGTGCCCCTAGGAACTCCCAATGGGCCAGGCACAGAGCAGGTGTCCAGCAAGATTCATGGAATACCAAAGAGATGAGTGGAAACCCAGAGTTAACCTAGTTCTTAGCTCTGCAAATCTTCCTAGCAGTGTTAGACTCAGTTCTCTTCCCGCCTCAGCTCCTTTCATGAGGGACGAAAATGTGAACCAGACTCATAAGGAAAAATACAATCAGTATTGCTTGCTTAAAGGACCAGGCTCTGAGCCTTTGCTGGAGCACCATGGAGGTCACTGCTGCCTCTCTCAAGAAAGAACCTTCTGTGGCTTTCTCTTCAAGTTCCTTTAGGTCCAGGGCAGAATGGTGCCCTTTAAAGCTGTGATTGCATTCTTCTTCTGGGGAAGTAAATGCTGTGGTTCAGTTCAACCCAGCTAGTCCTTACTGAATGCCTGTCCTAAGTCAGGTACTGTATTAGATGCTGGCCAAAGGGCAGTGAATAAAATGGACACATCCCTTCCCAACATGGAGCTTACAGTTAATGGTAAATAAGACCTCAAACATGTATTTACAGATGTGTTGCATCTTACCAAAGAGAACAATGTCATGTAATACAGTGCTGTGAAGGGGGAATTGAGAGAGGGTACCAAGCCTCAAGGCAGTCCAGCACATGTGCGTCAACCCTGTACCTCCTAACCAGACAGCTGGGAAGTCCCTGACACACAGGGAGTTGGACCAAAGGTCAGCTTGAGCAGGGCTGGGACAACTGTGTGCAGTGCTCTTCTTTCCTCACAGCCAGCTGACAAATCTGCAAACTCTTGCTTAGGGGGTTACCATCACCTCTGTGATATAGATCTCAGCCGGCAATGCTCAGCTTACCTTAGATTTTAAAAGTGCACATTAGTACTTAAGCAAGCTGATTAGAATGAGTTATAATTGTAACTGCCCAAGGTCTGCTGGGCATCCCAGACCCATGTCCAAGTTCTGTTGGCTGGGATCCCTGGGGCTGGGATGCCCAACAGACCTTGGTTCAAACCTTGCTCTTACACAGCTCTTACACAGCATGGGGCTGGATGCCCAAAAGACCTTGATTCAAACCTTGGCTCCAGTACACTGTGACCTTGGTTTCCATTTCTGTAAAATGGGACTAAGGTGAAGGGATTAAATGAGACTATCTGTGCCACATGCTTGGTACACAGTCTAGTGTTAGCATAGTGAAGTGGTTAGGAGGCAAGCACTTGAGTCAGGATGTGTTTGAATCTTGTCTCCGCAATTCACTAGCTGTGAAAGAACAACCTTTGGAAAGTTACTCATCTTTGTTTGTCTCTTTCTTCACTTGTAAAATGGAGGATAATAATCGTACCAACCTCCATGGGTTGTTCATCCATTCAGTCAACAAACATTTGAGCATTCTAGTGTTATGACCCTCTGGTCTCAGAATCTTACTTCTTGTAGCAAGCGTCAACTAAGTAAAATAGAGCAAAGTGTCCAGTCCTTTAAAATGAGAGAACAAAAACTGCTCAAATGAAAATGAAAGAAACGTATGGATCTTGAATTGTGGTTTGATTTATTGATCTCTGCATACAGAAACACAAAAATGTGATGAAAAGAGATGTTTCAAACTAGAGATCACCAGAGCCATGTTTCTATTTTCTAGAGCACTTCATTGATTAAAAAGCACTTCCAGCCGGGCGTGGTGGTGCACGCCTGTAATCCCAGCACTTTGGGAGGCCAAGGCGGGCGGATCACGAGGTCAGGAGATTGAGACCATCCTGGCTAACACAGTGAAACCCCGTCTGTACTAAAGATACAAAAAAAAAAAAAAAAAATTAGCCGGGTGTGGTGGCGGGCACCTGTAGTCCCAGCTACTCGGGAGGCTGAGGCAGGAGAATAGCGTGAACCTGGGAGGTGGAGCTTGCAGTGAGCCGAGATTGCGCCACTGCACTCCAGCCTGGGCAACAAGGCGAGACTCCATCTCAAAAACAAAAAACAAAAAACAAAAAAAAGCACTTCCAGATTCAGTTATCTGACTTAAAGTGAAGACAGGTTGTAAAGTGGTAGGATTATCTCTCTAATGAGGAAACTGAGGGGCAGAGAGACTGGTTCACTTACTCAACAAGTATCTATTAAGCACCTACTACATGCCACACAGAGAGGCTGCTTGCCTGATACAGTTGTGGTCCAGAAACATTTGAATTATCACATGTGCCCTACCCTGGGCAGAGAGCAAGAGAGCAGCAATGCCTCACCCATTAATTCAAGCAAGAATTTGTTGGGTAACAACTATGTCACAGATAATGCACCAGCTAATGAAGATATCAGACAAAGAACTAGCAGGGAGACACACATGCCCACCCAACTATGCCACAGTGCCATTAGTCATATAATAAAGGTAGAAAACCGATAATAAAGTGCTATGTGAGTGCAGAGGAGGGGTGATCAGTTCTGCGGGCAAGGGGCATGGAAGGTTAAAGGGATTTCATACCAGGGCCATTTCAGCTGGGACATGAGGAACCAAGTAGTGGGAAAAGCCTGAAAAAAAAAGACTAAGGCTATGAAAAAAGCAGGGCTTGCTGGCGGAATGGCAAGTAATATGGGATAGCCACAGTTTAACATGTTCACAGGCATGGAAGATGATCTTGGAAAGGTAAGTTGGGGCATGTTTTATAAAGTCTTGAATGCTCTGCTAAGACCTTGGAGTTTTATTTATTTAAAGTTTTACTTTATTCAAAGTTTTGTTCCTCTGTTCTTTTAAGACGTAGCTCTTGTTAAATACAACTGCAGTGATGCGTGTGGGGTTCTCCTTTGTTTGACAGTATATCAGGAGTTTGACCATCTCTTGGAGGAGCAGTCTCCCATCGAGTCCTACATTGAGTGGCTGGATACCATGGTTGACCGCTGTGTTGTGAAGGTTGGTAAACCGGCACCTAGCGGGCAGCCTTGGGCCCTGCAGCCCACCACTGCCCTCTGTGAACTTGGCCAAGACAAAGCCCTATGGTAAGCTATCTGAACAGGGTTTTGAGGAGAGGCCCCAGGAGGTGGAGGGGTCAGGAGGCAGGACTCTTGAGTCTTCCATCCCTGATTCAACCAGGTCAGCATCTCTTTTATCTGCTCTATACACTGAGTCTTGGTATAAGATTTCATTTTTTAAAGTTTTTTTGCTGCTACAAACAAAACAAAAACCATTGCTCCATAGCATTGACTTTGAAGACCATAAGCCTTCCTGTCATTTTTCTGTATTTATTTATTTATTTTTGAGACAGGGTCTCACTTTGTTGCCCAGGCTGGAGTGCAGTGGTGCGATCACAGCTCACTGCAGCCTTGACCTCCCCAGGCTCATGTGATCCTCCCACCTCAGCCTCCTGAGTAGCTGGGACTACAGGGGTGTGCCACCATTCCCAGCTAATTTTTGTATTTTTTGTAGAGATGGGGTTTCTGCCACGTTGCCCAGGCTGGTCTCAAACTCCTAGGCTCATGCGATCATCCGCCCACCTTGGCCTCCCAAAGTGCTGGGATTACAGGCGTGAGCCACTTCAACCGGCCTCATTTTTCAAAGAGACAGTAATAAATGAAAGGTCAAGTCGACCACTATTAAAGCCATTTACTTTCTTGTAGGTGGCTGCCAAGAGACAAGGGTCCTTGAAGAAAGTGGCCCAGCAGTTCCTCTTGATGTGGTCCTGTTTCGGCACAAGGGTGATCCGGGACATGACCTTGCACAGCGCCCCCAGCTTCGGTAAGGCCACCCCAGCCCTCCCCATCTCCAAGCACTTTTTCCTCTGGGCACGGAGCCCAGAGGAATCTACCACAGTCTAACTTGCTGTTTCTGCAAGGTCATCACCCTGAAACACATCTCTTCTGGGGAGACATGACATTGTTAGGACTTTCAGGGAGAGAGATGGCATTACATGCTAAAGGTGGAGTATCAATCTGAAAATGAGTGGTTTTGCCCACAGATAGTACTATCTGAGCTTAAAGAAGAATAAATTGCAGTGGCTGTACTCCCCATGCCTAGATGTTCCCAGTGATTGCTGCTTCCAAAGCACAATTTCATAGAATCCCGTATTTGTGCACTTCCCAAGACTGGGCACATGAAGAAACCTCTGAGTTTGAACACTTGCAAATGGCTTGATTGACCATACTCTTGCTGTGGGCAGATGACCTTAAGTTTTCTTTAAAAATGTACTCTAGTCTAATCCCTAAAAGAGGGCATTTGCATTCACTTTCCCTTTTGTTTCACTGACCCTTTAAGTCTTCATCACCTCCAGGAGATATCCCCACCTCAAGTCTTCATCTGCTGCTTTCTAGTATAACAGGGCTTGAAATCTCTGCCCAAAGGTACTGATAACAGTCTCTGCGGGCAGCAACCTGATTACTGAATCGGGGTGAATGTTATGATACATTGTAGGACAGTTTTCTACTTTTCACCAGAAAGAAAGCAGTATGTACTGAGTCCAGGTCATCATTGGCAAACTGAGATGGGACTTTTAGGCATTATCCAGACATTTGAAATCCCAAAACATTTTGGTTTCAATTTTCTAGGCATTTTCGGCAAAGGGGCATTGGTAAATTTTCTGGGTAATTGCTTCAGTTCTCTATTTCCCTTTGCAAGTAAGGGTTGTGGTTTTGTTTCTCATTATCTCCAATTAAGCCAATCAGCTCTGGGTTTTGCTGTGGGTTTAATTTGACACTTTTCCATCTAGCTTTTTATGGTCTTGTCACCATTTTCCAGTTGTGCTATACAACGAAGTAAATATGTGGGAAAACAAAGAAGGCACTATTTTTTCTAAACAGCCCTGTCCATGAAAGACTGTGTTTACCCACTTGGAGAAGTGTTTTGTTGTGGATTTCTTTAATCTCAGCATTGGAAGGTTCTCTGAACCTGCCTGCACCATGGCTACAGATGGAAATTCTCTTTGAGCTGTATATGGAAATGCTCTGCTGACTGCTACCTGGGCAGTGCCATCAGGCATGGCATTTTGATGACTTCCAGTTCAGCACAGTTAGTGTTAGCACATGTTACCTCTAGCTCTGGAAAAATCATTCATGCAGAACTGTTTTCCCTTAAGTGAACTGTTGGAAAATATTTGAGATTTCTTCATTGCTTCCAAGTCAGAGAATCAACAATATCACACACAAACACACATATCCACATCCACACAGCGAGCATCCTCTCCATGCTTTATCCTTTACTCTTCAATTTGCTTATTCTTAAACTGACCACGTATGGTAGCAGGTGCCTTTCATTAGACAGGGAAAGTAATTCCCTTGCAATATTCTTTGAAATTCATCTGTGCTTACTGAGTTAACAGTCAATGTAAAAAAGAAAGCTTGAGCAGGAGAATGATTAGGCTTTATGAATGGGTTGAATTTATTACTAAGAAATATGGTTCCTTGAAATGTGTTTCTTTTTGAACCACACACTCTTTTGGGATAGATATACTGGAAACTCAGGCAAATGGCAAAAAAAGATGATCACAAATCACTTAGAAAAGGAGAAAAAGAGATATTAACCCAGTCTCAGTTTTACAGTATTTCTCAACCCTGAGTGGGTTGAAATAATACCTGTCTCCAAGTCCATTTAGCAAACTATCTGAAATGGCCCAGCTCATCTGACTCATTGTTGAATTTTGCAGCTTGGGGTGACAGGCAAGTTAAAAGAGTTTGCAGCAGACAAAAGCCCAGCTCCCCCTTTCTGCTTATATATGTCAAAGACCCAGTTGGTGGTTGTGTTTGGGTCATGTGTTCCCTGTATGAAAACAGCTAATTAGGAAAAAGAGCCCTCTGTTCCTTGGTCCCCTCCCCCAGCCACAGGGGCCAGCTCTATATATCTTATAACTCCCACATGGTCCTTGTCGCTGTGAATGGGTACAGGGTTTGTGTGTCAGCGTAGCAGGCTGACCATTACAATGATCGTGTGGAATATCACAATGATCCTGTAGGGGACTCTATCACCTCTTCCCAGAACAGCCTCTTTCAAAGGTAGTTGACTCCTTTCTTCTCCTTAATTCCTTTTCACTCTCTTCTCCTTAATTCTTTTTCACTGAAAGAACCTATGCTGTGAACTAAAGTAGCCAGACTTTCTTTCTTTGCTGCAAGCAGTGTTTCTAGCAAAATTAGTTACCAAAGGTAGGCTATCAGGCAAACTTTTAGTCCTAATGAAGCAGAGCAAATCAAAGTTTTGTTTTTAAAAAACACCATCTTTTTAGTCGACTGATCTGATTTCAGTTCCTAGAGTACCTAGATCTCAAGTTGGTGCCAGCGCCTTTACCTTTTCATTCTGGGTTTTCAGCAAATGCCTGCTTATCTCACTGTTATGAACATCTGGAAGGTAATAATAGTTCCCGGAAGTACTCCAGCATATATCAGTTTATAAAGCAGCCTGGGTGTGACAGCTGAGGGGCACAATTGCACAACACTTCCACAGTTTCACTTTTTTACACACCTGTTGTCTGACCTAGCATCAAAGCTCACTCACTTGGGCAGGGCTGGGGAGACCATGTGGGCATGTGTCAGGGAGCGGCTCCCAGAACAAGAGGCCATGACCAAGCCTTCCCAACTGCTTCTCTATGCTTAGATGGCCTGGCCCAGCTCTCTTTTAGACAGAATCTGCTAAATTGCAGGACCTTAATGTTCGCAATGTCATTCAGGCCCCCACCAAGCACTAAGAGACAGGAATTGCTTTCCCTGTAGTCAGGAGTGGAAGTAAAAACCCAGAGAAGAGAGGACTTGCGTGTGGACTCAGGGAAGTGGCAGATTGAATTCAACCCGCAATTGTTCCCATGCTAAAGCTGGAGTTTTTTTCTGCCATGCTACACTGCCACCACCTCATTTACCTTTCTTTAGGTAAAAGAAAATTAATAACAACACAGAAACATGTATTGAGGGCCGAATATACTTTAGACATTACATTTTCTCAATTACTTCTCACACAACCCCGTGAGGTCTGAATTACTGCCCTCAATATGACAGACCAGGAAGCTGAGGTAGTACTTGAAGGATTTGCTTAACATTAGAGATAAGAATGAAGCAAAGACAAGATAATGATGACTATTATAAGAAATATTTTGGAAGCACATACTATCATTGAATTCTTGCATTAACTCTGCAATGTAGGTAATAATAGACACTTTCTAAAGAGGTGAGAAGGGAGCTTGGAGAATTTCCTTGCACAAGATCAATGCAGCAAATGTCAGAATTCTGTTTCAAAATCAAACCTGCCTGACCGCAAAGCCCATTCCTTTTTGATTATCACAATTAAGGCAAATACTCTGGGCTCAGATGCATGCCACAATAGAGCTAGAAAAATTTATTTAATCCACATTGATGGTATTAATATTTTTAAAATATCCATGGATTAAGATTTAAAAATTTAAAGCTATGAGAGAAAAGAATAATTATTAGACTGTCATGAGCAGTAAGAGATGCCAGAAGACAATGGAGTAATATCTTTTAAGTGTTGAGAACAAAGAACTGTCAACTATTATTCAAGAGTGAGGGCAAAATAAAGACATAATCAGTTATACAAAGACAGAATTTGGCACCCACAGATGTTCACTTAAAAAAACAACAACAAAAAACTATTAAAGGATGCATTTCAGCTGGGCGCGATGGCTCACACCTGTAATCCTAGCACTTTGGGAGGTGGATTCCCTGAGGTCAGGAGTTTGAGACCAGCCTGGACAACATGGTGAAACCCCGTCTCTACTAAAAATACAAAAATTAGCCGGGTGTGGTGGCGGGTGCCTATAATCTTAGCTACTCGGGAGGCTGAGGCAGGAGAATCGCTTGAACCCACGGGGGCAGAGGTTGCAGTGAGTCGAGATGGCACCACTGAACTCCAGCCTGGGTGACGGAGTGAGACTCCATCTCAAAAAAAAAAAAAAAGCCATAGCTGAGGTCTAGAATACAAGAAACAACAATGTTCTAGTTATTGTTGCCATTGCTGTGTAATAAATTACCTAGGCTTAATGGCTTTAAGACAACCATTTTATTATGTTTATGGATTTTGCAAGTCAGGATCATGTGTCAGCTCACAGTTCCACGTGCAAGTGCCCCAAATGTGAAGTCACTTTGCTTTTATGATCCCTTCTTAGATACAGTGTAACTTCCCTCATACTCTATTGGTCAAAGGCAGTCCCAAGCCTACCATGAGTCAAGGAGGCGCACAGACCCCAATTGTTAATGGACGGCACATCAAAGAATTTAGGGACCCTGTTTTAAGATGAAAGAAATTTAAAAATATGTAAACATATTTAATTAACTATTGAATGTAATTTAAAAACTAAAAACTAATTTGTATATGTGTTTTAAAAAGTTAAAAATAAGTTCTAGGTAAAACTATAACATGGAGTAATGAGAAGAGAATCTTCAAGGAACAGTTAAAGCATGCTAATGTCTTTGTCTTTTTTAGGAATACTAGGTAACTTTAGGCTTTGTTGGAGAAATTTACAGTTTGGATTTAATAAATGTTTAGCATATATGTTAATAAATTAAGGTATCATTACTAAAAGAACACAATCATGATTTATGGAGGAAAATGGAAAAATATGAAAACTTAAGAGACAAAACGTTAAATGGAAAAGAAGAATTGAGAAGATAAAAGAAGCATAGAAAATGGATGGTAAATGAAAGCACAAAATAGCATGGTAGAAATAAAGACCAAATGATAATCACAATAAAGGAGAAAGTCTCTTCCTCCAAAAAAAATTAGGCATAAATGTTTTTATAGGCAAGTTTAACTAAACTTATAAAAAATGTAAAATCTTTAGTCTATGAAAATAAACATGAAAATCAATATTTCAAAGAATAAAAGAAAAGAAGAGGCCGGGCGAAGTGGCTCACACCTGTAGTCCCAGCACTTTGGGAGGATGAGGCGGGCAGGCAGATCACGAGGTCAGGAGTTCGAGACCAGCCTGACCAACATGGTGAAACCCCGTCTCTACTAAAAATACAGAAATTAGCCGGGCATGTTGGCACGCACTGTAATCCCAGCTACTTGGGAGGCTGAGGCAGGAGAATTGCTTGATCCCGGGAGGCAGAGGTTGCAGTGAGCTGAGATCGTGCCACTGCACTCCAGCCTGGGCAACAGAGCAAGACTCCATCTAAAAAAAAAAAAAAGAAAAAAAGGAAAAAAAAAAGAAGAAGAAAATCTGTTTTCAGTGACTGCAAAGTTTAGGACATCCTGGCCCAGCCTAGGATGTCTGATCTCATTGTCCTCAGTGCTGCTTTGCCCACCTCATTCCCTTCAATAAAATGGTTTGACCTGCCCCCGCAAAATAAGGAAATGATTGTATTCTTTTAGTAATGATACCTTAATTTATTAACATATATGCTAAACATTTATTAAATCCAAACTATGAATTTCTCCAATGAAGTCAAAAATTACTTAGTATTCCTAAAAAAGACAAAGACCTTAGCATACTTTATTCCTTGAAGATTCTCTTCTCATTACTTCGTGTTATATTTTTACCTAGAACTTATTTTTAACTTTTTAAAACACATACACAAATTAGTTTTTAGTTTTTAAATTACATTCAAAATAAAGAAATATACAACTCATTTTACAAAGCTAACATAATCTCGATTTCAAAATCTGGCAAGAAAAGCAGAGGAAAAGAAAATTATGACTCAACCACACTTTTTTTTTGAGACAGAGTCTCACTCTGTTATCTAGGTTGGAGTGCAGTGGTGCAATGTCGGCTCACTGCAACCTCCGCCTCCTGGGTTGAAGCGATTCTCATGCCTCAGCCTCCCAAGTAGCTGGGATTACAGGTGTGTACCACCACGCCCAGCTAATTTTTGTATTTTTAGTAGAGAGGGGGTTTCACCATGTTGGCCAGGCTGGTCAGGAACTCCTGACCTCAAGTGATCCACCCACCTCAGCCTCCCAAATTGCTGGGGTTACAAGCATGAGTCACCACACCCAGCCTACACACATTTTTTCCATAGGTGAAAAAAATTCTAAATAAAACACTAGCAGATCAAATTTAGTGGCAAAATTTTTTAAATCAATATTAGACTATGCCAAAAATCCTAGTAGGAAAAATTACCAATTAACATACTATATTAATAAAAAGAGAAGAATCATAAAATCATCATTATAGATACAGAGAAAAAAAGCATTTGATACATTTCAGCTCTCAGGTATGGTTTTTAAAAAACCTTTTAGCAAACTAGGAATAGAAGGGAATTTAATATCTTAAAGGGCATCTACAAGTCTGCAGCAAACATCACACTTAATGGCGAAATGTTAGAAAATTTCCCATTTCTATCATGAAAAGACAGGAATGCCTTCTAATATGATATCTAATAAATATGTACTGGAGGTCCTAGCCAATGCCTTAAGAAAAGAAAATGAAATAGAAGAATTAGAAAGGAAAACACAAAATTGTCTTTATTTATAGATGTCATGATTGCTGGCAAAAGAGAATCCACAAACTAATAGAACCAATGAGAATTCAGTCAAGTTACTGAATTTAGTTTGTTTTTTTTTTTGAGACAGAGTCTTGCCCTGTTGCCCAGGCTGGAGTGCAATGGCACGACCTCAGCTCACTGCAACCTCCGCCTCCTGGGTTCAAACCATTCTCCTGCCTCAGCCTCCCGAGTAGCTGGGATTACAGGTGCGCGCCACCACACCTGGCTAATTTTTTGTATCTTTAGTAGAGACGGAGTTTCACCATGTTGGCCAGCCTTGTCTCGAACTCCTGACATCATGATCTGCCCGCCTCGGCCTCCCAAAGTGCTGGGATTACAGGCATGAGCCACCGCGCCCGGCCCTGAATTCAGTTTTTATAAAATCATTGGCATTCTTAATTTCACTAACTCGAAAATATAACTTAAAACATACACATTCACACAATTCATAATAGCAAAAGAAACTAAAATGTACCTAGAAATAATTCTAACAAAAAATTGGTGGTGATTACACTGGTGTTCATTTTAGAATTCTCTATATTTTTCTATGATGCATATTTTTCATAAGAAAGATGAAATGCTTTGATTCTACCAAATGCAATCAACTATATTACCATATAACAATAACAAAATAAAATCTCCTTTTGTCTCTAATCCTAATGCCTTTTTCCATAACAGGCTCTGCTGCTCCCTAGCTCTGTGACTTTAAGCAAGTTATTCAAGCCCTCTGAGCCTTCATGTCCTCATGTATTAACTGAAGATAATACCTTCTTTGCAGTGTTGTTGAGAAGTTAAAAGAGCTTACTTAGCGCGGTGCATATGGAAGTAGTCAATGCTTGCCTATTTGATTCATACATCTAACACATATCCATTGAGTCTCTATTGTGTGCCTGGCAATGTTGTAGTCACTGGGTATAAAGCACTGGTCAAGACAGAAAAATCTCTGCAAGATAGAGCTTACAATCTAGTGGAGGAGGCATGCAATAACAATTAAGTTAAATACAGGTTATAGTATTTAACTTCGATGGTGAGAAATGCTAAGGAGATAAATAAAGTGGGATGTTCGCTGTAACTGCCTCTCTCCTCTTGTCTTTGGTGTCTCTCTGTCTCTCTCATCAGTCTTTCTGTATCTCCTTTTCATTTTCCTGTCTTCATCGATATTCACTATCCTCATCGCTGCGACACTCTGGCAATGAACTGTTTACTGCCCAATAATCTTAATGATTAATTTCTGCTTAGTAAGAACACTTAGCTTCTGTGGAGTCTGAGACTGAGCTTTATGCCTCCTTTGTACTCAGAGCACTTAGCACAATGGTAAGCAGGTAGCAGTAGCTCTACAAACTCTTGTTGTTTGAAGGATTAAAATTTAGAATGGAAAATTAACAGACAAACTGGTAGCTGATCAGAGGCATTAATGAAGAGAGCTTGAAGGCCCATGTCAAATCCGCACTTTCCCTAAAGTACCGGCTTCCAAGTTCAGCTCTGATGTTTTCTAAGAGTAATCTTAGGCAAGTTTCTTCACCTCATCAGATCTTTGTTTCCTTGTCTTATAAAACAAGAGAATGGTATAAAATGATTTCTAAGTTGTTTGTTCATCCTAAAACTACTGGTTTGGATTTTTATCATCCAAGCTTTCCATGCTAATTCATTATTTCATAGTACATTTCTCTCTTTCTATCCATGTTGACTTTAGATCAACATCCCAGCAAGTAATTTCTTCATTTTGGAGACCCTTTCCTTATTTGATGCTATCTTTTGACTTGTTTGACTCTATGAACAAAACAATCATGTCATGAGATCTTAGAACATAGCAGCAAAAGGGATCTTAGCAATAATAATAATAGCTACCAATTATTAAGCATCTAATATACACTTTTACTCATTTTAGTACTTCTGTAATGTACATTTTACTGTCCTTTTGGAGAGCTGTAGCACATAACGATTGAGGAGCAACTTCAGAGTCAGACAGTCCAGGGTTCAAGTCTTGGTTCTGCCGCTTAATGACTGTGTGACATTAGACAGCTACTTTACCTCCCTAAGCCTCACTTTCTTCCTTTGTAAAAGGAAAGTATCACTTATCTCACATGGTTGTGATGAGGATTAAATGCCAAAATAAATCTCTGGTGGTTTACACAGTGGCTGCCACAGAGGCAGAGGTCAATAAATGTCAGATTTTGTTTTCAGTATTTATAAGGATTAGGGAGGGTAAAGGAACTCATCTAAAGTCTAAGCTACTAAGTGGCAGAGCTAGGATCTCAACCTGGGCAGTTTGATCAACAGCGCATGTAATTACCCACACAGTGCTGTACCTCCTCAGTGGTTCACAGGATCCCATTTCAGAGAAACAGTTGGAAAGTTTAGTTTTAGAGACTGCATCTCACAGTGATTGAGCAGAACCTGGACTTTGCTGAATACCAAATGGCATTGAAAAACAGACATAGTACTGGAGATGGAAGAAGGATGTGAAGGAGGTGCAGGACAGTGGACCTTGGCCTTGAGCTCTGTGGGAACAAGGACAGGAGTTTATGGCAGGCTGTAGAGAGAGGGGGTCATGTTCATGACCTGCTGAGCATCTAGTGGCCTTACAGTTAAGCCAGGGATCTTCCTCTCTAGCCTTTCTAGACCAAAAGAATTAACTGATCTGAGATGAAGGGTGTGGGTGTATACAGAAGCCAGGTGCAGTTAAGGAGAAAATACATAAATTTCACCAAGGAGTGCTCCACAAGCCCCCAACTAGCCTCCACTACCTTATGTCTGAGACTTGGAGAGACCTAGCTCCCAGCTCAAGTGGCCCCTGTAGGGGCCAAGTCACTTATGCCATCTGGGCCTTATTTTCTCATCTGTGCTATGAACATATTGAACTAAATGACTTATAGGGGAATGGGAACAGATTACGGAGCCAGACCAAACTGAGGCAAATCCCTACTTGATTACTAATGAAGAGACTCATTTCCTCATCGGTAAGGGAGGATAATACCATCTACCTCACAGTTTGTTGTAAGGAAGAAACATATGTTCAGTGCTTAGCAGAGTTTTTGGTACAGAGTAAACACTCAATAAACAGTAGATGTGATGATGATAATAATGGTGATGGTAATGATCCATGATGAAGACAGAATGACAAAAAAAATAATGCCAGAGAGTCCCGTAAAGTCTCTAAAAGGCTGGGCGTGGTGGCTCATGCCTGTAATCCCAGCACCTTGGGAGGCCGAGGTAGGTGGATCACCTGAGGTCAGGAGTTTTAGACCAACCTGGCCAACATGGCGAAACCCATCTCTACTAAAAATACAAAACTTAGCCAGGCATGGTGGCACGCACCTATCATCCCAGCTACTGGGGAGGCTGAGGCAGGAAAATTGCTTGAACTCGGGAGGCAGAGGCTGCAGTGAGTCAAGACAGCGCCAATGCACTCCAGCCTGGGCAAGGTAGTGAGACTCCGTCTCAAAAAAAAAAGTCTCTAAAAAAGCAAACTAGAAGGAAATGGGAAAAAAGCAAACAGTATACTGGTCAGCTTGGAGAGAGGTGAGAAGTTTTGGACATTTTAAAGGGACTGCAGGATATCTACATGGAGATGTCCTATTGGGACCTGGAAACATGGGATGGGAGATAAAGGCTTGGCCCCTCTCTCTGACCCTGGGTCCATGAGGCCTTGATTACAGTAGACATTAACTGAGCCCCTACCGAAGGTGCACCATTCCACTGTGCATGGTAGCAGCATGACATGCAAAAAAAAGCTGGTTTTGAAATAATGTATTATCTATTAATCGTGTCATCTTGCATAAGTGCTTGGCCTGCAAAATAAGAATAAAAATACCCACCTTGCCACATGGTTGTAGTTATTAAATTAGAGAAGATAAGACTTTGAGCACAGAGACTGGCATATAGGAAAGTCTTTAAAAATGACTGTTCACATTCCCTTTTACAAAATAATCTACTCTAAATTGAAAAATGAAGACTGCCACTTGAAAAGACCAACTATTTTTAATGAATTACCTTTTCTAAGAACCATGTGCTAAATGAGGTCTTGAAAACATTTAGGGAAATAAGTAAATAACTTGTTGCAGATTTAAATTTTCAAATTGGCTCCTAGAATTATGTCAGGTACATTAGTAGATAGCAATACAAGGCAAAGTCCCTGCCATGGACATACTTAAAGTCCAATTGGGGGAATAATATGCTGGTGGAAGAGATAAAAATGAGAGACACTATGTTAATAAATGCCGAAGAGAGTGAGCGGTGCTCACATGAGGATGAGGCCAGTGGGTAAGCAAGAGCTCAGAGATGGCTCGGTGGGTGCCATTTTTGATGGTGTCATACTGATATAACTTCAGCAAGGAAAAGATTCACTTGCCACAAAGTGTTAATGACACTTACCTTATGCCAAGCACTAGGCTAAGGTGAGGATACAGCCAAGAACTGCAACCTATGACCATGAGGAGATCATAATTGAGTGGAAAATTAGACTCTTGAGCAGAGCATTTAGAACACTGTGTAACTTGTGCAGTTGACCAGACAGAGGGGGCATACACGAGACAGCACGACTTACTTTCTGTTTGATCCTTTTTTTCACCAGGGTCTTTTCACCTAATTCACTTAATGTTTGATGACTACGTGCTCTACCTGTTAGAATCTCTGCACTGTCAGGAGCGGGCCAATGAGCTCATGCGAGCCATGAAGGGAGAAGGAAGCACTGGTAAGCCAGCATTTTCCTGGGAATTGCACCACTTGGTAATGTTATTTGTATCCTTACTTCTGTGCTTTATGTTTCTTTAACTCTGTATCTCAAAGAATTTAGTTATGGTGAACAGGTTAAGTGGTATCAAACCAATCATGTCTTTTTCCTCTTTAAAGTGGGCATGTGGGCTGGGTCTGGTGGCTCACACCTGCAATCCCAGCACTTTGGGAGGCCAAGGCGGGCAGCTCACTTCAGACCAGAGTTCAAGACCAGCCTAGTCAATATGGCAAAACCCCATCTCTACTAAAAATACAAAAAATTAGCTGGGTGTGGTGGTGCACAACTGTAGTCCCAGCTGCTCAGGAGGCTGAGGCACGAGAATCACTTGAACCCGGGAGGCAGAGGTTGCAGTGAGCCGAGTGTGCGCCACTGCACTCCAGCCTGGGTGACAGAGCAAGACTCCATCTCAAAATAAGTAAATAAATAAATAAATAAATAAACAAATTAAATAAAGTGGGCATATTTATATACAGAAATTGCCTTGAGTGTCATGATGGTGATGGGAAACCATCGAAGAGTTTGACAAGAGAGTGACATCACACAGATTAGAATAATATTTCACTTTTTAAAGTCTTTTAGAGACACTTGCCTTTACATTTGGTTTTAAAAACTTACCCTATCTCTATCCACAGCAGAAGTCCGAGAAGAGATCATCTTGACAGAGGCTGCCGCACCAACCCCTTCACCAGTGCCATCGTTTTCTCCAGCAAAATCTGCCACATCTGTGGAAGTGCCACCTCCCTCTTCCCCTGTTAGCAATCCTTCCCCTGAGTACACTGGCCTCAGCACTACAGGTAATGGAAAGTCCTTCAAAAACTTTGGGTAGTTAATGTTTGAAGAAAGGGCTTTCTGCCAGCCTGGGCAACATAGTGAGACTTCATTTCCACACACACAAAAAGCCAGACATCTTGGCTCACACCTGTAGTCCCAGCTACTTGGGAGGCTGAGGTGGGAGAATTGCTTGAGCCCAGGAGCTACGATCGCACCACTGCATTCTAGCCTTAGTGATACAGTGAGACCTTGTCTCAAAAAAAGAAAAACAGGGCTTTCTGGAAAAACATTCTTCTCCCACAATCTCCAAAAGATAATGCCAAAACCTGGGTATCTTCCTGGATTTGTGAATGACGTACAGGTATTCATTTATTCATTGGTACACATTCTGTATGCTGCTGTTTTCAAGTTGGCAAATTAAGCATATGATAAAATCCCAAAACTAAGCCACTGAATTGATTATAATGCTATATAACATAAATACACAAACATTTTGAAAACAAGAAAGGGAACTCTCTGAATCAAAAACTGAGCTGCTTTCTTTTTCTCTGGAAAGGGAGGCAGACAGGAAACTTTACACTAAGCTATGGCAACCATAAGGAGGCAAGGGCTGTGATGTGAGTGGGTCTTCAGCTAAGCTAGAGCTGCCGGGCACATAGCATGAGGCTGATGCTACCGTGAGACTGTGTGGAGGCCCACACAGTCCAAGATATGCACAGGAGTCTCATAAGATTAATTTACAACCAAGAATTACCCAAGCTTGGATACACACCCAAAAGAAGGCAGAGATCCAAACAGATGTTTGTACATCAGTGTTCCTAACAGCATTTCTCACAATAGCCAAAAGGCAGAAACCACTGAAGCGTCTTATCGATGGATGATGGATAAAGAAAATGTGGTATATACATAAATGGAATACTATTGAACCTTGGAAAGCAATGAAATTCTGACTCATGCTACAACTCTGATGAACCTTGAAGATAGTATGCTTAATGAAAGAAGCCAGACACAGAAGGACAAATATATGATTCCATTTATATGAGGTACCTAGAATAGTCAAAGTCACAGACACAGTGAATGGAATGGTGAATGTCAGGGGCTGGAGGGAAGGGAAATGAGGAGTTAGTGTTTAATAGGTACAGAGGTTCAGTATAGGATGATGAAAAAGCTCTGGAGATGGATGGCGGTGATGGTTGCACAACATGGTGAATGTACTTAATGCCATTGAACTGTACACTTGAAAATGGTTTATACTGGGCGTGGTGGCTCATGCCTGTAATCCCAGCACTTTGGGAGGCCGAGGTGGGTGGATCACTTGAGGTCAGGAGTTTGAGACCAGCCTGGCCAACATGGTGAAACCCCATCTCTACTAAAAATACAAAAATTAGCCGGGCATGGTAGCACATGCCTGTAATCCCAGCTACTAAGGAGGCTGAGGCAGGAGACTCGCTTGAACCCAGGAGGTGGAGGTTGCAGTGAGCCAAGATCGCTCCACTGCACTCCAGCCTGGGCATCAGAGCAAGACTCCATCTCAAAAAAAAAAAAAGTTAATATGGATATATATTACCACAATTAAAAGTCACCCAAGCATCCGTGGAAGCCCAATTCCATGAAGGAGGAACAACAAACTTAAGAACAGAGAGAGTCTATATCCAAAGGAATGAAGTTAATAGGACAACCTGAAAAGTATTGTTAAGATGAGAACTAAAAAGAAATCAGCCAGGCATGGTGACTCACCCTGTAATCCCAACACTTTGGGAGGCCAAGGTGGAAGGATGTTTTGAAGCCAAGAGTTCGAGACCACTCTGGCCAATATATTGAGACCCCCATCTCTACACAAGCTTTTTAAAAAAGTTAGCTGGGCATGGTGGTGTGCACCTGTGGTGGAGGCTGAGATGGGAGGATCATTTGATCGTAGGAGTTCGAGGCTGCAGTGAGCTATGATCAGACCACTGCACTCCAGCCTGGGTGATAGCCTGTTTAAAAAAAAAAAAAAAAGAAGAAGAAGAAAGAAAGGAAAGAAAGAAGAAAAAGAAATCATACCCATGAGAGTCAAGATCTTCAAAAGGAAATATATAATTGTTGAAATAATAATTTCAATAGATAGGTTGAATATTAGAAAATTAGATTCAACTGAAAGAGATCAGTAAACCGAAAGACTGAGCTGAGGAGTTCTCTGATAATGTGGCAAAAAGAAATAGTAAGTATAAAAGTGATGTTAAGAAAAAGGACTGATAAACTCAGAAATTCTAATATTCATTTAATAAGTGTTCCAGAGAAAGAATAGAGAGAAAGTGAAGATGTAATAGCTGAGAGTTTTATAAAATGGAATAAAGACAAGGCTTTTTAGACCAAAAGCTCTCATTGAACATGTGCTGAATAAATGGAAAAAAAAATTACCTCTAAGCCCAATGAAGAAAATCAAAGATAAAAGAAATCTTACTAGTTTCCCCAAAGAAAATGTATATAACTTCCAAAGAAGAGAGAACCAGACTGATAGCAGACTTCTCATTTGCAACATTAGATTCAATACCTGAAACCATACTTTTGAAGTGTAAAGAAAAAAACTGCATTGAAAGCTTTGGATCTAGAATCCTATATATGTTTATTCATGTATATATGTACACACATGTATTTTTTTTTCCCCCGTGAGGACATTTTATGTGCCAAGTCCTGTGCTGGGTGCTATGGGAAATAAATAGATTAATATGCCAAGGCCTTGCTACCAAGAGGGAACACAAGGATAAAGAAAAGTACAGAGACAAGTGTTATGGAAGGAAGAATGTGGTATATGCAATAAGTGAGATATAAACTAATGCTATGAGGTTCCCAAGGAAGGAGAGATTCTATGTGGCTGGAAGTATCAGGGAAGACCTCACAAAGATTCCAGGCTTTATGGAGTGGAGGGCTTGGTCAGGCTATGATAATTAATTCATTACCTTTCCATCCAAACCTGCTCTACTACCCTCCTGTTACCCAGGCAACAAATACGGGAGTCAGCTTCAAATCTTTCCTCTCCCTCAACTCCTGTATTAGTTAGGGTAGGCTAAGCTGGTGTGACAAATAGATCCAAACACGGGTGGAGTTAACACAACAGAAATCTATTTCATGCTTGAAGACAGTACTGCTAGGGTATTCAGTCATAAAGGAGGCTCTCTGTAATGCAGTCATTTGGAAACACGTGCTCCTTCAATATTAAGCTCCCACATAGCCCAGGGCAGTATTTCCCAAACTGATCCACAGACCAGCAGTATCAGTATCTCTTGGAAACTTATTAGAAATGCTCTTATCTGGTCCTGCTGCAGACCCAATGAATCAGAAACTCTAGGAGCAGAGCCCAGGAATCTTGTTCAGCAAACTTCCAGGTGATTTTGATGCTCACTAGGTTAAGGACCACTGCCTGAGGGCTTTGTTAAGTCTGCAACCAGCTGGCAGAAATGGAAAAAGGGCACGGAGGATGAAAACCGACTCTCTTAAAAGCCCTGGCCTGAAGGTGGCACACGTCACTTCCACTTATATTCCATCAGCGAGGACTTAATCACATGGCCTCATGTAACAGCAAGACAGGCTGGGAAATGTAGAATAGCATGTACCCAGGCAGGGAAAGGGGAACAGCTTTGGGGGCAACAGCGGGCATTCTCCATCACACTTCCCAAGTCCAGTTGTTCTAATACTAATCTAGACTGATCTGTTCCTTCCCATCCCACTTGTGCCTCTGGTTCAGGCCACCCCCACCTCTCATGGACATCCACAGTGACTCTCAAGCTGGTACCCTGCCTCCAGACTCTACTCTGTCCTCTCACACTACTCACTAAGTCTCGTTTTCATGAAGCCTGTGCCTCCTCAAAGTGCTGGGGCAAAGAACCCACTGCCTCACTCTAAAAGCCTTAAAGAGCTCTCTTTCTCCTAATCACTTCTCACACTGTTCCTTCTTCTTGGGCTAGCCTCCTTCTACCCTCTGCCTGATAAAATCCTACTCACCTCCTTTGATGTTTCCCTCACCCTCCAAGTTAGAATCTTCCTCCAGACCCTCACAGCATGGACTTAATTATATCCTAATTCTATTTAGGACTGTTTCCAGAATAGACTCGGAACTAAAGTTTTTTTTTTTTTTTTTTTTTTTTTTTTTTTTTTTTTTTTGAGGACCAAATAAATAGGGTCAGATTGCTCCATTCAGGAGCATTTACTCATTTACTCACCTATCTATCCATTTCTCCAAAATATATTTCTCAGGTGGCTTCTATGTGCTAAACACTTTCGGATAGGTGGTGATATAATAGCAAACAATAGAAGTGTGGTCCCTGCCCCCTGGGAGTTTATGTTTAGAGGTTAAGGTTCTTGATGAGCAAACTGACAGTAACAATATAGTGTGAGGAGTGCTAGGTTGGAAGAAGGGTCAGAGTATCATGGGAGCATGAAGGAGAGGGGAGAAAAGGTATTCCAAGTAGAGGCAAGAGAGAGCATGTTATTTTTAGGAAACTTAAAAGTATATATCCCAGAGACTTTTGATTAATTCCTTCCCCAAAGTTTCCTCTCTCTATGGAACTACACCTACTTAGAGAAGGATTGAGCGGATGCTTAAGAAACTGGAAGGACTTGCTATCTTGTGTACTAGTCAATAAACTCAGTGGCCCTCTGTCAGGGACAGCTAAGGAAATTGGATTCTTCAAAGTATTGAAAAGCTGGGTTGTTGATAAATGGCATTAGATCAAGCTTTGATTTCACTTTGGGTACACAGCTAGAGAGCCCTCTTCTGTGGAAATTTAGATTTGAGATCGCCGTATTTGTTTATATAGATGCGCCTCAAACTGTATTTTGTTTTCTGCTTTGAGGAGGAAGAATGTGATCAGGCTCCCACCTCCCTCCCATTTTCTTTCCATAGTGGGTTGTTGTAGTTCCTGCTTAGAAGGCTCAGAAAAAGTACGTGTAGTGAAAAGAATGACTTTGTTCACTGAACATTAAAAGGGAAGAGAATTTAAGTACCATTCGCAGCTCTTCATGCAGCTCTCAGGAGTTCTTCAAAGATTGGGATTATTGGGCAACCATCCTGAGTCTCCTTTCTCCCTAAAGAAAGAGCCATTTACCCAAATAATCCTGCCCAAATATCCCTGTCATCACCAGGGAGACACACACGAGTCTGCTAGTGATAATATCCTAACTTCTGAAATAAACAGGGAAATTATACAAATAAAACAGTTCTGCATTATGAAGCAGAAACCATTTGGATGAAATGTTTCTCAAAGTGTAGCAACATTTCAAATAAGGAGACAGACTCAAAGGGAATAAGGGATGGGAGGGAAGAGTGTGAAAGAAAGATGTCTAGGATCTTCTCATAGTTCTCATCCAGCTAGTGAGTGTGCCTGGCTTTCTTTGAAGCAATGTGGAGGCCTCAAGTTATGGCAGGTGTGATAGACAAGGCCACAGGAATATCATAAATGGCTTCAGATATTTCTGTGCAATGTGTTCAAGAGCCATAAACGTAGCTTCTTAGAAATACAAATGTGAAACAGGTTCTCTTCAGATGATTTTAAGCTTTGAAGATTTTGGCACATTCCAGCTTTGTTCTCAGATATCTCCATGGGGCATTAAAAATGTCATCCTATATAAGACTATGTATGATATTTTTCTCAAGTACCACTTTTGAAATACTCCATTGCTAAATTAGACTGGATCTGGGCATGTAATGTGGGTCATGGTCTTGGAGAAAAGAAACCCAATTTCCTAACAACATGTATGATTATATAGGCATATTATATTATAAAGCACAAACTATTTACCCATGCTAGAAACCTAAATATTAGGAAATCTATTACGGTAGGCTTCTTAAATTTTCATTGAACAATAGTGTAAATTGTAAAACAATTATGTAAATCTTATAAAATGTATTTGCCATGTTTCTTTTTTTAAAAAAGTCAACTCAGCACATGGTTTTCATGCCCAGTTAATTTTTATTTCTATTTTAAAATTATCGCTTGACTTATATATCCCATCTACTTTCCAAAAAGTTTTGAAGTAGTTTATAATAAAAACAGAAAAATCAATTTCGTAAAAAGGACCAAAACCAGAAAGAAAGAAAGAAAGAAAGAAAGAAAAGGTGAGGAAAATTAAATGAAACAATGGTTAGCTTTAAAAATTTATTAAAATCTTATTAATATGTGAAATTTTATGTGACCCAGTTATTTTTTTGGGTTTCCAGCATATCGTTGATCAGACAATGTAAATATTACCAGGTTTGACTTGTTGAGAATCAAGGCCAGTCAAGTACCTGGGACTCTTTAACAAATAAATGTCCCACTTTGGATGGACACTTCTCCATTTTTCAGCTGTGAAAAAGGAACAGTATTATGTGTGCTCGGTGGCACAAAGCTAAAATTAATTCATTGCACATAACCTTTTGGCATCCTTCGATACAAGGACTAGGGAATACAAGGTAGTACAGATAATGAGTTATGACTCACTAGGAAAACAGTCACTCTGCTTATCTGTAGCTACGTCTAGTTCCATGTCCACATTTCTAAATATATTTTATTGACTGTACTTATTAATTGTTTTTTTAAATGGGGAAAGAAAGGGAAATGAAATAAATTTCAGGTACCTAAAATTAAACCTGATATATGGCCAATTTTGGTTGGGTTTACGGCAATGTCATGATAAGAGGCTGGTTAAAGGATTCCATTCCAACAGATTTCCACAAGGTAAGATCTAGCCTGTCTGTCCATTTTCTCCCCAAATTTGTAGGCTTGCTACGCTCCCTCATGACCTGGCAAAGTTGGCAAAGTTTAGAAACCTTAACTTTCTTTAAGGAAAACTGGCTCCTTTCCTCCTTGGGAGCATGGCAGGCAGTGCCAAACTGATCAGTCTATTTAACATGACATTGGGCTGCAATTCTTTAATGGCATCTAAAGCAAAACGTTAAGCTCCTACTCTGTCCCATCGGGCCACCGAAGGGTTCTAAAACCTCGTTTATGATGTCATTTTAAGTATTCCCTCCTTCAGCAATGACAATAAAAGTTAACTATTAAACTCATGTTTTCAACTTCCCACCATGGGTTCCCTGCAACACAAAACCAGCAAATTAAATCATTGAGATACTAGGATACTTAATGAAATAAAAGCGAATTCCTCATAAATGGCCCTAACTGTAGAACATCTGGCCTGCCCAGCTGCATTTTCTCTACATCAGTTGAGGATGTAACAAAGATAACCGACCCTTAGTCTTTCCAAATAACAAAAGCCTAGTTATTCTGAGGGCAGCTAAACCGAGTGGGATAGGATGGACACTTCAGCCCTGCCACAGAGTCTGCGATGACTCATTTACAGGACCTCAGAGTTGTCAGTGCTAGTGAATTCCTCCTTCTTTCGTCCCTGCTACTTCCTTTTCTTTAAAGGAATGGAATCACGAAAAATAAGCTGGGATTGAAAATAGATTGTTTAATTGACTCTTTTTTTTTGGATCACAAAATCAAATCTTAGCTTGCTGCTGGGACTTTAGGCTCCCTCATTCATTCATTTGTTCATTCATTCAACAAATATATATTTCGTGTCTAATTTGTACCAAATCCTGGGAGTACAGAAGTGAAAAAGAGTAATAGTCACTTCCCGCATGGTACTTACATTCTAGTGGTAAGAGTCAATACAGAAGTAAACTGCCAGGTAAAGGTGTAATTTCAAATGGTCAAAGTGCTATGTGTGAAAATAATAGTGTGCTATGAAAAAGTATAAAGTGGGGACGCATCTTAGTTGGTGGTCAGAGATGCCTCCCTGACAAGGTGACATTTATCTGAGACCTGAAGTTTTACAAGGAGCCAGCTACATAGAGGTTGCGGAGGGAAAAAGAACTTTCTATGCGACGGGGAAAAGCATGTGCACAGGCCTCAGGCAGCAAAGAGCTTGGCATAGTGGGAACTGACAAATGTGTATAATAAATAAGGAAGAGAGTGGCAGGAGAGGAAGTTGCAGAGATAGGCAGAGGCTAGATTATGCAGCAACATAAGAAGGAACTGATTCATTTGCTGCCCCGGTCAGTTCTGTCAATCAGATTTTGACCATGGAACTATTGGTAAAGTGTAACTCAAACAGATGAGGTTTCTAGCTTCAATAGGAGGTCTCTTTAGACACAGCTGTCTTAAGGATAGATAATAGCCAATGACGGAGGTTGCAGTGAGCCAAGATCACGCCACTGGCACTCCAGCCTGCATGACAGAGTGAGACTCTGTCTCAAAAAACAAAAAAAAAGATGATAGCCAATGACATACCTAGAGATACAGGTAAATATCAATATATAGTCTTCTTTCCCTGTCTCAATCATGAAGATTACAGGAAATGCTTGTTTAGTAGCAAATCCTGTCAAGCAACATCGTCCAAATAGAACTTTCTGTGATGAGATGGAAATTTTTTCTATCTTAGCTATCCAAAACAGTAGCCATTAGCCACCTGTGGCTATTAAGCACTTCAAATGTGGCTAGTGGAATTAAGAAACTGAATTTTAAATTGTATTTAGTTTTAATTCATTTAAATTTCAATAGCCACGAGTGGCTATAGGATAGGGCAGAGCAGCTCTAGAATCTTGACACACTTAAAGGAGCTTACAAACAAAAGGCGTAGGTTAGGTTAAAACTTGAGCAATATCTGTGATGGTTCACAGAATCCTCCTAAGGAAAAGGTTAAAGCAGTGGTCTCCAACCTTTATGGCACCAGGGACCGGTTTTGTGGAAGACAATTTTTCTATAGACTGGGGAAGAGGTGGGGGGGATGGTTTCAGGATAAAACTGTTCCACCTCAGATCATCAGGCATAGACTCTCATAAGGAGTGTGCAACCTAGATCCCTTGCATGTGCAGTTCATAGGGTTCACACTCCTATGACAATCGAATGCTGCTTCTGATCTGATAGGAGGCAGAGCTCAGGCAGTAATGCTTGCTTGCCCACCACTCACCTCTTGTGCGGCCCAGTTCCTAACAGGCCACGGTCCGGTACTGGCCCTGGGGTTGGGGACCCCTGGGTTAAAGGATTCAGTCCAAGATCTGAAAAAAAAGGGTACAGCCAGGTAGCTTGGGAAGCACTCTAAATTTTCAGAAGTCTGTAGCAGAATCTCAAAGCTTCAGGTTTTTGTTGTTGTTGTTGTTGTTATTGTTGTTGTTTTTGAAACAGGGTCTCACTCTGTTGCCTAGCCTGGAGTGTAGTGGCGTGAGCACAGCTCACTGCAGCCTCCACCTCCTGAGCTCAAGTGATCCTCCCGCCTCAGCTTCCCAAGTAGCTGGGACTACAAGCACACACCACCACACCCAGCTTTTGTATTTTCTGTAGAAATGGGGTTTTACCATGTTGCCTAGGCTGGTCTCAAACTCCTGGGCTCAAGAAATCAGCCCACCTCAGCCTCCCAAAGTGCTGGGATTATAGGCATGCGACACTGCGCCTCGCCAGCTTCTGATTTTTAATGGCCCTTAACATACAGAATGTGTGACAGGAGGCAGTATGTTATAGAGCTTTGTTACTCAAAGTGTGGTTCACAGACCAACCACATTGTCATCATTTAGAAGTTTGATATAAGGGCCTCACTCCCAATCTACTGAATCAGAATCTGCATTTTTAACAAGATCTCCAGTGATTCAAATACACATTCAACTGTAAGAAACATTGCTATGGAAAGGGTTTGGGGTTGGGCAGACCTGCATTGAAATCCCAACTCTGCCACTTACCTGAGCAAGTCATTTAACCTCTTGGGCCTCAATTTTCTCACCTGAAAAAGGAGGTAATACTACTTACCTCAAAAGGTTGTTGTCAAGACTGAATGGGTCAATGTATAAAAGGAAATGAGCATGAGATATGGTTTATGTTGGATGATCATTAATTCATTTATTTGACAAATCATTACTGATTGTCTATTATATTCCGAGCACCCTTCCTGTCCTGTGCTTAAAACCCCTTCCAAAACAAAGCAACCTTGGGGAAGAAGAGTGTTTTGTTGGGGATGGGAGGGGAAGAAAATGTTCCCCTGTAGCAGTTTCAATACTGTAAGGTGACCAACAACTGCTCCTCTTGGGATCTTTATAGGATTCTCAACTATCAGGGGCTTCCACCGCTATCCTCAGACCTTTAAATAAATAGAAATGTGAGGAGGGGAGGGGGGAATAAGAGAAAAATATGGGAATTGAACAAATAGGGAAGATTTGCTATTGTTTTACCGACAAAAAGCATTAGAATTGTCTTAAAAACTAAGCACAAACTGTAAGCTGCGCAGATTTTCTTTTATTAGCTTCCTTAGAAAAGCAGCAGCAGCAATTCTCACTGGAGGTCTCACTGGTAGGAAAGGGAATTCAAGGGGTGTTCTTTTCTGCTCCCCAGGCAAAAAGGGTTTCTCACCCAAGCCAGTAGGTGTTAATCTGCTTAAGCCTGCCTGAGTGGATGTGTTAGATTGCTGGCACATGTCCATTTAGGGGTTTTGTTCCCCAGACCACAGGAGCCCATTTTTCCAAGAGTTCCACTAGCTTTTTGTTTGATAACGTCTATTTCTAGCAGCATTTACTCCTTCAACAACAAATTCAATGGAACGAAAATTTACTGAACACCTACTATTTGGCACACCCTCTGTTGGGGATACAGAGATGAATAAGGAACAGTTGCTGTGCTCCGGGGCTCACACAAAAGTAACTGCTGTTGCATTCTCTCAGGTGATGGCTATTATCATGACTTCTTCCCACTGCTTGGAAAAAAACATGCTTTGGTTTCCTTGGCTGCCCCGTTTCAATATCCATTGACCTCGCTGTGCTCGCCTGAGGTCCCAGAGGCTTCAAGGGTTAATTACTTGCTTGCTGTGGCTGGTTCATTGTTCTCCCAAACTTCTCACCCTTTCTGCTTCCATTTCCAACTCTAAACTTTGTTTAATGTATTAATGTTTTTCTTTTTACGGAGGCAATACACATTCTTTACAGAAAAATACAGATAAGTAAAATAAGGGAAAACACTGTAAAACTCTCCTCAATCCCACCACTCAATGATAACCCATTTTAATAAACATGACATTTTAAAAAACTGTAACAGTAATATAATTTCACATGAAGTTCAAAACATAGAGGAGGGCAATTATGCATAATCCAGTCATCTGAGTTGTGATCATTTTGGGGATCTTCCCTTCCCATTTTCTTGTACTTATAAATCAAGCCTAACATGTAGCCTGCTAAAGTCATTATCTTTTGGGGGAAGAATATGGAATAGATGTGCAAAGCAGGAAGGGGTACTTTCAGCTGTGCTGGTGAGTAAGGACACTAGTAATTTTATAGAAAAACATGTTTAGAAATTTGCCGTAATTGGCTAAATTACTGTTGCTATTCAAATGTTTCATCCCTGGTAATAGAATCTCACCCAAGAAACTTGCCTTTCTTCCCTGGGGTCTGAAATGAGAAATACAGAAATATCTATTTTAAGAAGTTCTCATGTAAGAATACCTGAATTCATAATGAAGAGTGTTTGCATACCATTAAAAGCCTACCACGTGCCAAACTCTCTGACATATATTACAACAGTCCTGCAAGATAGATATTATTACTCCTGTTTTAAAGATGATGAAACAGAAGCTCATAAAGTTTAACAGGCTTGCCCAAGATCTTATAGCTAGTACCTGGCAGAACCAGAACCCAGAGCAAAGAGACACAACGGTAGAGAGTAGAAAGTGTGTGGCACAAAGTGTGTGGGTTCACAGCCCGACTGAACCACCCACTCACTCTGGGACCTTGCGCAAGTTATTTAACATTCTAAGTTTCCTTGAACTGGACTTTTGTGTGATGCCATTAGCCTGCAGTTAGTGTTGACAAAAGGAACCGTCCTTAGAATCAAGATGAAGTCCATTGTAAGGGTGTTGAGGACATTGTTGAACAGTTCATAGTTAAAGATATTGCTGTTTGCTCTGAATTTGGAGGACAGTAAACTCCTGAGCGATCGTCAGTCTTAGTGCTCCTAACTATTCAGGCTTCCAGGAGCACTGGCTCCTGGAAAACTCATATCTAAGTTTAAAGTTCACATATAGGAAGAATTTGGGCGGCATGTTTCACCTCATTCTGAATTGCATTTTTTGCCTCCAATTCTGCTTTTCTTTCTTCTTTCATTCCCACTTCCATTTTATTGTCTCGAATCTTTTATATTGCTATACACTCCCTTAAATTCTTTTGGATTTAACCATCAGTTTCCTCATCTATAAATGGGGGATAACGTTCTTTTAAGGGTGTGTGACAAGCACTCAGCACAGTGCATGGTCTGTAAGAGATGCTCAATAATGGTGTCTCCTTTCATACTCTTAGAATAAATCTTTGTCACCTCATTACAACAAAGGACATTATTTGCATTCTAAAAGATTCTTCAATTTATGAAAGGGCTCACCAAAGGGTTCTTTTAACAATAAGCCAATGTATTTAAAATAGGACACCATTTCCACATTTCTTCAAGGGTATTCCTTACCGAGTCTCTGTCACATAACTGGCACAGCGCTGATCCACCAACTCTGCTTCCTCCCACTACTCCATATCAATGCAGCTCCTCTCATATGCTATTTGCAAAGTCCCTGGGATGGAATGGACTAATTTTTAAAATGAAAACCTTTCCTTTATCTTTCCAGAGGAATTTTTAGATAGAAATGGTCTGCTGCAGAAAATACAGAATGGGAGATCAAATTTTCTCTTTTACTTCACCTTAAAAATGTCCTCCCTTAAATTCTTTCATGTTTTCCATGTACCTAAAGGGGGATGTTGAATCCCATTACCTCTGCCTTCTAAAACAAGTTTAATTATTTCCACCATACTAACATATTTTAAAATTTATCAGAAATTAAGTTGTCTGATGAGTTTAGTATTGCTATTAATGATTTATCAAATTATCATTAAAAAAAATTCTAGCCCAGGAGCGGTGGCTCATGCCTCTAATCCTAGCACTTTGGAAGGCCGAGGTAGGAGGATCACTTGAGACCTGGAGTTCAAGACCAGCCTGGGGAACATAGTGAGACCCTGTGTCTATAAAAAATTTAAAGGCCAGGTGCGGTGGCTCACGCCTGTAATCCCAGTACTTTGGGAGGCAAAGGCGGGTGGGTCACAAGGTTAGGAGTTCGAGACCAGCCTGACCAACATGGTGAAACCCTGTCTCTACTAAAAATACAAATATTAGCCAGGCATGGTGGTGTGCACCTGTAATCCCAGCTACTCAGGAGGCTGAGGCCGGAGAATCACTCGAACCCAGGAGGTGGAGGTTGCAGTGAGCTGAGATTATGCCACTGCACTCCAGCCTAGGTGACAGAGTGAGACTCCATCTCAAAAAAAAAAAAAAAAAAAATTAAAAATTAGCTGGGCATGGTGGTACATACCTGTAGTTCCAACTACTTGGGAGGCTAAGGGGGAAGGATCCCTTGAGCCCGGGAGGTCAAGGCTGCAGTGAGGGCCATGATCATGTCATTGCACTCCAGCGTGGGTGACAGAGTGAGAGCTTGTCTCCAAACAAAAAAAAAACTAACCATCTCATAAAATATTAAGCATTTAATTTTGTCAGGTTTTTATCCCCCAGTCTTTAGCACTTTCAAGGTATCCAATTAAATTAAAAAATAGACAAAGGGAATTCATAATTTGTATGGAATAGGTCACTGTCCAGGTCACTGTCTAATAATCTTCAAAAAGACCTGAGCTGGCAGAGCCCAGTAATCTACTTATGTTTGCTTAAAGCAATTTGTTGGATCCTTAACACCTGTTGAGTTGAGCGCTGAAAAGTTAATTTGCAGTGCCTATCTGGGCTGTATTTCCCCAGGCTTTCCTTTTCCTTCTCGCCCTCCCTTCCTTTCTTCCTATCCTTCCCTTCCCTTTTCTCCCTTCTAAAATTTTTATTGAGTGTTTTGGCAGTCAGGATCTGTACTAAGCACTGGGAATCCATTGGTGGCCAAAATAGGCCAGGCCCCTACCCTCATGGTGCTTTCTGTCTAGTGAGGGGGCCATTAATCTAATCACATTCACTAATGGGTGTAGGATTACAAATTGCAGTAGGCACCACTTAGGCCTACAGTACAGTGAGGGATCTGGCCTAGTCTGGGGTTAGGAAGAGGACAGCTTTTTGGACTGTGAGAGGAAGAATGAGTGGGTAATAAGGCAGCAGAAACAGCACGTGCAAAGGCCCTGAGTTGCTGGGAATTGTGGTACTCTGGAGACAATGAAAGATACTGTGGCTGGACCAGACAAAACAAAGACAGGGGATGGGGGATGCCTCTGGTGAGCTCAGCAGAGTCAGAGATACATGTCTTATAAAGATTTTGGCCTTCAACTTAAGAACAAAGGGAAGCCACTAAAGTAAGGAAGAACAAGGGATATGAGAACTGTTAATGATCAAGACGTCTTAATTTGTCTCTGCAGGAGCAATGCAGTCTTACACGTGGTCTCTAACATACACAGTGACGACGGCTGCTGGGTCCCCAGCTGAGAACTCCCAACAGCTGCCCTGTATGAGGAACACTCATGTGCCTTCTTCCTCCGTCACACACAGGATACCAGTTTATCCCCACAGAGAGGAACATGGGTAGGTAACTTTCCAGGGATGCTGCTGGACTTTTAAAATTTGATCTAAAGAGGCTGGGCACAGCAGCTCACACCCTGTAATCCCAGCACTTTGGGAGGCCAAGGTGGGCCTTGAAGTCAGGAGTTCGAGACCAGCCTGGCCAACGTGGTGAAACCCTGTCTGTACTAAAAATACAAAAATTAGCCAGGCATAGTGGCTTACACCGATAATCCCTGCTACTTGGGAGGCTGAGGTGGGAGAATTGCTTGAACCTGAGAGGCAGAGGTTGCAGTGAGCTGAGATCGCACCGCTGAACTCCAGCCTGGGTGACAGAGCGAGACGCCGTCTTAAAAAAAAAAAAAAAAGAAAAAGAAAAAAGATCTAAAGAGGGGTTTCCTTAGCAGCTATTTTCTCAAAGAACAGGAAGGGTGCTACCCTTTGCTGAGTTCCCACAATATCCTGAGCACTGTATTGTGTAATCCCCACAACAACCAGGGTAGGTAGGTAGGTAAGAAGGTGTTAGTGACCCCATTTTAGATGAGGAAATTGAAACTTGTTTGGTTATCTTCCATTCCCCAAGGTCACACAGCTGGCACATGGTAGGGCCTAAACTGAGCAAATGTCTGACTCCAAAGCCTGTGTTCCTCCCTCTTTACTCCTTTAACGCCTCAGCTGAAAACCCCTTTCAGCAGTTCCCCTGGGTGGCTCTTTGTACACTTCGCAGAATTACAGAGCTTCATCTTAGGTTCAAGTCTTTTATGATTCCATTTAGAGAAGGGCTTCCCCACCTGAGGGCTGGAGGTCCCTTTAGGCTGCAGTTATTCATGAGGTTCAGGGGATTTCCCATAGGTTCTAGCGGTGTTTTATGCCCTGGAAAAATGCATCATTTGTTTTGCCCATATTTTTTTCTTTTTCAAATACGTGGAGTGATGTTGCTGTGATGAATGAACTACAAATCCATACAAAAGTGTTACTTGAATCCTCATAGCTCTTTGCCATTATGCACTGTCTTTATCAAAAGACACTAACCTTACAATGTCTAATGAGCAGTGATCTGAAAAGCACTTATGATATTAACAAGAGATCCTGACCGGGCACAGTGGCTCACACCTGTAATCCCAGCACTTTGGAAGGCCGAGGTGGGTGGATCACTTGTGGTCAGGAGTTCGAGACCAGCCTGGCTAACATGATGAAACCCCATCTCCCTACTAAAAATACAAAAATGGGCTGGGCGCAGTGGCTCACACCTGTAATCCCAGCACTTTGGGAGGCCAAGGCGGGGTGGATCACGAGGTCAGGAGATCGAAATCATCCTGGCGAACATGGTGAAACCCCGTCTCTACTAAAAATACAAAAATTAGCTAGACGTAGTGGCACGCGCCTGTAGTCCCAGCTACTCGTGAGGCTGCGGCAGGAGAATTGCTTGAACCCAGGAGGTGGAGGCTGCAGTGAGCTGAGATTGTGCCACTGCACTCCAGCCTGGCGACAGAGGGAGACTTCATCTCAAAAAAAAAAAAAAAGAAAAGAAAAATTAGCTGGGCATGGTGGGTGCCTGTAGCCCCAGCTACTCAGGAGACTGAGGCAGGAGAATTGCATGAACCCAGGAGGCGGAGGTTGCAGTAAGCTGAGATCGCGCCACTGCATTCCAGCCTGGAGAATAGAGCGATATACTCCAACTCAAAAAAAAAAAAAAAAAAAAGAGAGCTCCTACCATGTGGTGCAGTGGGCCTCACCACTCACAGGCCAGGTTCCAACAGACCAGTTGTGGGGGACATGGGAGGAGGAGGGGGAGGATTTCTCAGGTCCCTTCCACAGTTGGCCCAGCATAATGCAGCACGGCGGTGACCTGACAGTGGGCACAGGCCTGGATGTTGGTGTACTTTTCCATAGGTTCAAGTGCCCCTGAGCAGTCAATCGGGCAACCATTATTTTCTCAGGGGGCCTTTGAGAGTATTTCCACACATTTAGAATAGACTCTGAAAACTCTGTTTCAGAGAGATTTTTGATTCAGCAGAAATAGCAGAAAAAATACTCACATGGTCATAGGTCAGCATCTTTACCATAAATATTTTACTAAGAAGAACAGTGATAATAATAGGCTATGTCTACACAGGACTTTCTGGTTTATGGAGTGTGTTCACACATACGATCCTCAGAATGACCGTGCGCAGCATTTTTATGGATGTGAGAAACAGGGTCATGAAAGTCACACAGCTAGAAAGTCGTGGAGCCTGATTTAGAACCAGGGTCTTTGATGCCTGTTTGAACACGCCATGGTGCTCTCCCCCCAGGAGACAGCTTACAGAAACCCACTACATCCTTCCCCATGATGTGGAAGCAGAGGCCTGAGTGATACAAAAACATAAATCTCACAGTGGTTTGTTTTTTGTTATCCCTATTTGATTTCAGGATACAACAGGGGTTTTAAACACAGCAGGAGTAGAGGTTTCCATCACTAATGATGTTTGGCTCAGGGCTAGATTTCATCCCTGAACGCTGGCTGGGGGGTAAGGGAGGTATCTTCTAGGTGTTGAGGGAGAAGGAAAATCAACCTGGGGTTTTAAGTTAACCATAACAAGGCCACAAGAGTGGAAATGGTAAGAATCAAAAAGAAGAGGCCGGACACGGTAGCTCATGCCTGTAATCCCAGCATTTGGGGAGGCCAAGGTGGGTGGATCACCTGATGTCAGGAATTTGAGACCAGCCTGGCCAACATGGTGAAACCCCATCTCTATTAAAAATATAAAAATTAGCCGGGCATGGTGGCACATGCCTGTAATCTCAGCTACTCAGGAGGCTGAGGCAGGAGAATCATTTGAACCCAGGAGGCGGAGGTTGCAGTGAGCCAAGATCATGCCACTGCACTCCAGCCTGGGCAACAGAATGAGACCCTGACTCAAAAAAAAAAAAAAAACAGATGAAAGAAAGAAAAATGGGATTGGGGGTGAAGGGGGGAAGAAAAGAAAAGAGAAAAAAGAAGAAAAAGGAAAAAAAATAGATGAGGTTTTTAAAAAGGTGTCAAACTGATCTGTTCTTGCTATTACTCACACTATTCAATGTGCTTGATGCATTTTAGATACACGGGAAGCTATAACTATGGGAGCTATGGCAACCAGCATCCTCACCCCATGCAGAGCCAGTATCCGGCCCTCCCTCATGACACAGCTATCTCTGGGCCACTCCACTATGCCCCTTACCACAGGAGCTCTGCACAGGTGAGTCAGTGGTCCTGGTTTCTTGGCCAGGCCTTGGTATACTTGGTGCCAAATCTGGTTAACACAGTTCATAAACTGTTATGCATACTGTGTGTGCAGCGTGTGTGTCCCCAAGGAGAGGACAGTCTTTATTTATTTATTTATTTATTTTTATTATTATACTTTAAGTTTTAGGGTACATGTGCACATTGTGCAGGTTAGTTACATACGTATACATGTGCCATGCTGGTGTGCTGCACCCACTAACTCCTCATCTAGCATTAGGTATATCTCCCAATGCTATCCCTCCCCCCTCCCCCTACCCCACAACAGTCCCCAGAGTGTGATGTTCCCCTTCCTGTGTCCATGTGATCTCATTGTTCAATTCCCACCTATGAGTGAGAACATGCAGTGTTTGGTTTTTTGTTCTTGCGATAATTTACTGAGAATGATGATTTCCAATTTCATCCATGTCCCTACAAAGGACATGAACTCATCATTTTTTATGGCTGCATAGTATTCCATGGTGTATATGTGCCACATTTTCTTAATCCAGTCTATCATTGTTGGACATTTGGGTTGGTTCCAAGTCTTTGCTATTGTGAATAATGCCGCAATAAACATACGTGTGCATGTGTCTTTATAGCAGCATGATTTATAGTCCTTTGGGTGTATACCCAGTAATGGGATGGCTGGGTCAAATGGTATCTCTAGTTCTAGATCCCTGAGGAATCGCCACACTGACTTCCACAATGGTTGAACTAGTTTACAGTCCCACCAACAGTGTAAAAGTGTTCCTATTTCTCCACATCCTCTCCAGCACCTGTTGTTTCCTGACTTTTTAATGATTGCCATTCTAACTGGTGTGAGATGGTATCTCATTGTGGTTTTGATTTGCATTTCTCTGATGGCCAGTGATGGTGAGCATTTTTTCATGTGTTTTTTGGCTGCACAAATGTCTTCTTTTGAGAAGTGTCTGTTCATGTCCTTAGCCCACTTTTTGATGGGGTTGTTCGTTTTTTTCTTGTAAATTTGTTTGAGTTCATTGTAGATTCTGGATATTAGCCCTTTGTCAGATGAGAAGGTTGCGAAAATTTTCTCCCATTTTGTAGGTTGCCTGTTCACTCTGATGGTAGTTTCTTTTGCTGTGCAGAAGCTCTTTAGTTTAATTAGATCCCATTTGTCAATTTTGTCTTTTGTTGCCATTGCTTTTGGTGTTTTAGACATGAAGTCCTTGCCCATGCCTATGTCCTGAATGGTAATGCCTAGGTTTTCTTCTAGGGTTTTTATGGTTTTAGGTCTAACGTTTAAGTCTTTAATCCATCTTGAATTGATTTTTGTATAAGGCGTAAGGAAGGGATCCAGTTTCAGCTTTCTACATATGGCTAGCCAGTTTTCCCAGCACCATTTATTAAATAGGGAATCCTTTCCCCATTGCTTGTTTTTCTCAGGTTTGTCAAAGATCAGATAGTTGTAGATATGCGGCGTTATTTCTGAGGGCTCTGTTCTGTTCCATTGATCTATATCTCTGTTTTGGTACCAGTACCATGCTGTTTTGGTTACTGTAGGACAGTCTTTTCATCAGTGTCATTTCTGGCCTCCAATGGCTGGCCCACAGTGGGTGCTCGGCCAGTGTTCATGCTCCATTTGCTCTCACACACCTGGTCGCTAAACAGTTTTTTTTTTCATTCTATCCCCTCTTTGACCTCTTCATGCCAAGATCTAATTGGCTGCATGTCTGCTGCCCTTTTTCGGGCAGCTACCCTCACCCTGGGCCTTGGGTCTCCTTTCCCATCACCACTCTCCTGGTGCAGACCCTCATGGAGTCTTGTCAGGACTGGTCTCTCAACATCATTTTAACTGGCCTTGGGGTGTCCCGTGTCTGCTCTTTTCATCCAGCCCGCACAGGTAATCTTAAGCCGAAGAATCCTCCTGAAATGGATCCCTTTTCAAATCACTCTCAGGCCCTACATCTCCTTGGGCTCCTCACTGTCTAATAAGCCAAATCAGCCCTCTGTGGCCTGTGGGGAATAGACAGGCCATTGCACTTGGCTGCATTTGGGAAACCACCGCTGGACACTCTACCTGTCTAACACTTCCCTGTGCCTTGGCTCTGATCCGACTGGTGGCCAGTTCCACTCTGCATCCTAAGTATCTCTGTATGCCCTCTGTGCTCGTCTCAGCTCAGGCCTTTATCATATCCAGCTTAGATGAAGACAGAAGCCTTCCTGGTGGTCTCTATGCCTCTAAAATGTGCCCCATCTCTGGTCCACCCCCTACACTGCTGCTAGAGGAGGCTTTCGGAAAAAAACCCAACTGACCGTGACACTTTCCCTGTCTTTGGCACATCATTGCTTTCCAGGACAAGTTCAATTCTTTAGTATGTCTCTTAAGACTGGTTACCTTTCTGGCCTACTCACAAACTCCCTCCCTCCCCGCAGCCATGCCAGCCCACATGTGGTTGTCTTGGATGTGCCGAGTTCCTCCATGTCTTTGCAGAAATTGTTCCCTCTGGCTGGGTGTCTCTTCCCCAGTCTCTTCGGCTGGGCATTCATGATGGGCATTCATGGCAATCATATTGCCGTCTTTGTGGCATTCCTGAAAGTACCACCTTGAGTCCTCCAGGACCTTATTAGGTGCCACTCCCTGGGTTTCCTCTCTCAGTAGCATTTCTCACACCCTGTTATCATCACCAACTTTCCTGTCTGACGCGCACGGAGACCCTAAGCTCCCTGAAGGCAAAGATGAAGTCCAGTATCCTCAGGTCACAGCACTTGGCACCTATCAGAAAGAGGAGCTACCTTCTCCTGAACACGTGTTGTATGCCAGGCTCTGCGCTGAGCACTCTCCACATCCCTTAGATAACCCCTGCAGAAGAGGAAGTGAGACTCACAGTAACCTGCCTGAGGGGTTGAACCCAGGCGCTGTGACTCCTGTCCAAGCTCTCAGGCACCACCCCCTGCCGCCTCTCAGATGCAGGCATTCACTAAGTGTACACTGAGCAGATGAGTACATGGGAGGTGGCGTCAGCATGAACAATAGTATGGTGTGCTGAGCACGCTCACTCTATTCTGCAGGCACAGGAAGCTACGGAGTGGTAAGATCAGAGCTATGATTAAGAAAGAGAGCTCTCAGGGCCCCCACAAAATGAACCAAGGGGGACTGGTGGAGGCAGGGGGCTCTGCTCCAAAGCACTTGCAGAAGTTTAGGAATGAGATGGCAGGACTGACGCTAGCATGGAGGCTGTAATTACATCAGCTGTTAGCACAAAGACTTGTCTCTGAGGGAGGACACCAAGGAGAACGTATCCACAACACATGGGCATTCTGGGCAAACAGGTGTTTGTTTTGATTTCCATCTGCAGTACCAAGGGGAGCCCTGGTTTAATCCCCAGACAAGCCAAGAAGTTGATTCCAATAAATCATCACCTGGGGCATTCATTATAGGTCTCCAACTGCGTCACACAGAGATGCCAGCTCCTTAGGAGCTCCGTCTCTTGGGAGCACTCTGTGCTCCTCACTGTGATCCACTGCATGACTGAGAACGGCTGCAACAGCCTAGATCACTCCGCACACTCCAAGCATCTCATTCATTCATTAATTTATTTCTCAAATGGCTCCTGGGTAACTATGTGCAAGCACTGCACTAGCCACTGGGAGTACAGTGAGAAGGAGACAGAGCATGCCTGCTTTGGTAGAGCTTATGCTCCAGTGGGAGACAGCATCATCAAGCCATAGTTCTGGGCATTGTCTTCCCTCCTTCTTCACTTCCTCATTCCCCCTCATGAAATGGCAGGAGCTGGTTTTCTGGGGTGATATTTTTAAAGCCATTGCCATAAAAAGAAGCCAAGGTCTCCTCAAGGCCTATGAGGTCCTGCTCTGGAAGCCACAACAGTCCCCAACTGGAACACTGCCATTTAATATCTGGTCTTAATAGAATGGCCCAAGGACAAGTGAAAGCCCATGGAAGGGCCCTTTTAATCCAGACAAGGTGTGAGAGTCCAAAGGGTCCTAGGCCAGGCTCTTCGCCACCATGCCTTGTGACTCTTAGACGAGTGCCTCTGACACTCCCCTCAATATACACACACTCCACACTTCATGGTTTATGCCTTAGTCTCCATCTGTAAAATGGGGTGGGAAGAAATTAATTATATCAGTCTCTACCCAGGTTGATGAGTGAGGTCAGTGTTCAAAATATACTCTCTGGGGGAAGGTACTGTCTAAAGACAAAGTATCCTTTGTTTTGTTTTTCATTAACATTTATTCAGAGCACTGTTCTAGGCATATTTAAATATACAGACTCACTTAATTGCCCTAACAACCCTGGGAAGAAAGCATTTTTGGAGACAGGATCTCACTCTGTCACCCAGGCTGGAGTGCAGCTGCGCAATCTTGGCTCACTGCAACCTCTACCTCCTGGGCTCAAGTGATCCTCCCACCTCAGCCTCCCAAGTACCTGGGACTATAGGCACATGCCACCAAGCCCAGCTGATTTTTGTGTTTTTGTAGAGACAAAGTCTCGCCATGTTGACCAGACATGTCTCGAACTCCTGGGCTCCAGTGATCCTCCTGCCTTGGCCTCCCAAAGTGCTAGGGTTACAGGCGTGAACCACCACACCTAGACTTTTCCCTCAGTTTTTAAAGATAAGTAGACTGCCTCAGAAGGTAATGTGCCCCAGGTCATGCATCCAGTAAGGGACAAAGCAGACTCAAATGCAAATCCTCCAGCTCTCAAACCCAATGCTAAACCAGTGGTACTTAATACTACTGTTTCGGAGAGTGGAAGGTGAATTCAAGAGGTTACTGCTGCTATTCTCAGTAAGTTTCAAGTTGCCAAAGAGAAGCACACACCCCAAGATAACCTTATTTCTTACGTTTATTGGTTCTTTGGTTTAAGGTTCAGCATAGAGAAAATCCACTGCAGGGCTAATTAGTTTTAGCTTTCCAGAGCAGGGGTCAAGCTGTTCCAATTCTGAGTAACTGAATATCACACTTCACTACATCAGACTCACCAGGGAAAAGGACAGTCTGAATTGGAAGACAAATTCCAAGTATACAATATGGTTGGAGAAATGCAATTGGTCATCAGCACAAAAGTAACTGAAACTACTGCAAATAAATGCCAGCTAGATTTGCCTTAGAGGGCTGATACATCTATGAAGTGCAGTAATTGTAGGTTTCCCAGCATTTATATGCTCAAAATAATTTTAAGTCATTTGTTTTCAAAATAGAATATGTGTATGCCCTTGTTTACACTACTTATTTGCACAATATATACTTTCTTCCTGGGTACTACAAAGGTAAACCTCCCAGCCCTGCTTAGATTCTTGTAACTTTTGACTTAGTGAGTCCAGATGAATGAGGTTTCACAGCGTGAGGTTTGAATTATTTTGGAAAAACATTGCAACTGTGCTGCACTTGTTCACATCAAAGTAAGCTGCCTCTTTCCAGGTTCCCCATTCCCAGGCCCAACCAAAAGGAGAAAATAAACCAGACCAAGTACATAGCTACAAAATCTTTCTGAGCCTCATTCAATACATGTTCATAGAACCTCTACCCTGTCAAGCAGCCATAGTGGAACTGGGGACCTTGAGCTCAAAAGCCATTTGATCACACTTAGACTGGAAAGCTGTCCCTTATTTCTCATCTGAAAGGCAGAGGCCCAGCCTTATCAGCTAATCACCCCCTCTCACAGAATCTTCAGCAGCCTGGCTCAAACCAACCCAGGACCATTGGGTGCTACAAAGTTTGCTTAGGGCACTGTACTTTGGGTTGGTGTCTTGGGCCAAAAAGAAAAAAAAAAAATTAATCAATGATAGTGTTGTAAGATCTCTGACTGTAGAGCCAGGCTCCCTGGGTTCAAATCCCAGCTTTGCCTCCAATTAGCCCTGTGCCTCAATTTTCTCATCTGAAAAATGAGGATAATTATGGTATCTATTTTACAGGGTTGCAGTGAGGGTCAAGTGAGTTAATAAAGGTCGGAACAGGGCCTGGCTCATAGTTAACACATTTTATTATTATCCTTTGTAACACCATAGTTATAATATTATATTTAGGGTAATTTTATAATTAAGATCTGTCTCCCTCACTGTACTAGCTCTGTGAAAGCCAGGACCAAGTCCTTTTTCTCTCCCCATTATATTCCCATGGCCTAGCACCGAACTTGGCCCTCAGTGAGTGCTCAGTAAATACTTGTCAATGAAATGAATGAATGACTGGATTCTTACTCTGGTACTAAGTTGCTGTGTGACTGCAGTAGATCATTTCCCTTCTCTTGACCTTAATTATTTCATCTGTAAACCCAGAGGTAGAACCAGATGGTCAGTCACTAAGGCTCTTCCTATCATTAATGGACCATGACCCTGTGATTCTAAAAAGAACATTAATAACAGCTAACACTTTTTGAAAACTTACTACATAGGAGTTCTAAGTGTTTCACATGTAATAACTTAACTAATCCTGACTCTAAAGGCTCAGCAGCAGAGGGATGGTGGCTCACACTTGTAATCCCAACACTTGGGGAGGCTGGAAGCCCAGGAGTTCCAGTGGGATGACCGTTTGAGCCCAGAAGTTTGAGATCAGCCTGGGCAATGTAGTGAGACCTCACCTCTACAAAAAATTTAAAAATTATCTGGGAGTGGTGGCACATACCTGTAGTCCCAGCTACTTGAGAGGCTCAGGTGGGAGGATCACTTAAGCCTGGGAGGCACAGGTTGGAGTGAGCTGAAATCACCCCACTGCACTCCAGCCTGGGTGACAGGGCAAGACCCTGTCTCAAAAAAAAAAAAAAAAAAAGCTCAGCAGATGTGGACTGTCTGACAAAGATTTTTTGGGAGCTACATCCTTCTCCAGAAGAAGCTAAGAGGCTAGGGGTGAGCCCTCTGGCAGTACTTTGGTGCAGTGAGAGCCGCCTTTCATAGGAAAACAGTTTGTGCTCCTGACTGGGCCACCTTTCACCCCTTGTTCAAGTAGCAGCTCATTTGGTAAGGGGTCAGGAATAAAGGGCTCTTTCTTCCCTCTCCATGTGTAGGAAAGTCAGCCCTTGGTGTGGAGAGTCATTTCTCAAAATAGATCTTCCTAATATGGTTCCAAAGAGAGCAAGAGTCAGTCACAGCTGAGATGGGCTTTTGCCATAGGCATCTGATGAACGTTGGACTGTGTGTGCAGGCACACACATGTGCACACAGGCACCTCTCATACACTCCTTTCAAGGGATGGTAAACTGGTGACTTATGTCCTTTTTAAAATCAGTAGCAACAGCATATGATTTGATCCAAAGAATGGTAACTTGCTGTTATGGGCCCTCAACAAAAGGTGCCTTATTCCAGACAGAGATCTCTGGACCCTGGAATTTGTGCCCAGCATGCTTAAGGACCCTGTATGAAACCGGATGTAAAGTGTGAGAGGTGAGGCGGGTGCCACGGGCCAGCCTCTGCCACTCCCACCAGACTAAATAGAAGCTTCATTGGTCATGTTAATGACCAGGCCAAGGCAGTGAGCACTTCAGCTAACTGGTCTTTCAATGGTCTCTTCACTACAGGGAAAACGAGTCACTGACTCATTTGCAATTAGCTGACCTAACGGGACAGAATTTTCCATGCTGGATTCTGTGGTAACAGAATTTTATTGTCACATTAGAGATATTTTCAGCCAGTCTTGTTTCCAGGCAATTACTCTTTTCAGTCTATGACACAACTTCTGAGCACAGCTGTGTCGAGGGTCCTTGACTAGGCAAAAAAGCCACACTCTCTCGGGTTCTGTGGAAAAGAGCCCAAGTCCATTCTGTGACATTTTACCTACATGAGCCAAGGCAAGGGGGACTCTGTCAGAACCAGCAAGCTGAGGCCAGGTGAGAATTCTAAGGCCCCAGAGCTCTGTCGGGGAAGAGGCAGCTTAGTGAAGGAAGAGGAGCAGAGGGATTAAAGTCTAATGGGCTGGCCTCCAAAAAGGGAGTGCTCTCCTGCTCCTGGGTAACTTGGCAGTGGCAGGTCAGCCTCCTTTGGGACGGTCATATCAATGTGAGGAAAGCGTGCTCCCCAACTGGGTTTCTATGCCAGCTCTTCCACTAGCTTGCTGTGTGACTTTGGGCAGGACACTTGATCTCATGGGGCCTGGCTTTCTCATCTGTACAACATGGGGTTGGATCACAGGATCCCTAAAATTCTTTCTAGTAGTAACGTCCCAATGTTCATTTGCCAACTATTATTTAGCACCTGCTAGGTGCTAGGCACCATGCCAGATGTTGGGAACATGGTGTTGAACACAGCAAAGCCCCATCAGGAGCATATGAATATAAGCCAAAAGAAAGACCTAGCTAGCTGCCAGGCAGGATGGTAAGGCCCCGGCCCGAGAGGCACAGGCTGGGGTGTTTAGGTTCTTGAGATAAGATTCCAGAAAAGTCTCTCCGAGGAGGTGACATTTAAGCTGAGATCTAAAGAATGACAAAAGGGCAGGCATGGCAGGAGCCAGGGGTAGGGGTGGTAGAGAAGGTTCTAGGTACAAGGAACACAGGTAGGACAGAGTTCCCTGAGATGGGAACCAGCTTGACATGCCATGGGACCAGAAGGGAGGCCTCTGTGCCAGGGAGAGCACCAGGAGGTGAGGTGATACCCAGGAGTTGACTTGAGAGAAGACCAGGTGGGGCAAGCAACCTTTTTGAAAAAGTAAGGATTGTTTTGTAGTAATAGTTCCTAATGTTATCTGTTTAATACACCTGGGATCTTGTTTTTTGGGACAGGGCCCAATCTTACTATGGTCTCACTGGGATTTAGAGAGGTTCCTGTGCTAGAATCCCACTGTGCAGGCCTGAGGGTCCACCACTGCTGCCACACAAACAGCATCCTGTAGGTTCCCATGACGCAGAGCACAGGGGTATGCGCCAGTGTTTCTGATCTGATTTGGGATTAGGAAAGCCTTGGCGTGCTGTCCATAGTCTCCTTGGCAACAGCCCTTGGTGCCTTCTCCCTTGAGTTCCCAGACACCACCTACGCCCTTCTCCCTCTTTCCTAACTGTTCTTTTGGTTCTGAAGTGGCTGTACTTTTGCTATGTAAGGCATGCCATCCTATGTAGGGGGAAAAATCCCTCCCTACTCAAATTGGGATCCCTCTTTCTTGACCTCTGAATTGCTGGTTCTCTTTGCATGCTTCCGGCCTAAGCGCCTTCCCCAGCTCCCCTTAGGCTCTCACTCACAGAGGAAGAGCAGTTCCCTGTAGCCACCTAGACTCCAGGGAGCAGCCATTGTTGTCATAACCCCTTCTCCCTGCTGTCTAGGCTTCAGCCTGTCTGTCTCCCTCACAGGAGGCAGCCTCCCACCTAATCCCCTGGGCCTCCACTTTCCAACTGTCAGGGAAGACAGATGGGGAGCAGAAGAATTCATACATTCACACAGTCTCTCTCCTCCTCGCTGCTCTGGCCATCCTTGTTGATTGGCTCCTGTCCTTGTTGGTGTAGCCCTCAGCACAGCAAAGAAATCTTTGTGCTGACTGGCCTGCAGACTGGGAGCTTTCAAAGGAAGCCCATAGCTCCTCCCCTTCCTCCCCTCTGATCCTACTAACGGGCTTATTTGCATAGCTGTCTTGGTAACAGAAAAGAATGTAAAAGAAGAAGCACTTCAGAAGCACTTCTCTTACTCCTAATCCTTTCTAGAACTACTTCCCCTCTTCTTGTAGCTACTAACACCTGTTCCTCTGACCTGCACAAAAGCTCCCCTCCCCGCCCCTCTCAACTGGTTTCTCTTGACTCCTTCCTCCACATTCACACCAAGCCCAATTCCTATTCATGTATCTTCCAGGAGTTCAGTGAATGTGAGCCAAAAAGAAAAATGTTCTCTAAATGATAGGCACTAATAATAACCTTCGAAATTGTTGACTTGCTTCCTCTTCAAAAGCCTGCTTTTAGGCTGAAGTTTATAATTGAATTCAACTGTAAAATGTTATTTTTAATAACATCATTGTATTTTACTTGGCAGTGTTATGCTCTTGGGTTGACAGACTAGGACCTATCACATCTCCATAACTAATGATAAAACTCACTACCATCCATCTGTACATCCATATTTATTTATCTGGACATGCAGTTACTAGTGTATGTGTGTGTGTGACAAACACACACTTTCCTGTATTCCTGGTGTGGCTGTTTCTCATTTTGGGTTTGACTTCCCAAGATATTGTAGATTAGGAACAGAAAGCCAGTATAACCGCATGAGTAAACACCAGCCCAACTCAGGCTATGAAATCTTTTGCATTTCTCCTGTTGACTTCCCTAAGACCAATATTCAGTCTTGTAGAAGTTCAGTGATTCTTCTCCATCAACTCTCATTAATAGCATCTTAAGAAATTTAACTTAAACTATAAACATGACTGATATTGTGTATATGCAACCTCAAGCTAATTTTAACTTTGTGGAATTTCTTTCCCCTCAACAAGTACCCTTTTAATAGCCCCACTTCCCGGATGGAACCTTGTTTGATGAGCAGTACTCCCAGACTGCATCCTACCCCAGTCACTCCCCGCTGGCCAGAGGTGCCCTCAGCCAACACGTGCTACACAAGCCCGTCTGTGCATTCTGCGAGGTACGGAAACTCTAGTGACATGTATACACCTCTGACAACGCGCAGGAATTCTGAATATGAGCACATGCAACACTTTCCTGGCTTTGCTTACATCAACGGAGAGGCCTCTACAGGATGGGCTAAATGACTGCTATCATAGGCATCCATATTTAATATTAATAATAATAATTAATAATAATAATAAACCCAACACCCATCCCCCAGAAGACTTTATCTCTATACATTGTAACTCATGGGCTATTCCTAAGTGCCCATTTTCCTAATGAACATGAGGATGGGATCAATGTGGGATGAATAAACTTTAGTTCAGAAACAGGACTTACTAAAAGTCAGTGGGACTGGGTTTCTGTAGCCAAGCCAGACTTGACTGTTTCTGTAGAGCACTATCTCGGGCAGGCCATTCTGTGCCTTTTCCCTCTGTTCCATGACTTTGCTTTGTGTTGGCAACCACTTCTAGTAAGCTACTGATTTTCCTGTTGACAAAATCTCTTTAGTCTTGAAGGATGGATACTGGAGACAGAATCTGGTTTGTGTTCTTGGATGGGCACATAATTTACCAAGAGCATTCACCTTGCCATCTGTCTTGTCATTGTACTGTACAAGGAACAGCCCTCAGACGTGTTCTGCACATCCCTTCTTCCTGGTGGTACCATCCCTATTTCCTGGAGCACCAGGGCTAAATGGGGAGCTATCTGGAAACTCTAGATTTTCTGTCATACCCACATCTGTCACAGTACCTGCATTGTCTTGGAATGTAAGCACTGTCTTGAGGGAAGGAAGAGGTCTGTTCTGTATTGCCTTAAGTTGATTGAGGTTTGTAGGAGACTGGTTCTTCTACATACAAGGATTTGTCTTAAGTTTGCACAATGGCTAGTGTCAGCAAAAGGCAGGAGAGGGTTTTTGTTTTTTTTTTAAGTTCTATGAGAATGTGGATTTATGGCATTGAGTATCACACTCAGCTCTGCTGTGTTAACTTTGTGAAACTGGATGGAACAAACTTTAACTTACCAAGCACCAAGTGTGAAAGTGACTTTCACGGTTCCTTCATAAAACTATAATAATATCCGACACTTTGATAGAAAAAAATTCAAAGCTGTGCCTTTGAGCCTATACTATACTGTGTATGTGTGGAAATAAAAATGTATTGTACTTTTGGAGAATTTTTTGTAGGCATTTTTCTGTCAGATTTGTAGTAATTTGTGAGGTTTGTTAGAGATTAATATAGGTTTTCTTTCTGTATTATAAAATGCACCAAGCAATTATGGTGGACCTATTACCCTATGGGTAAGAAATAAATGGAAATATGACATCGGATGTTTCAGCAACTGTTCTGTAAATAAAATCTTTGATCACACCACTCAGTGTGATAATTGTGTCTACAGCTAAAATGGAAATAGTTTTATCTGTACAGTTGTGCAAGATATGAATGGTTTCACACTCAAATAAAAAATATTGAAACGACCTGCTTTCTTTTGACTTTTCATTTGACATGACCTGTGTGTGTGTGTGTGTGTGGGGGGGGGGGGGCGGTGTGTGTGTGTGTATAAACATTCTGAATACTTAGGGTGTAAGTAGGCAGGGCAAAAAACTAAGTAGTCTTATATGGCTGTGTTTATCCAGTTCCCCATCATCTTGTCATATAATAATAATTAAAATGTGTATAAGCCACACATCCTGGCCTTGAATAATGATTAAGTAAAAATAGTACCTACAGCCTGATAGAGGTTTGTAGGGGACCAGTTCTTCTACACACAGAGATGTGTCCTAAGTTTGCACAGTGGTTAGTGTCACTCAAAGGCAGGTACCTTTCAGCTCTTATAGGGAATATTATTCTTCAATACCAACACCATTAAGAGGTCCCTTGGTACTTAGTTCATTATGCTTTAATGATCACTAGGTGTAAAGATATTTCAAGTGCAGTGCTTTAAATGCTAATAAACTTCTGGAACAGAACAGTAACATTACTGAATACTTAATAAGTATTAACAAATTCTTCTCCAGCACTGTATTTTTATTCTGAGGCTGAAAGGAGTGGGGTATAGAAGTACAATGATGGTGTTTTTCTCAAACATTAAGAGTCTAGGATCTATGAGAATTTCAGAACCACAGATTTCCAGAAATGGGAGTAGTGAGTATATTAACTAAAAGGCATGAGAACTTGACAACTCAATTTGCATTTTGAAAGATTTATATTTAAAGCCAGGTTCTTACTTGCTATTACATAATATATTTATACCTGAACATGATTTTTAAGATTAAAATTATATACAGAGCATCCCCTTATATTTAGCTATATTGTTCTACAAAAAGAAAGCAGATGTTGAATTTCACTTTCTGATGGTCAATTAGTTTGATCTTTTGACCACAATCCATTAGTTGGCTTTCATATAAAGAAAGTAAGGAAAAGGAAGAATGAAATTTCAGATTTAGTCACTGCAAAAAATAAACCTGAGAGTGACCAGACCAGTCTGTCTCTTACAATTCAAAGCTAGAGCTCCCTTAAATAAATGAAAGGGTGTAGGAAGTCTGACTTTTGACTTACTAAGCACAAAAAAGTAATCACCAAATTCTTTAGTCAGGTAACAACAGCATAGGACACCCATTTACACGTAACAGCCACAAGTTCATTAACTGAACAAATCTTTAGGCAAAACTAGTCATAATCAACAAGGGCCTGAAGCCCAGAGAATAGGTCACTCCAGGAACTTTGCAAGGAAGAAAATGTGTGCCTCCCTTTCTTAGCACAACCAAGACCTAGGCATCATTAGCACCCTGGAAAAGAAGGCAGCTTCAGATGAAGGCAAAAGACCACTGGGCCTTCTCTCCAGAGCACAAGGTGCCTACCTCTTGGGAACCGAGCAGTACCTATGTTCCCAATTGTTTTAAAACTTTCAACTTCAGAACTGGGAAAGATCTGAATAGGAAAAGGCAACAGCTGCTGTGAGCACATGACTCAAATGCACCTTCTTTCCCTCTGATAGCTCCCAGCCAGTCACCAGAATGGGAAATTTGGGCAAGGTTGGCAGCTGGGAGTGGGGCCAGTCACTTGTCAGGGGAAGAACAGAAGAATCTTGGCAATAAAGGGACCCTCCCCTCTTAGGGCTTTTTCTGAAAAGAACTCTGCCAGCTTGAAACTGGTTGAAGTCATGAAGAGCAGCCAGGATGGCTCACCCACATTGCAGGCCTGTGGTGTCCTCAGATTCCATCCTGCTGTGTCCTTTGTCAGGCCTCTAGTACACCCCAGCTCTGGGTAGAAAGAGAATTTGTGGCCCCTCTGAGACTGAAACCCAGGCACAGACCAACCCAAAATGTTTGCCATCGAGTAAGCCCAACCTAAATGGCAGTGGGGGGGCCAGGGGGAGTTGTGGAAACTGCCATGTGACCTTGAATGGTTCACCTCCCCACTCTGGACCTCAAGCAGTTGTGTTACATGATTATGACATTCCAACTTACAGTCTGCACTGATGGACCAGGGCTGGCAGATCTGGATGAGGAGGATGGACGGGCCGCTTAGGGAAAACAAAAAACGGAGTAGACTGGCAGCTGGGCAGTGATTCAGGCAGGGAGCCACAGGAGAGAAGGCACTGGCTCCACCAGCTGGTGCTATAACACAGAGTGAGGCTCATGAGTCCAACCCCCATCCTCCCTTACACAACTCTGGATAGTAGTGTTTGGCAATTTTCCTCTCTCTTCAAAACTGGCCTTAATATTTGCTTTAAAGTAAAGTCAAAATGTCTGAAGTGAATCTAGAGAAGGAAAGACAGCAAAAACAGTTATTTTGTCCCAACCTCTTGCACTGTTTAAAGGCAGACTTGCAAGATTAGAAAAAATTAAGGCTGGGCATGGTGGCTCACGCCTGTAATCCTAGCATTCTGGGAGGCTGAGGTGGGTAGATCACTTGAGCTTGAGCTCAGGAGTTTGAGACCAGCCTGGGCGACCAGGTGCCTCTACAAAAAATGCAACAATTAGCTAGGTGTGGTGGTGCATGCCTGTAGTCCCAGCTACTTGGGAGGCTGAGGTGGGAGGATGCAGTGAGCTAAGATTGCGCCACTACACTCCAGCTGGGGTGACAGTGATACCCTGTCTCAAAAAAAAAAAAAAAAAAAAAAAAAAAAACCAAAAAAGAAAAAAAAAGAATATAAATTAAATCCTAGGAAGAGGGATAGCATAAATACCCCCATTATTACAGTGGAAGAGACTTGGGGAAGGGTTGCCATAGGTCTTCTGAAGCCTAGGGGAAAGCTCTCTGAAGTCTAGTGAGAGCAGAGGCATAGAATTCAGACTCGGGCAAGAGCCTTAAGTATGCAAATCATCATCAATATAAGCTTTTAAAAAATTGGCCCATTTGCGACTTTGAAGTGAGGGAGAACTGAGGTCAAATTCTGGTTTCACCAAAGTTGTTGTAGAGGGGGCATTCCTGCTCTAAAGTAGGATTGGATGTCAGTGGCTCTCAACCCTGGCGCCATTAGAGTTCCCTGGTCAACTTTTTAAAAATACTGAGTATAAGCCAGGTGCAGTGGCTCACACCTGTAATCCCAGCACTTTGGGAGGCCGAGGTAGGAGGATCACTTGAGGCCAGGAGTTTGAGACCACCCTGGGCAATATAGTGAGACCCTATCCCTACAAAAAATTTAAAAATTAGCCAGTTGTGGTGACATGCACCTGCGGTCCTAGCTACTCAGGAGGCTAAAGTGGGAGGAACACTTGAGACCGGGTATTTGGGCTTACAGTGAGCTATGAATGGGCCACTGCACTTCAGGCTGGGTGACAGAGACCTGTCTCAATAAATTAGTAAAGATAAAAATACTGATGCATAGGTCCCACCCACAATAAATAATGACTTGGAATGTGACCCAGGCATCAGTATTTTTCTAAGCTCCCCAGGTGATTCAATATGCAGTCAAGGTTAAGAAACGTGATCCCTTCCACCCTCAAGTTCTAAACTTCAGGGACTACTATTCCCTGAACATGTGGCCCAGGTTTCTCTCTTGCAGTGTTGTCTGTCCAGAGTGGAGAACCATGCTCTGTGCAAGTAGTGACACTCCACAGTAACCTACACTGTGCATAGTTTTCCCTTAGCTGACAAACCTTTCCCTAAACTGCGCTGTTCTGTTCGCCCTTCAGCCACCCCCACCTCCCTACCACTTTGCTGCCTGCCCTTCTAACCTGGAACTTCTCTGCTTCAGTTCCTTGGCAGCCTCCCAAGCTAAGCCAGCTTGGACACAGTGCTTGGGGCTTCCTCTTGTTCCAAGGAGGTCAGAACCTTTTGTGCTTCACCAGCCTCCTCCCTGAAGCTCTTCCCCCAATCCCCCTCCTGTGTCTCAACCTCCCCCAACCCCGCCGCCGCCCTCTCACCCCCATATTTTGCTGCTGCTGGTGTAGGTGGGACGGAAGACGTGGGCCACAAGAGATGAAGAAAGAGCTGTTGCTAGGAAAGGAGTGTGGGTGAAGAGAATTGGTGGGCGGGAGAAATAGGACTCCCCAGTTATATGCCTCCCTTTCTCATCATAAATGCCTCAAGAGCTAAAAACCAGCTGTTTAAAATCTATTATGAAAAATAATGAGGTCTGACCGTGACAGCAGGGGTAAGAGAATCAGACTCAGAAAGAGCTGAAGTGCTGATATTTGGTATTTATAAGTCTCCTCCTAGAAAAGAAAAGCCTCTGAGTGAAGTTTAAAAGAGTGAATTCTTAAGGAACTATCAAACTGTGCCCGTGAGGGACGGTATCTAGAAGGTCTTGGCATATGCTACACCTCTCAGAAACAATAAACTGCAAGATGTCTTAAGAACCAAAATATAGTTGAGGCAGAAGGATGATCTTTAAATGAGAAGTCTGCAACACTCTTTCCTCCTCACCTCACACTCAGGGGCATATTTCTGAAATAGATCTGCCTTAATCCACGGAGTCTCCCATTTATTGGAGTCTTCTCTGTATCAGGCACATTAGACTCACCATGTCTGCTTCTCACAAGTTCCCTGCAATACCAGTGGCATAATCGCTTCTGTTTACAGGTGAAGAAATGGAGACTATGAGCAGCTTAATGCCTTGCTGATGGTTACAGTTTAAGTGGCAGAGCTGGGATCTGAAAATTACTCCAGGCACAGTGGCTCAGACCTACAATCACAGCACTTTGGGAGGCCAAGGTGGAAAGATCACTTGAGGCCAGGAGTTTAAGACCATGGCAACATAGTGAGACTCTGTCTCTCTCTATATATTAATTTTTAAAACACAATAAAAGAAATACTACTCCAGAGCCTGTCTGTGCTTTTTCTACTAAAGCACACTCTTCCTCCTTCCTACTTTTCTTCCCACCTTCCCACCCCTATCCTAACTTCCATTCCCCTCTCCTAAGCAGTTTTGCAGTTTTAAAAATCAACCTTGACTGTGGTAATAGAACCTACTGGGGTGGAAGAGAGTTTCAGAAGTTCTGGAAAATTTTTGTGCTCACGAACTGCAGGCAGTTTCTAAGCTGGGCACCAGATCTTCCCCTAAACCAGAGGTGGCATTCTGCTCACTGTAAATAAATAGCAGACTACCTTTCCCTCTGTCATTTCCCAACGTACAAACAAACCAGTGCATTATCTATGACTGAGATTTGGTTATTCTATAGAGAAACAGGAATAAAAGAAAATCAATAATAACGAAAAAAAAATACCAGGTCACAGAGGATTTTTATTACCAGGTCGAAAAAAAAAGCTCTGCAGGGGGGCGTGCAATGAGCCAAGCATTCACTGGAATGAAGTCACTGGGGTGGGGGAGGAGGGAGCACGGAGGAGACTGGCTACCTCTTGCTGTTAAGGTCACTACCCTTTGACAGAGGTGGCCTCTGACCTCAACAGCCCTACAATTCTGTTTTGACTGACCCTGAAACCCATGAAATTCAGATGTAGGCACTGCCCAAAAGTTGAGATAAAGCTGACTAATATGGGAAAAGCTCCCGGTATGTGCCCCCAGCTGAAAGGAGCTGGCAGTTCTTTGGCGGTAGACGCAATTTATTCTGTCCTCCTCCTTTCAGGGAAATGCTAATCCTTCATAGGCAACTCAAGGGGAAGACTAAAATGTGTTGATGATGAATGACAATAATCCTTTGTCCACCGCCACCTCCTCCTAGGGTTGAACCTTAAGAGTTTAATCAAATGTTGGTAAGTAAATTAATGCCTTACTGCAAAAGGAGGTGGTGGGAAGAAAGGTTGTGAGAATATATTTCCTCTGACATGTGAATCTCAATAAACTTAATTGCAAAGGCATTGATATGGGAAGGGGGTGCTGAAAGAGTGTTTTAGATTCCTATTTACACACACATACACATAACAGTCACTACCCGAAAACTGTCTTACAGCATGTCAGTGTTAAAATGTTAACTTTGAAGTCTAAAGACCAAAGCAGCACAATGGAATCACTTTGCTGTTGTTAAAAACAACAGCAGCAACAACAAAACTCATGCATTTGTGCATCCATAGGAACAGCAAGATGTTTAGCCCTGAATCTTCACATCTTTCTAAGGAAGGTTGCATTTTTCATTCCAGTTCAGCTAACATTTTAGTGGCTACTCCATGCCAGGTCCGCCTTGCTGGCCACTTTGACAGCCATCTCTTTTAACCCTTCCAACTGACTGCAAAGTAGGTATAATTATGCTCATTACAGTTGAGAAAAATCGGTGCTCAAAGACGGCAAGTGATTTATCCCTGTACACCCAGAGTTAAAATTCAAACTAGAGTCTTTCAGCTTCGGGTTTTCCTGTTAGATACAAAAAATTGGTTGCCAGAAGGGTTTCAAGGAATTTGACAAATGATCAGCTTCTGAGACTCACACAGTGAGTCAGGGCTAAAAACCAGGTTTTCCGATTCTCAGTCCGGGTTCTTTCACCACATTACAACATTGCCACCCAAAGCGCTGGGTTTTCCCAAGAGGTGTTTGGATGGGATTCCAAGTCAGCGAGATGCAAATAGGTCTGACCCACATTCCTGCTCTTGGGTAAATAAAAACTCCTAAAGGGCAGAGCCCATTTTGTGTGCTTAATCTAAGAGTCCCACTGTGGGTAGTCAATCAATATTAAACAACTAGAGGGACATCTGCCTAGGACTAACGGCATGGACTCAATTTAAGCAATCAGAATACAGTGAATATTACTGAGGAACCTCATAAAGGTGCTGAAAGGCTGAATCAAGTAAATTTTTAAGAGTTGGAAAAAAAACCTTTGAAGTCATCTAGTCCGACTCTAATTTTATGAGATAGAGATAAAATAATGTGCATAAAGATCTGAAGACAGTCAGCAACAGACTCTCCCTTCCTGTCTCCCAATTCTATTTAATTTTATGTCCTACAGCATTGTAAGGTAACGTTTTCAGGAATGCAACATGTTGTAAGTCGAAGTTGGACTGGCTGGTTACAGAGTCGTCATTGATTATGAAACATCTCTCATACTTAACTTTTCCTTTCCCACTGACCAAACTGACCTCTAAGAAATCGCCATTGCTGGCTTTCAAGTTCAACCAAGTTGGTGTCATTTCTCAACAAGAGTCTCATTAATTTTGGCCTCCTGACCTTTTCTTACAGCATTTCCCCGTTTTGGAGCCCTCTATGCTCTCTCCACCATCCCTCTTTACAGATCACCTCCTTCAAGAAGGCTACTCTGACTACTATCCTTCCCATTAATGTTTATCTTGCTTTGATTTACACAGTACTATGTTCAATTTGTTTTTTCCTATCAGTAAAAAAGATTACTTTATTGTTTGGTTGTTTCTTATATCCCCAAAGGATATAAGAAAAATTTAAAAAATTTTTATGGTATCTAAGACAATGCTGTGCTCCAGTGAGCACTACATATGTGTTAAAAGATCAAACTATGTTAAGTAACTTTGCTATCAAAGGGAGACTGCATTCTTTTTTTTTCTTTTCCGAGACAGAGTCTCGTTCTGTCACCTTGGCTGAAGAGCAATGGCACAATCTTGGCTCACTGCGACTTCTGCCTTCCAGGTTCAAGAGATTCTCCTGCCTCAGCCTCCCAAGTAGCTGGGGTTACAGGCATGCACCACCACGCCCAGCTAATTTTTGTATTTTTAGTAGAGATGGGGATTCACCATGTTGGCCAGGCTGGTCTCAAACTCCTGACTTCAAGAGATCGGCCTGCCTTGGCCTCCTGAAGTGCTCGGATTACAGGCATGAGCCACCGCACCCGGCTGAGACTGCATTCTTGGTAAAAAATGAAATAAAAATAACTTCCTTTCTGTTTTTTTTTTGAGACGGAGTTTCGCTCTTGTTGCCCAGGCTGGAGTGCAATGATACGATCTCGGCTCACTGCAACCTCCGCCTCCCAGGTTCAAGCTATTCTCCTGCCTCAGCCTCCCAAGTAGCTGGGATATAGGCATGCACCACCAAACTCAGCTAATTTTGTATTTTTTTTAGTAGAGATGGGGTTTCTCCATGTTGGTCAGGCTGGTCTTGAACTTCTGACCTCAGGTGATCCACCCGCCTTGGCCTTCTAAAGTGCTGGGATTACAGGCATGAGCCACCGTGCCCGGCCAAAAAAATAACTTTCATATTGTCAGGTTATTTCTCAAAGACTAATGAGTTACATGCACATGAGTTTGGGGGTCTATCAAAAAACCAGTTCAGTGGTAGATACTCTATCAAAATATTGATCCAGTGGTTCTCAATACTAGCTGCTTATTCAAATCAACTGAGAAGCTTTTAAAACTACCAGTATCCAGATTTCACCACAGATCAACTGAATCAGAATCTTTGGAGGTATGCCCAAGGAATGATTTGCATATATCATATTGATATTTGATTTGCACATATTGATTTTCACATCCCCACTCTTCATAATAGGTTTTTCTAAAGAATTAGCATATTTAAAGGTGGTTTTGTTTTTCCGAGAATCACAAAATTTTAGAACTGAAAAATTTAGAACTGAAATAATATCTGGATCAATCCCTTAGTTTAACAGCTAAGGACACTGTGGGACAATCCAGCTATTATTTCAGTTCTAAATTTCTAAACCTCAAGAAAGGCTGAGTGAGTGGCCTCACATAGTGAGGTGGTGGTTGCTGAGTGACAAGTCATATCTTGAATTAGTGGAATTCTCTGAACTCCAGTTCTGGAGCTGTAGCCAATAGACCAAACTGCCAAGGCTTTAAATTCTGCTTTCTTCTAAAGAAAATGTATTCAAAATATTATAACAGTTGAATTTTAAAAGCTGTTAGCACCAGGTACTCATTAAAGACCTTCAGTTTGGCACATTCCAACTAGCCCATTGTCATGGCAAGAGGAAATGCCACAGCAGGATATATCAAAGTCCAAAATAAATGACTAGTATCTATTTGCAGGCTTTTTCATTGGCCCTAACCTGAAAGTCCATAATATTTTATGTTATCAGAGCCCAGGGTGCTTCTAGCCCTTAACTATACCACTTATTAGCAAACTTCCTTGCTTATGAGCCAGCTAATCAATACTCTGAACTTCCCTTTTCTCTGTAAAAAAGAAAATAGTGCCTCTTATTGATCTTGCAATTTCAGCTATAGTAAGGATTAAATCAAATAATCTATGTGGAGATATTTTAAGAATTTAAAATCTCTATCCATAGATATATATAGGATTACTATATTACTGTTTGTAAGAGCAACGACTTGTGAAAAAATATTTGTTGCTTTGATTACCAAGGCTCTAAATATTAATTCCTTGCTATCATGCCACTCAAGCATCACCAGGAAGTGAAGTCAGAACAGGACTAGAGTCTCTAGTCCCTGAAAGTATCCCGTAACTAATATTCAAGGAGGTAAAGTGATGTAGTGACCTAGGACTCAGCTAGTCTAGGCTCCATTCCCAGAGTCTGCTATTGACCTTGGACAAGCCACTTAATTTTTCTGGAACCAGAGTCTCGTCAGTGGTCAAAAGATGACTTGAATTAGAGTCAAAGATCCCTTTGAGTTACAAAATCAGAATATGAACATTTAATTAAAATTACTAAAGTACAACTTCCCAAGTCATTAATTCATCTCGTTTTACATTTTTTAAATCTCTTTTTAGAAGTACAGAGTTGGAGACTAAAAACATAGCCTATTTCTGGCAAACAGACATTTCAAAGACATGTGTCTGAAATGTCAGAGACCTTCTAAAAGAATTCTAAAGAGAAACATCTCTACGGAAATAAGATACTTTGTGCTCGTTTAATATCGTCTCTGGGAGACCCTTGCTCCAAAAATAAATATATGGATACCCCCAAAGCACTTAATTCTGTACTGGACACAGAGCAGGCACCCAAATACTTTGTTAACAGCTCTCAGTTTTTGTCCCAGTTCTTGTTACTTAACTCATCTGACCCTGTTTTCTTATCTATAAAGTGGGAACAATACCTTCCCCAATGATCCATTGAGATTAGAAGTATTAAAAAGTTCTGTAAACTGTTAAAAACAATTGCAAGATGTTACTATTAGCTTAGAAAATTAGCTAACTATTCCATGACCTTACTAAAATGTGCTTTTTGGAGAGATGGATTAAAATCTTTCTGACTTAATTTATTACAGAGCACCTACCCCAATGCCTGACTCAAATATGCTCAATAAATGTTTGCTGCATGGAAAGTATAATATACAGAAAGACCAAAAGCTCCATAAACTCAGGTCCCATGTTCGTTCTTATTTCCGAATTCCCAGTATCTAGCAGAATATCTACCACAGCATAGAAGAAATTCAATCATTAGATAAATAAACTTTTGCCCCCTCTAGTTCCTCTTCAGCACAGCTCAAGAGGGAGAGACTGGTAGGGGAGACATCAAGGATGATTATGGGTAAAGGCTGCTTGGAATGGAAAACTTGAAATTACTTGGAGAATTCATCCACTTTCCATCAAAAAAAAGCTTGGGAGAGCAGAAAGAGCACAGGCTCTGAGTTCAAATTCAGTTTCCAAAAATCTGCAATTTTGATAAATTAACCAACTAACCTCTCCAAGACTCAGTTTCCTCATCTTAAAATGAGAATAACTCATATGGGTGCTCACTAGAATGGAAGCTCCATGAAGGCAGGGACTTTACTTTGGGCCCACTGTATCCACACTGCATTTAACAGCACCTGGGCACAGCACAGGCTCTCAAATATTTGTTGAATGAATGTGTATGAAATTGATTGAGCTAACACAGGTGAAGTATTAACAGAGTGCCTGACACGTAATTACCACCGGGGCAATGGGAATCTTTGTCATCACCACCACCGCTACTGTATCGGTATTATTACAGTTCCCGGAGGTCGTAGAGCGGCCGCTTCGGGGGGAAAGGCCTGGTTTCAAACCTCGACTTTCCCATTCTCTGGCCGTGTGACTTAGGATAAATTACTGAAACTATTCGGGTTCCTTTTTATTTCCACAAAAATTTGTGTTGGGAGAATTAGAGGATATAGGGAAATTACCTAAGAGAGTCTGGAGCCCCGGTGGCACGAGATGCATGCTAGAGATTAGTATTAAGGCAGAAAATCGCCGAGTCCTCTTTTATCCAGATAACTGCCTTCAATTATTTCCCACATTACTGTAGCTGAGTACATAACAAGAACGCAAATAAGGGTGGAAGGAATTCCCGAGACCGAAACCGCTAAATGAGAAAAGGGAATTAAACCGTGCTTGACAGTTCCCACCAAGGGATGGCAGTTTCCGCGACCGTCGGCCAGTCCAGCCAGCCCAGCCAGCCGAGACTGAAGCAGGACAGTCAGCGACATAACGAACAAAACCGAAGCAGACGCTTAGACCCTCCCTCTAACGGTCTCCCCGCCGCTGGCCTCAGGCGGCCGCCAGACTCCCGTTTCCGGCCCTCGCGGTACCACAGTTCCCAGCATGCCCTTGGCGGGAATTCTTTCCGGCTGGATGACTACCAATCCCAGCATGCCATTCGGCACGCCAGTAAATTAGATGGAAGAGCGGGATAGCCCCATTGCATGCAGGGAATTGCAGTCCATTTAGCGGCTGGTTCATAGATGGGCGGGGAAGAGCCGGGTTGCTCTAGTCCTTTGAGAATGATTCATAGAGGAGGGTCAGGAAAGAAGAACGGTTCAGTCTGTGAAAGCCCCCTTAAAAGACTGGACAGTTCTCCGAGGGAGGGAGAGGCAGGAGAGCAAGCAGGGCCTTGGGCCTGACTCCGCCTCGGTCCGCTAGCCAGGCCTCGACCGAGTCCTGGGCCTTGTCAGGGGCGGCCGTGAGGCGCCGGTTGCTGGGGGAGCGGTGACGTCGCGGGGTGAAAGTTGAGGGGCGGTGACGTCGGGCCGGCCCGGGCGGAGGCTGGCGGGTTGGAGGCAGGACGGAGGGAGGGAAAGAGGGAAGGAAGGAAGCTGGGAAGGAGCGAGCGGGGGCGCGAGGCGTTTACCTGGAGGCAGCGGCTTGGGCGCGCAGAGCGGCCGCGGCTCCCCCGCACCTGCGGCCATGGATGAGGAGCGCGCCCTCTACATCGTCCGGGCCGGCGAAGCAGGGGCTATCGAGCGGGTCCTGAGGGATTACAGCGACAAGGTAAAGAGTCCTGGCCCCGGGCGTGCGGTATCGCACCCCCGGGCCGCCCTCCGTGCTTGCACATCGCATCCTTCCCCACCCCCCTCATTCCGGGGATGCGCATTGCTCTCCCCCGAAAACGTTTCCGGCTTGGGCATGCGTGTTTGTGCCCCCAGCCTTTTCCATCCATGCATCCTGCATCCCACTACCCCCACTGTAGCGCCCACTCCTCTGATTCCTGGCCCAGCAGCTTGACCTCCGGTCCTCCTCTCAAGCGTGCAAGTCACACCCCCGGAATCCGTAGATGTGCATCTGTGCCCCGTGCCCCACTCCTGGATGCATAAATGCATGAGAGGCTTCCTCACCTGTATAGCATAAAAATACGTGCTTCCCTGCATAAACACGGCCCTTGACATGCATCAAATGTATCAGCAACGATGGCAGTTTCTATACGTTTAGCACTGTACGGTTTTCAAGGCATTGATGTCTCATCTATGGTCTCCTTTGATCCTCAGAGTGTTTATAGGGTAGATGGTATCATCCTCCCCATTTTATAGATGAGGAAACCGAGGTGCAAAGAGCTGAAATCACGCCCAAGGTCATGGACATATAATGTTGTAAGTGGGTGGAGAATGTAACTCCTAATGATACCTGTTATTTGTATCGCATTAACAGCTTTCCTATCCATTATCTTATTTAATCTTACAGCAATCCTGTGAGGTATTATCTGCATTTTGCAATTGAGACTCTAGATTGGTTAAGTAACTTGCCCAAGGTCATACTTGGAGCTGGTATTCCAGTTTAGTTCTTTCCACTTCACAACTCTGCGTAAAAGAGTATCTTGTTATAAATCCCAGTCACTTCTCAGAACCTCTTTCCAAGAACCGTTAGCTCTTCATTACTTTTCCTTCCAGGAATTTTACATGCTCACTTCAAAAGATAGCCTACCACACCTTTATCCTTTGGTTTAGAAGACTGCTTTATAGGAATGACTGGCGACTCCCTTCTGTGAAAACACACCCAACACCAAGTCACAACCTAGCTGTTAATGTTTTTCTTTCTTTTGCCCCCGTACATCGTCTCCCCTTCAGTGTTTGCTTTGTGTCCACCACTGCATCCATCCACTTTGTATTACTGACAATTGGTGTCTTATTTTTGAATCTTTTCCACCCGGGGCAGAAATGGCATACTGGTGGCTGAATTCCCGTTTAATCTTCCCAACAACCCTGGGAGGAGAGTGATGGTATTCCCCAATTCACAAATGATAAAATTTAGAATGATAATGTGGTCCCAAGTCCACACAGCCACTGAGAGATAGAGCTGAGATTTGAATTTACGTTGTCCAACTCCAAGTCCAGCGAGCGCTCTTTCTGCCGTACTGTGTTGCTTTCCTTGGGAAGATTCATAGGTTCTATCTATTCATATCTTAGCTCCTTCACTTTCTGATACACTTTATTGTTGAACATGTCTGCCTAATTTAGGAATAACTCATTCAATGCATAGTTGTACATATTGTGGAGATTATGATTTAACCCGATTTATTACTGCTTTCCAGAAAAGATATAAGGCAGCTTCAAACTGATTTTCAGAAGCAAGAAATGCAAAGAGAACTTGGCCATTTGTTGAATCAACTAATGTTTATTTAGCACTTACTATATGCCAGATACCCAGCAATAAATAGGAATTTGTTTCTGTAGGGGAGGAAGGAGGAAAAACCTTCAACTGGATATAATCACGTTCTTTAATATTTCTCCTTCCCTTTATGGCTAAACTAATTAGACTCCAGATTTGCTTCCTCCAATTTATCTCTTCTCATTGGTCTCCCTCCAGATTGGTATCTACTTACCACTCCTGGCCAGGTGCTGTCAGAGCTTAAATCCTGAACATCTCCAGCTCCCCTTTTGTATTGGGAATGTTTTTAAGGTTGTTTTGCATGGTGTGTCTTGCTTAAGGTGGTATCTGAAGTGTTTCAAAAGATTCCCAAACCCTTGTAATTTTGGGATCAAGCCTGAGAGTGCTCTGACTAGATGTGAACTGGGTCAGTTAGCTCTTTCAGAAGAAAGCGCTCCCTTCTTTTTTGGAGACAGGGTCTGTATCTGTCACCCAGGCTGGAGTGCACTGGTGCAATCACGGCTCACTGCAGCCTCCATCTCCTCCCCCCCACCGACCCTCCCAAGTAGCTGAGACTACAGGTGCGTGCAACAGCACTGGGCTAACTTTTTAAATTCATTTTTTGTAGAGATGGGGTCTCACTGTGTTGCCCAGGCTGCTCTCAAACTGCTGGGCTCAAGCAGTCCTCTCACCTTGGCCTCCCAAAGTACTGCGATTATAGGTGTAAGGTACTGTGCCTGGCGAGAAAGCTCTCATATTTAATACTGACTGTAGTAGGGCCAGTATAGTAGGGCTGATTATAATACAAAGAAAATGGCTGAACATCATATTGCAGTGAGGTTTTGCCCCTCAAAGGGAGAGATTTTGAGAGCAGATGAATAGGAAGTGAATGTATGATCATAGTGGTTCAGGCAGTAAGAATGGGGAGGTGGAATTAAATTGCCCAGCTCTATGGTATATGGAATTTAGAACCCTGAAAAAAAATAGTTGGGTACCATATACTTCAGTTTCCTTATCTGGAAAAATGGATTTGAGAAATGTTTGGATTATGAGGTGATTATAGGGCATTGAGGAGTCCAACAGAGAGAAATGAATGCTGTAGAGAGAGAGAGACCGGTTCGTTATTTGGGAGAGTAGTGGAGAGGTTCTTTATGCTACCTTATACCTCTAATAAAGCTAGTCCTTGAAAGGAGGCAGTCAAGTGTAGTAGAAAGGTGGTGGGATTTGACATCAGATAAACTTGGTTCAAATCCCAACTCTGCCATTTATTAGCTTTATGACTATGGATAAATTATATTAAGCCTGTGAGTCTCAGTTGCCTTACCTGTAAAATAGGGATAATATCACCATTCTCTTAAATTATTGTGAGGATTACATTAAATGAAATATAATGCCAACACTGGGCACAATGCACCTAGGAAGCACTCAGTAAGTTACAGTTATAATGACCAGGGTACCTAAGAGGTGTGGCCGGAGCACAGGTTCTGTAGCCAGCCTGGCTATGATCCTCAACTTAATGGCTTGTGTGACCCTAAACGAGTTACTTAACTTTGCTGTGGCTTAGTTTCCTCATCTGCCAAATGGAGATAATAATAGTAACTATATCATAGATTTGTTGTCAGGATTAAATGAGTTACATGTGTAAAGCACACAGAACAGTGCCTGCCACTGAGGAGGCACCCCATAACTGTTAGCTTTGAACAAAAAAATTAAACGTGGCATGAGTTGGGATAGCACGATATTAAAATTTGGGAATATGCTCCATTCTTCCCCTTCTTTTTCTAATGGGTAGCAAAATTGTACCTTGTACCGCTTTTAGAGATACCTGTCGGGCTCCGGGAAACATCTAATTTCTACTGTGTTATATAGATTCTCATTTCCAAGCCTTCTTGCTTCATTCACTGACCTTTGTTATCTTGGAGAGAGGAAATATGTATCTATCCCAGAAAGAATGAAACTTGTCTGTTTGTCAAGGGCATGACACAGCATAGGTCTCAGCATAGGCAAGTTTTTTTGTTTGTTTGTTTGTTTAATGGGAGGAGCAGTTGTTTTTCTCTCCTCTCAATGCACCTGTTAACATTTATTGAGTGCCTGCTATGTACTATGTATTATCCCAAGCATTTTCACATTTCGTATGTCATCTTATATTAATTCCTCTTATATTAATCCTCTTATATTAAAACTTATGAGGGAGATGGAAGTATTCTATATACAGGCTCAAGGTCACATAGCTAAGAAATGGCAGACCTGGTCTTCAGATTCCATATCCAGGGATCTTTTTGCAGGGCTATGTTGCCTTTACCCTGTCTCTTCTGTGTTTTTGAGCACAGAAAAAGTTTCTTTTTCAGGAGTGGTATACTACGGTTATTCCTCAATATCCAAAGGGGATTGCTTCCAGGATCTCCTGTGGATACCAGAATCTGTGGATACCAAAATCTTCTAATGCTTTAGTCCCTGATAGAAAACACCATAGTATTTGCATATAATCTGGGCACACCCTCCATTTTTTTGAGATGGAGTTTTGCTCTTGTTGCCCCAGGCTGGAGTGCAATGGCGCGATCTCGGCTTATCATAACCTCTGCCTCCTGGGTTCGAATGATTCTCCTGCTTCAGCCTCCTGAGAAGCTGGGATTACAGGCATGCATCACCATGCGCGGCTAATTTTGTATCTTTAGTAGAGACGGGGTTTCACCATGTTGGTCAGGCTGGTCTCGAATTTCCGACCTCAGGTGATCTGCCCGCCTCGGCCTCCCAAAGTGCTGGGATTATAGGCGTGAGCCACTGAGCCTGGCTGGGCATATCCTCCTATATACATTTTTTTTTTTTTTTTGAGACAGAGTCTCATTCTGCCGCCCAGGCTGGAGTGCAGTGGCTTGATGTCGCCTAACTGCAGCCTCCGCCTCCCAGGTTCAAGCGATTCTCCTGCCTCAGCTTCCTGAGTAGCTGGGACTACAGATGTGTGCCACCATGCCTGGCTAATTTTTGTATTTTTAGTGGAGACAGGATTTCACCATGTTGGCCGGGCTGGTCATGAACTCCTGACCTCAAGTGATCCACTCACCTGGGCCTCCCAAAGTGCTCTGATTACAGGCATGAGCCACTATGCCTGGCCTCTCCTATATACTTTAATCTCTAGATTACTTATAATACGTAATACAATGTGAATGGTATACAAATAGTTGTACTGTATTATTTAGGGAATAATGCCAAGAAGAAAAAAAAAAGCCTGCACTTGTTCAACACAGACACACACAAAAAAAAATTTTTTTTTTTTTTTTTCAGATATTTTCAAGCCATTGTTGGTTGAATCCACAGATACAGAATCCTTTGGCTACTGTTGGGTCCTAATCACCTCAACTTTAGTTATAGAATGAACTGTTAATTTGGGGAATTATGTATCATTCCAGTCTAGACTGTTCAAGCTCTTGCTCCCCCACGGGGGCCTGTTCTTTTTTTTTTTTTTTTTTTTTGTGTGTGTGTGTGTGTGTAGAGTTGGGGGTCTCACCATGTTGCCTAGGCTGGTCTTGAACTTCTGGGCCTCAGCCTCCCAAAGTGCTGAGATTACAGGCATGAGGCACAGTGCCCAGCCCTCAGGACTTCTCTAATAACACATTTAGTAGAGAGATTAGTTGCCATCATTATCATGATTATCAACAACAAACTGTGACTAAGGGCCCTGAGGTATGGAGTAGTATCATGATTCTTTACATCGCAGGCTATTTATGTTAGAGGAGCCTCAAAGATAATAGGGCCCAACCCCCTCGTTTAATAGATGACTCATCAACTATGATGATAACCAGAGACGTGGCTTGGTGGCCCTGCAGGCCACCTGGACATATGACTACCCCATACATAGCAAATTCCAGCAGCATTCCAGTTTTGAAGTATGGCAAGTTTTTGGCCAAATGAAAGGTATTTAAGATACAGACAGATAGGTAGGTCTCTAGTAGTAGTCCTCTTAGGAGAAGAAAACAAGACTGCTGGCAGTGAGGTCTTCATTCATGTGCTAGAAGAACCTGATTCATAGAAACCTGATATTGGGACAGTTCTATAAATATAGCCTCTACATTTGAATAGAGTATGTAAATATCCAGGACCATGTAAGAGGACTTTTTGTTTTCTACTTTGGAAGTTGGGCTCTGACTCTTTGATTTCACTCTGTGGGTTCTTGCAGAGAAGCATGTTTAGTGGGCTGTTCCTTTGTTATACTTTGTTCTTATGTCCAGATTATGTTATATAATTTGTTTCTAATTTTTAGTTGTAGAAGCAATCTGTGTTCATGAAACAGCACAACATACACCACGCAATTAGGTTTATTCCCTTGTAGTAGTGCTGTTTGAGTGTATCTTTAGAAATCTATGAAATTATTCCTAGCTCTCTAATAGGTCAATATTTGGCCAGATGCCACACCATAGGTTATTCAACAATAACAGTAGTGGCCATTGAACACTACTGTGTGCAAGGTGCCATGCTTATAAAAAATAAGGAAAATTTGATAGGTAGTAAAGTTGAATAACTTGACCAAGTTTACACTTTTAGTAAACAGTAAGACTGGACTCAAACTCAAGGTTGTCTGACTCCTGATCCTGAGCTTTTTAGAGCTTATTCATGGAGTATGAAACCTGTAGTGAGAGTCCTCATAATAGTCTGGTGTGTCACTGAGCTGTTAGCTTGCTTGATCTCTAAATTGAACAATGGTTTAACTCTTTTTTTTTAAATGGGGTTTTATCGTGTTGCCCTGGCTGGTCTCAAACTCCTGGTCTCAAGCCATCTGTCCACCTCAGCCCCCCAAAGTGTTAGGATTACAGGTGTGAGCCACCATGCCCGGCCAATTTAACTCTTTATATTTGATTTTTTGCTCCTGTTTCTCTGGAAATTAAACATGTAAAGAAGGTGAGATGGCTGACTGTTGGCTAACAGTTCTAGAAATACATGTACAGCTGGAAATGCTTGTTCTCTCTTTCCCCATTTCAGCCTTAGAAAGGGGAGAGAATAAAGATAGGGGTACTGAATAAGTTAAGTATGATCTAAGTTGGATAAAAGAACCCAGGTTTATAGAAGCCAACATCTATTGGATCCAAACACTCTTAGAGGTTTGAGCTTCTGAATAGATTGGCGCATTCCAGATTCAATTTGTAGTGCCTCACAGACCATTATATTTTCTAATTAAGAGCAACAGAATAATTAGACCTTGGTACTATTCTGAATTCCCACCTTAAAAGATTAATTCTACAGAGGAACTGTTTAAAAGACACTTATAACTTACTGAGTGTCTTTCCAAAAGACAATTTATTTTTCTTTCCCCTTACCATTAATGCCAAAAAAAAGTTTAGAAGAAACGTTATATTAACAAGTAGGTACATTTATTCCAGATAATTTATGGAATTAGCATTTTACATATAATGGCAAAAAAATAGGCTTTCTTGGTTTCTTAGTGCGATTATTTTCATTTGTATTGAACCTTTAGGGGCTTTAGTTTACAACTTTAACCTGATATCTGGCACTTTTAAGTCTAATGTTAATTTTCACTAAACCTCAGGTCTATACATTTCTAAGTATAGCCCTCAGATTTACAATCTTTCTTTCCTCTCCTCCTTCTTTCTTTTTCTTGTTCTTTATTATCTATTTAAAAAAAATTTTTATTATGAAAACAATATACCAACAATGAGTCTTCTTTTTAAAAAATTGCTACATAATATTTTGTCAGGTGAATATATTATGTATAATAGAATACTGTCACATGCATAACATTCCGTCAGTCTCCTGTTGGTTATTCCAGTTCTCGCTTTTTTTCTTCCACTATGTTGGATGACACTGCAGTGATACACATATAATTATTCTCTCCTTCTAGATCAGTAGGATAAATTCCTAGGAGTAGGAGTTCTGGGTCAAAGAATATGAATATTTTTATGTCTTCTAATATGTGTTGTTGCCAAATCACTTTCTCTTTTAAGGTTTATGTCAGTTTATACTGCCACCAGGAGTATCATGCCTGGATTATTGATGTCCATTCCTCACAGGGCATTATGTCCTTAGTCTTGCTTTCCTTTAATCTGGCCTGTGAGCTACCGCCCAAAATGTTCTACCAGAATGCTGGTCTCACACCTCCGTCGTAGTCTTCCCCTGGTTGCCTGTCACCTATTTGCCAATTCAGGTGTAAATTTTAAAATCCATGCCCTTACCACCTGAGTTCATTCCTTTTAATTGTTTTGCATCTATATTCGAGGCAGCCTCCCTCCCTCAAATGGCCACTCTCTCCTACCTCTGAGTCTTCCCTCTGATCATTTCTTACATTCAGAACTTCTTTTCTGCCAACATTTCTCTATCTTCTTTAATTTAAAAAATTGCTGCTTCTACAAAGATGTCAACACAGAACCACCTGTGATGATGATATCTTTAGTACTCAGTGTACTTCACTCCTGGTGGGTTGCCAGTAAATATTTGTCAGTGTGGCTAATGAGAGAAAGAAAAAAGAAAAAGTGGAGAGATTTTTGGTGGAGATTTTTGTTTTTTAATAGAAAGGCTTAGAATTCTTAAGAGTACTTGGTTCTCCTGAATAAAACTTCAGAGGAGAATGAGGAATTCTGTGCTCTATTTTTGGGGTACCATTGTTCTTTCTGTGATCATGGGCAAGCCAACTTATTCTGTCTTCTATTCCCCTCTACTTCAGCTACAGAGTAGAAAATATAGTATTGCCAATCATTGCAGAAGAGTCATGACACTCTCTGCCTTTCCAGTTATTTTTTCCTCATAATCATTGGCATCATCATCATTATATCCCTAATATTTACTGAGTATTGCTACTTGCCAGCACTGAGATTGTGCTTTATATACATGCCTTAGCTTTTTTTTAACTGTCACAGTCTCTCTATGAACTAGGTACACCCTGTTTTCAGATGAGAAACTCAGTTCCAGAGAGTTTACTTGCTTAAGGTCACAGCTAGTAGGTGGTGGAGCCACCATGATTTAAACTCTTATTCTTATTGAATTACTTTTCTGAAATATCAAACCATCAAGTCTTCCCTATCCACAGTTCTCTGATGATTTCTTATTGCATATGAAAAAGAAAGTATAAACTCAGCAGCATCGGAAGGCCCTTCCAAATCACTGTCCAGTCTACTTTTCCATTCTCTTCTTCCTCCATGCCCCACCCCAAACGTATGTCCTGTGTTCCAGTCTCACAAAGTTGCTTATTTCACAAATATATCATATAGTTTCACACATTCGAGCCTTTGTTTTTGTTCCTGGAATGCATTCCATTTGCCTCTGGCAAACTCCTGTTTATCCCTCACGATCCAACACAAATGCTCTGTATTCTGTGAAAGCCATTCCGGATTTTCCTGGGCAGTTAGTGGCTTGGTTTGCTGTGCTCCTTTGTATATATATCTGCTGTAGTCTTTTCACACTGCTTTATAACTATTTGTTTACATGCCTGTCTCCCTTACTTTAATAAGAATATTGAGATACGGGAAGGCAACATTTTTTACAGGGACATTATTTTAGATGCTATTAAACGTAGCCAAAATTAAAAAATACATGTATTTAAAATGACATTGTTTCCCTTTTTTCCCCCTCAGCATAGGGCTACTTTCAAATTTGAATCAACAGATGAAGATAAAAGAAAGGTAAGCCTTGGTGTTGCTCTGTGAATGTTTATGTGTGTGTGTATTGCATTCATGGACTTTCTAAGCAGTGGTCATGTTTTCATCTGATGGTTATTGATTGGTTTCTTGTTTCCCTTCATTTTGTTTTTTAGGAACCCTGAGAAGAAAGGTTAGGTTAGGTTTAGTTTGGGTTACACGTAACTCTTTCCTCCTTTGTCCTCGCAGGACTATTAACACTTGTATAAATCAGGGGAGTGGGAGGGATTCAGAGGAGTCTCTTCCCAGATCTACTCACTCCCAAAGACTGACTGTTTAGTGGCAAGACTCCAGGTTGCCCAAAATCCATTGCTAATATTACAAAACTTAGCTTGAGGCAAGGTCTCGCTCTATCACCCAGGTTGGAGTGCAGTGGCTCACTGTAACCCCAGACTCCTGGGCTCAGGCAGTCCTCCTGCCTCAGCCTCCCAGTAGCTAGAGCTACAGGCACACACCAGCATGCCCATTTTAAAATTTTTTTGTAGAGACAGGGTCTCATCATGTTGCCCATGCTGGTCTATTGAGCTTCTGGCCTTAAGTGATCCCTCCTGCCTTAACCTCCCAAAGTGCTGGGATTACAGGTGTGAGCTACCATGCCTGGCCCTGCCTTTGTGTCTTGCTGTACTCCGTACATCTATCCCTGGCTATACAAATGCCAGAACCAAACAAGAGAGTATGACTGAATCAGTGTAAATCTATCACTGCTGCTAGAAAAATAGCTTAAATCCAGTATTTTGCTAGTAGTGGGTTGACAGTGCCTTGAAATCATTCCTCCATTCACCTGTATCCCCATACCTAATATCAGTGTCTTGCTCATTTTACGTTTTCAGATTTCTTCCATCCATTTTCTCCTTAACCTCTGCTCTAATTCAGGCCTACATCTGATTACTGCATCAGTTTCCTGACTGTTCTTTCATTTTCCAGTTACATGCTTTTCTAGTAGATTGGCATCCATAAATCCAAAATAACAATCTGACCATGTCATCCTTAGCCTTAAAACCCTTCATCTATCCCTTCATTGACTTTCTTTACCTACAGAATAAACTTCAAGCTTCTTAACATGACATGCTGGGTGCTCAGTGATCTGTCATATGCCTACTTTCGCAGCTTATTTCTTTTCTCTCCCTTGTATTTTGTGTTTTAGAAATAGAAAATGTTTCCAGTTATGCACACATCCACATCCCTTCTGTTTCTTGCTTACTACTTTTGCAATATATTGTTTTCTACCTAGAGTGCTCTCTCCCTCTTGTACACCTCTTCTTTTTCTCACCTGGTGAATCCCTACTCACCTCAGGGGCACCTCCTTCAGCAAGCCTCCTCTGACATTCCAGTTAAGGTGAAGTACCTCTTCAATATTCTCATAATACTCTATATAAATCTCTAAATTAATATTTATGCCTTGTTTCTTAATTATATATCTGTTGATGTTAGACACTGGTATCTTTATACACTTGACATTTGGAGTGCCCAGCACATAATAGGCACTCAAAAAGTATTTATTGGATGAGTGACCATGGAATATAAATTTTGTAGATTAAAGGTTTAACTCTGACTTTCTTTTGGATTTGAACAATGTAACCAAGACTAGAATACCTTTTTAGAACAGGGATTCTCAACTAGGGATATGCTCTTTGGAGAGCTTTTTCAAAATAGCCCTGCTCAGGCCCAACCTCTTATCTACCGAGTGAGAATTTGGGAGGTGAGCTCCAGACATGTGTATTCTATGTCTCTCTCTCTCTCTCTCTCTCTCTCTCTGTGTGTGTGTGTGTGTGTGTGTGTGTGTGTGTGTATAAAGTATATAAATTATTTAGAAACAGAATCTTGTTTCGTTGCCCATGCTGGAGTGCAGTGGCATGATTATAGTCCCCTGTAACACTCCTGGGCTTAAGTGATCCTCCCGCCCTAGGCTCCTTAGTAGCTAGGAATACAGGTATGTGCCACCATGCCCAGCCAATTTTTAAATTTTTTGTAGAGACGGGCTCTCACTCTGTTGCTCAGGCTGGCCTCAAGGGATCTTCCCACTTTGACCTCCTACAGCCCTAGGATCACAGGTGTGAGCCACCACATTTGGCCCAAGGTGTATTTTTTTTTTTTTTTTTTTTTTTTTTGAGACGGAGTCTTGCTGTTTCGCCCAGGCTGGAGTGCAGTGGCGCCATCTCAGCTCACTGCAAGCTCCGCCTCCCAGGTTCATGCCATTCTCCTGCCTCAGCCTCCCAAGTAGCTGGGACTACAGGCGCCCGCAACCACGCCCAGCTAATTTTTAGTATTTTTAGTAGAGATGGGGTTTCACCGTGTTAGCCAGGATGGTCTCAATCTCCTGAGCTCGTGATCTGCCCATCTCGGCCTCCCAAAGTGTTGGGATTACAGGCGTGAGCCACCGCACCTGGCCCCAATGTGTATTTTTATAGATGGTCTTCAGGAAATAAATACTCATATATCTGATGGGAGTGCAAAATGGCACAATCCCTATGGGGAAGAAACTGGCAGTGTCTACCAAAATTACAGATACGTTTTACTCTTTCACCAAGAAGTGTCTCTTTTAGAAATCTATTCTGCAGATAGATTGAACCCCAAGTAAGCAAAGTTATTCACTGAAACATTGTACATAATAGCAAAAGATTGGAAACAAGTGTCCAGCATTTAAGGAGTGTTTGAAGAAACTATGGCTCATTTACATTATGGAATATTATGATGTAGTAGAAAGAGATTTGCTGTATGTGCTAATGAGAGAGTGAAAAAAAAAAAGCAAGGTGTTAAAAAGAACATGTTGTTTGACAAACTCATGATAAGTATTCAGGCTAGGAAGCCAGCTGCTATTTATTTAATTTCATTGGAAGATCCATACTATATCCATAGATTCATGGTGCCTTAGAAATCTGACATTAGAGTCTTTGGTAGTGCTTTTACTGGTAAATACAAGCATATTAAGACAGAGTCTCCTACCCCATATAAATTTCAGGTGAAAGGGAGAAATTTCTTTCACAGTTATTAATAAAATGTGTTTATTTCCAATAGGGTAGTAGAAAAAAACTAACATTTTCAAAGTACTGTCTTTTTCTGAGTTTTAGATTTCTGAAGAGAGTAACTACTCTGTAGTGCTTATTACCAGTTACAGTGTGTAGGTTTCTGCTTCCTGGGAGGTCTGTTATAAACAAATGTCATTAGGGACCTAGCCAGGTAATCTTCATTAATGGGAAAACATCAACAAACAAATTCATTTCTGTGAAGTCTCCAGGGGTTAAAACCATTTGTGACTCTTTCATGCCTAAGGCTCTTTTTAGACTTAGACATCAGAACTATTGGACAGCTCAGAAGGATCTATACCTTAATAAGCTTTTCAAGTTCTTAATGGAGAGACATATAGAATATAGGCATTTCTGTACCTTAAGCCTACTCAGAAAATAAAAGGAAGTCACATTACTGCCCAATTCGTTTGCTCCCTATATTCGTTTTCACACTGCTGATAAAGACATACCTGAGACTGGGAAGAAAAAGAGGTTTAATTGGACTTAGAATTGCACGTGGCTGGGGAGGCCTCAGAATCATGGTGGGAGGTGAAAGGCCCTGCTTGCATGGTGGTGGCAAGAGAGAAAAATGAGGAAGATGCAAAAGTGGAAACCCCCGATAAGCCCATCAGATCCTGTGAGACTTATTCACTACCACGAGAACAGTATGGGGGAAACTGCCCCATGATTCAAATTATCTCCCACCATGCTCCTCCCACAGTGCGTGGGAATTACGGGAGTACAATTCAAGATGAGGTTTGGGTGAGGACACAGAGCCAAACCATATCATTCTGCCTCTGGCCCCTCCAAATCTCATGTTCTCACATTTCAAAACCAATTATGCCTTTCCAACAGTCCCCCAAAGTCTTAACTCATTTCAGCGTTAACCCAAAAGTCCACAGTCCAAAGTCTCATCTGAGACAAGGCAAGTCCCTTCCGCCTATGAGCCTGTAAAATCAAAAGCAAGCTAGTTACTTCCTAGATACAGTGGGGGTACAGGCATTGGGTAAATACAGCCATTCCAAATGGGAGAAATTGACCAAAACAAAGGGGTTACAGGGCCCATGCAAGTCTGAAATCCAGCAGGGCAGTAAAATTTTAAAGCTCCAAAATGATCTCCTTTGACTTCATGTCTCACATCTAGGTCACGGTGATTCAAGAGGTAGGTTCCCATAGTCTTGGGCAGCTCCACGCCTGTGGCTTTGCAGGGTATAGCTCCACACCTGGCTGTTTTCACAGGCTGGTGTTCAGTGTCTGCGGCTCTTCCAGGTGCAGGGTGCAAGCTGTCAGTGATCTACCATTCTGGGGTTTGGAGGATGGTGGCCCTCTTCTCACAGCTCTACTAGGCGGTGCCCCAGTAGGGACTCCGTGTGGGGGCTCTGAAGCCACATTTCCCTTCTGCACTGCCCTAGCAGAGGTTCTCCATGAGGGCCCCGCCCCTGCAGCAAACTTTTGCCTGGGCATCCAGGCCTTTCTGTACATCTTCTGAAATATAGGTGGAGGTTCCCAAACCTCAATTCTTGACTTCTGTGCACCCACAGGCTCAACACCACATGGAAGCTGCCAAGGTCTAGGGCTTGTACCCCCTGAAACCATGGGCTGAGCTGTCCCTTGGGCCCTTTTAGCAATGGCTGGAGCATCTGGGACTCAGGGCACCAAGTCCCTAGGCTGCACACAGCCAGGGACACTGGGCCCGGCCCATTAAACCATTTTTCCCTCCTAGGCTTCCGGGTCTGTAATGGGAGGGGCTGCATTAAGACCTATGACATGCCCTGGAGACATTTTCCCCATTTTCTTGGGGATTAACATTTGGCTCCTCATTAGTTTCACAATTTCTGCAACCAGCTTGAATTTCTCCTCAGAAAATGGGTTTTTCTTTTCTACTGCATTGTCAAGCTGCAAAGTTTCTGAATTTTTATGCTGTGTTTCCCTTTTAAAGTGGAATGCTTTTAACAGCACCCAAGTCACCTCTTGAATGTGTTGCTGCTTAGAAATTTCTCCTGCCAGATATCCTAAATCATCTCTCTCAAGTTCAAAGTTCCACAGATCTCTAGGGCAGGGGCAAAATGCCACCAGTCCCTTTGCTAAAACATGACAAGAGTCACCTTTGCTCCACTTGCAACAAGTTTCCTCATCTCCATCTGAGACCACCTCATCCTGGACCTTATTGTTCTTATCACTATCAGCATTTTTGTCAAAGCCATTCAACAAGTCTCTAGGAGGTTCCAAACTTTCCCACATTGTCCTGTCTTCTGAGCCCTCCAAACTGTTCCAACCTCTGCCTGATACCTAGTTCCAAAGTTGCTTCCATATTTTCGGGTATCTTTTCAGCAACACCCCACTCTACTGGTACCAACTTAACATACTAGTCCATTTTCACACGGCTAATAAAGACATACCCGAGACTGGGAAGAAAAAGCAGTTTAATTGGACTTAAAATTCCACATGGCTGGGGAGGCCTCAAAATTATGGTGGGAGGCGAAAGGTACTTCTTACATGGTGGTGGCAAGAGAGAATGAGATAAACCCATCAGCTTTCATGAGACTAATTCATTACCACGAGAACAGTATGGGGGAAACCGCCCCCATGATTCAAATTATCTCTCAGCAGGTGCCTCCCACAACATACGGGAATTATGGGAGCACAATTCAAGATGAGATTTGGGTGGGGACACAGCCAAACCATATCACTCCCCTCGTTCTCTTTCCTAAATGTGTTTTTGGAGCTCTATGCCAGCAACTACTTAGTAACAGCGGGACATTTTTTGGTAAACTACATTGCTATCTCTTTGAAAAACACTAACCCCTCTTATATGAAAAATCTTTGTGACAACTTAGAAGTAAGTGTAAGGGAACAGTGCCCTTCAAAAAAAAAAAAACTTGATTATACTGTGCTTTTTAGGAGATAATTATAAATTAATGATCTTTAGACCTAATTCCTGACACTTATATAGTGTTTTGCAGTTTTACAAAGATTTGCTTCTTACCGGTAGTGCTGTAAGTATGGTAAGAATATCACCATTCCTATCTTATGAATAAGGAAACTGAGGCTCATATGAATGACAGCTTGCTAACACTCACACCACTAGTTAGTGGTTCAGCCTCACATAGACAGCAGATTATCTATTATGTGCAGCTCCTTCACTGCTCACTGCTCAATAGCTCCCTCTTATTACCATTGAGGTATATTTCAGAAGGCTTGAAATTATCATCCAGTACCTTGTTTTCTCTCATTTTATACCTTGAGAAACCATTTAGGTAACTAGATTTAAGTTGGAAGATAGCAAAGGAAATTAGCAACTAGAAGTGCTTACATTTTTCTAGAGAAGTAAAGTCAGATACAACGGCTAATGTTTGTGCATATAATGCAAATAGTTCCAGGTGCATGTGGATCATTGTATACTTAGATAAAAGCACCTGTGTTTATTGAAGCATTTGCTTTATATTCTGTACCTAAATTGGTAGGCTGTGATTATCTACCAGCACATAAACAAATATGTCATGCAAATATGTAGGATTGGTGGGGAGGATATAATGAATAATCTGAAAATTCACATGTTGAGGAAATGAAAGCTCTTAAACAAAAAGCTTTAAAACAAAACTGACCTCAAAACCAATAAAGAGTACTAATTGCAATAAGTTTTGGAAGAGACATATCATAAAATGATTAAAAGATTTCCAGCTCTTTCACATATAAGAATACAGCCTTATCAAATGTGGAAAATTTCAGTTGTCTGAGATAAATCTTTGTGTATATAGTAATTTTCCTCAAAAGAGTAAAGTTAAAAGTAGCCAAATATCAAGCATATTTTATTACCTTCAAATTCACACAGCCCATATTTCTGTGAAGCCGTAAGGTAATTGTCAAGTTGAGATTGCAAGCTCTTTGAGGACAAGAACTCTAGCTTACTTTATATTTTCAGCAAAATAGGCACCTATAATAAATGCTTGTTAACTGAATGAAAAGAACTTGGTGAGTGAGTGGAGGCCAGAATTCCTGTGACTTGTACATATTGTTTGGTTTTGTGTTCTATATTATTTTAGCTATAAAGTAGAATCCCAAGCACAGCTCATGTTGTTCACTGAAAAAGCAGGATACAGTGCAAAAGTATGCATACAGTATGATCACAGCCACGTAAAACTGATAAAAACCATACAAAGAAAAAATGGTGACAAGGAGATAAATGGCAGCCACCTGTATAGTTATTACTGTGGATATTTTTCTTTTCTGTTTTTTAAACTGTTCTTTTATATTACAATAGATTATAATGATATAAGCATAGGTTCATTATATAATTATAACGTTACAATATACTGTTACAATAGTGTGATTGGAGTTATAAGCGAAGGACTAATATTTCTTTTTTCAAATCATGTATTTTCTCTAAAATTGGCCTTCTTGATTACGTATTCCTTTTGGGAGAGCATAAAAAACTCTTACTCAGTTTGGGGCAGTATTATCGGCAGAGCCAGTTTATGGAGTGAAATATATATAAACACAAAAGTTCATTCTGCCATTTCAAATACTTTTTTCTTTTTTTCCCCCAGACACAAATGTATTTAGCATATTAGAGATCTCTGTAATCCACAAATGTTTTCTCAGTAAATCCTGTATTCCTGGCCTTGTGTTAGGCCTTGGCTCCTAAGTTGGCTTTTTGTCCATGGTGTTTGGTTTGGCACTTTCTCAATTATAGATGCATGCTGAGGCTTGCCATTGTGGACTATAGAAAATGAATGGGTAAATTTCTATATTAGATTCCCCCAAGGAATATGTGCCAAAATAGAATCATTAATCCTAGACTGTGAATCCATGCTTTGGAATAGCTTGAGGAATGGATGCTTGTTCTAAAAGCCCTTTGTCCTTATTTTGGTCATTTGGAATTGTCACACTCCAGTTTTTACTAAAATAAAATAAGCTTTGTATGCTTTGCAAATTTGACTCAAAATTTATTTGGTGTCTTTGCTTGAGGGAATGTTTTGTTACATAGTGCAAGTACAGTTCTCACTTAGAAACCAGTAATTTTCAACATCTTCATCTCTTTAAAATAATTGCACACAATACCAAAAGTACATCTAAACCTTTTACTTTTTAAAGTTCCTGTCCAGCTGGAATCTGACACAAGACTTGACTTAGGTCTGGGTTGTATCATAGGGCAGGATGAATGCTTCACGGTAGGTCAAAAAAACAATTTAAACTTCATTCCAAATTCCACTTTTAGTTTTAGATGTTTTCCATGGCACTGGAGGAGTAAATCTAGAAAGCAAGGACAGGACAGCCCTGACTTAGTAAGCCACAGGTATGGCAGTCTATACATGATCGTTGGATCACTTTTTAAGATTTCTGTCTGGGATAATAAGAATACTATCTCTGATTTGTACTTTAGAGTTTCAGGTGCATTTTCTCATATAGAGATTTCATCAAGAAGTTCCGCTTCCAGCCATGACAGTGTGAAGATCTCTACAGATCTGCTCCCTAATGGAACTGGTAAAAATTATTTTTAAGAACAACCATTTAAAGTCTGGAAATAGTCCCAAAGGCATACAGTCAATGAAGAAACACCTATTCAAAAAAATCTAAAAGTAAGAAAAGTGGGCCGGATGCTGTGTCTCACTCTTGTAATCCCAGCTACTTGGGTGGCTTGAGGAGAGAGGATTGCTTGAGTCTAGGAATCTGACACTGTGGTGAGCTATGATCACGCCACTGCACTCCAGCATGGGTGACAGAGTGAGACCCTATCTCTAAGGAAAAAAAGCAAGGAAAGTGAAAGTCTGTGTTATTTGAACCAAGACCTGTTCTCCCTCTCTTCTCTTGGCTAAGTGAGATAGAACTCTTCTCCAAACTGGTGCAGGGAAGAATATACGGTTCCCTTTCCCTCTAGTCCCAGTTGGAGTGCTGTCTTCACAGGAGTGATGGAATGTCAGCATTTCTCATCCTGCCCCCAGCTACCTGTTGCTGAAACTAAATTCTGGATAAGTGTAGCTGAGAGGTGGGTCTTACCTCCTTCCATTCTGCCCTTCCTCATGGGATAGCAGCTGTACCTTGGATGTGACACTGCTGAGAATACCGGGGCCACAGTCATCCTGGTGGCGGAACATGGTTCCACCCCAGGAAAAGCAAACCAAGGAGATCAAGGGTTGCTGTACCTTTACTTCAGTTGAGCTGTCAGCCCTAAAGTGAGGGTGTCACACAGAAGCATACCATTGTCTCTGCCCCCAGCATCAGCACCAGGGCTCAGAAATTTTGTCCAGGGGAAGAAGCAAGCCTTATAAAAGAGAGTGCTGAATGTCTCCTCAAAGGAACTGACTTCATTTGCACAGAATATGGAGAAGTTCATGCCTAAGGGTGCAGGTTGTGATGAAAGGCACTTGGGGTGACATTAACACAGTCATTGGAGATATAGGTTAACCCAAAGGCCAGCTACTTTGCTAGGAGGAATGGGATAACTGAGCTAGATTGCTAGAGTGAAAGGAGGAAAGTGGTAGCTGGGAGGAACTATCCCTTCAAAAGATTGGATCTGTTTGTGGAGCAATTTTTGCCCCAGGACATTTTTGAAGACAGTAGATCAGTCAACCAGCAATTAGTGTCACATAAGAGCTGTGTGTGATCAGGAAAAGAGAAAGTCAGAGGGGTCTGCCAAAGCCACTGTCATCCCAGTGCAACTGTGGACATACCCAATGGTGTGCCCTATAAGGTGCAACATTAGGGCTTCACACTTTGAGGAAGCAGAGAGAGAATAGACTGCTAAGATAATTTAGCCAGTCACTAAACAAATAAACAAATACAATAGCAACTCCTGGAGAAGGTGGGTGGAAGGGAGTGCAAATACCTAGAGTTGTTACAAGATGTCCAGTTTCCATGGGCGGGGTGGGGGTGGGGGAGGGAAGCAGGCACCAAAAACTGCCTGTATGACCAGATGTTGGATTTAACAAAGACTTCAGAGTAGCCATTATAAATATATTCAGAGAACTAAAGGAAACCATGATTAAAGAAGTAACAGATGTAATGAAGTCACATAAAATGGAGAAATCAATACAGAGATAGAAGTTATTTTTAAAAAGAGCCCAATAGACATTCTGGAGTTGAATAAAGTACAATAACTGAAATAAAAATTCACTGAAGGGGCTCAACAGTAGATTTGAACTGGCAGAAGAAAGAATAAGCAAACCTGAAGACACAGCAATAGAGAATATTCAAGGCAAAGAACAGAAGAAAGAATAAAGAAAAACGAAGAGAGCCTTAGAGAATTGTGGAATAACATTTACATACCAGCCTACACATAATGGGAATACCAGAAGGAGAGGAGAGAGAAAGAAAGGAGAAGAAAAATATATTTGAAGAAATAATGGTTTAAACTTCCCAAATTTATTGGAAACCTACATATCCAGGAAGTTCAGTGAACCCAAAGAGATGCATAAATACATCATAGTAAAAATGCTAAAAGCCAAAGACGAGGAGAAAATCTTGAAAACAGCAAGAGAAAAATGACTCATCATTACAAGGGAAGGTCAATAAGATTCACAGCTGACTTATCAGAAATGTAAGTCAGTGGGATAACATATTGGAAGTGCTTAAAGAAGAAACCTCATCTAAGAATCCTGTATCTAGTAAAGCTATTTTTTAACACTGCAAGGGAGATAAAGACATTTTCAGATAAACAAAAAACTGAAAGAATTTGTTGCTAGCTGACTCACCTTACAAGACTTAATAAAACAAGTTCTTTAGACTGAAAGCAAGTAACCCTAAACAGTACTTTGAATCCACGTGAAGATATAAAGAGTACCTGTAAAGCTAATTATGTAATTGTAGAAGTCAGTATGAATACATAATTCTCCCATTTTCTGTTAATTGATTTTAAGAGCATTTGTATAAAACGATATGTATATAATGTATTGTTCAGTCAGTAATATAGAGAAATGTAATACACTTGCCAAAAACAGCACAATGGTGAATGGGAGCAAAGCTGTATTGAACTAAGGAAGCAAATCCAGATGGTAACTAGGATCCACAAGAACAAATCAAGAAAACCAGAAATGATAAATAAGGCTAATATATCAAAAGCTATAAATGTATACTTGTTCTCCCAGCTTCTTTAAAAGACAAAATTATAAAGTAATAATTATAATAATGTATTATTGGATTTGTAATTTTTATAGATGTATATAACAATAATACTATAGAAAAAGGGGGAAGGGAATAGTGAAGTAGCTACGTTGTCTGGGGTAAATACCCGTGGTTCGTCTTCTCACGCCAAGACAATTTAGGACATGGACACACACCAGGAGTTTAGGAGCGGAGGTCTAATAGGCAAAAGAAAGAAAAGAAAACAGCTCTCTCTCTAGTGAGAGAGAGGGGACTTCTGAGAGGAAAAAGGAGCCAGCAGCGGATGTGCCAGATTTTATAGTCAGATTTGAGGAGGTGATGTCTGATTTACATAGGGCTCACAGACTGGTTCGATCAGGTATGATGTTTACATAGCGTGGGGAGGGCTGGCCGCCCCAACCTCATCTTATTATGCAAATGAACTTTCCCATTGGCCAGCACTGTCTTGTCTGCTCCTTAATGTACATGTGGCTGACAAAGAGAAGGGAAGATGGAGCCACCATCTTGAATATGATTGGCACAACTGCTGGCATGTATGTCTGCAGCTCGATTTTACAGGCTGCTCTTTGTTAGAAAGGAAAATAATTTGGGGCTGCTTTTCATTAAAAGGAAAACCTTACCGAGGACTTCCGTACCCTCACTATCTGCCTAAGTAATTTCTTCTTAACTCCTGTATCAATAATGTTATACAGGAATGTTTCTGTATCTCACTGGAATTAGTATAAATCTGGAGCTGTTTCTAATAAGGTATATATGCTAAGCCCTAGAATAATGACTAAGGACATAACTCATACTTACACTTTGAAAACTGTAAAACATTGTTAAAGGAAATTAGAGAAGCTTAAAATAAATGAAAAAACATCCCATGGTCATGGATTAGAAGACTTACTATTGCTAAAATGTCAGTACTCCTCATATTGATCTACAGATTCAACGCAATACCTTTTAGAAACCCAGGTGGCTTCCTTGTAGAAATTGACAAGCTAGTTCTAAAATTCATATGAATTTTTGACACAGAGTAGTCAAAACAACCTTGAAAGGAAGAACAAACTCAGAGGATTCACAATTCCTTATTTTAAAATTTACTACAGGGCCAAGAGCGGTGGCTCACACCTATAATCCCAGCACGTTAGGAGGCCGAGGTGGGAGGGTCTGTTGAGCTCAGGAGTTCGAGACCAGCCTGGGCAATATAGTGAGACCCCCACCCCCCTCCATCTCTAAAAAGAAAAAAGAAATTGCTACAAAGCAGTAATAACCAAGGCAGCTGGTATTGGTGTGAGGATAAATGTAGATATTAACAAATGGTGCTGTGACACTTAGGTAGCCACATGTAAAAGAATGCAGCTGGATTCTTACCTCTTGCTGTATACAAAAATTCAACTGAATCAAAGACCCAAATGTAAGCATTAAAGTCATAAAATTCTTAGGAGAAAACATAAAGGTAAATCTTCATGTCCCTGGATTTGCCAGTGGATTCTTAGAGATAACACCAAAAGCACAAGTAATAAAAGAAAAAAATAACATGAATTGGATTTCATCAAAGTTAAAATACTTTTGTGCTTTGAAGGATACTATCATGAAAGTAAAAAGACAACCCACAGAATGGGAGAAAATATTTGCAGATCCTATGTCTGATAAAAGACGTGTATCTAGACTATGTAACTCTTACAACTCAAAGGCAACTCAATCTTAAAATGGGCAAATGATCTGACTAGACACTTTTCCAAAGAAGATATACAAATGGTCAGTAAAGATGCTTGATATCATTAGTCATCAGAGAAATGCAAATCAAAACCACCATAAAATATCAATTCATACCCACTAGGATGGCTAAAACAAAAAAGATAACAAGTGTTGACAAGAACTGGAAGAAATCAAAATCCCCATACACTGCTGGTGGGAATGTAGTATGGTGCAGCACTTTGGAAAACAGTCTGGTGGATCCTCAAAAGGTTGAATAATTACCATATGACCCAGCAGTTGTACTCCTGGGTGTCTACCCAAGAGAAGTGGAAATACATATCCACATGAAAACTTGTACACAAATATTCATGGCATTATTCATAATTGCCAAAAGATGTAAACATGCCCATCACCTGGTGAGTGGATAAATAAAATGTGTTATATCTATACAATGAAATATTTGACCATACAAAGGAATAAACTAACTGATGCTGCTACAACATGGATGAACCTTGAAAACATTATGTTACACGAAAGATACCAGACACTTAAAAGGCCACAGATTGTATGATTTTATTAACTTAAAATTTTAGAATAGGCAGATCTATGGTGACAAAGTAGATTCATAGTTGCCAGGGGCTGGAGGAAGAGGGGAATCAGGAGTTACTACTAATAGATATCTTGAGCTTCTTCTGGGGATGATGAGAATGTTCTAAAATTAGATAATAAGGGTGGTTGCACAAGTGTGAATATAGTAAAAACCAATGAATTGCATGCTTTAACAAGTTGAATCTTACAATATGTGAATTATATCTCAAGCTATTTTAAAATAAATACTAGTAGATAATGTATCCTCTACACCCATCATCGTTCCAAGTACTGTTGGGTATTAACATTTAATCCTCACAACAAAGCTATAAAGTAGGTAGAATTTTGCTTATTTTACAGATGAGGAAACAAAGGCACGCAGAGAAATTACTCGCTGAAAATAAAGAAGTTGGAGGCCATGATTCGAGCTTAGGCAGCCTGGCTCCAAGACCCGTGTGCTACACCGTACTGCCGCTCATTAATAATTGGATTGACCTGTTGTGTAGTTTATGAATCGATTCTATTTATTTCCTGATTTTAGGCACCCGAAATGTGAGATTTGATGGAGAACATAAAGCTTTGACATTAAACTAGTTATAGCGTTGACAGAAAACAGAAGATCATGCTTGCCAGTGTAAGTGACTGAATAAAATAACTAGTGAAGAAGATAGCTGTGTAGTACTGGCCTTATAACACTTAGGCATATCGTAGATCTTTTTGATGCCTCGGATTCATTTTTTGTTGTCAAAAATGTAAGGTTTCCTTTTCTCGGTAGCTGGCTTTTTTCTTCCTTTCAAATTTTGATCAGATGCTGAGCAAAGTGCAGAAATTTGTACATCTTTGATGTATGGAAAACTCATAGGGACCTGAAAGTTCTTGGCTGACCAGATGTTTCCACGTTCTCAACTCCTCTATTTGTAGATAAAAAAACTAGAGGTTGACTTACCCAAGATCAGAGTTAATGAGCAGAAAAGCTGGAACTCAAACCAATTCCTCTGTCTTCTTTTCTGACTTCAGTGATGATCTTTGCAGGGCCTATCCTCAGATAGCTCACAGTGTAATAAGGGACCCACAGTGTCTTCCAGTACAGTATGATTCCTTCTAAGGCATCCTACACTGAGGGTCATCACCCTGACTGAATACTTTCGGTAATGGAAAGCTTACAGCAGCCACTGTACTTTTTTTTTTTTAGATAGCTGTAATTGTTAGAAGGCTGTTACTTATATGAACTCTAAATCTGCTTTGCTTGTCCTAGTTTACCCATATTTCTCTCTGCTGCTGTTGTCCGTCATTTGACTTAGCTTTCCACCTCTTTTTTGCCACTTAGTCTTTATCATTTTTTTCCCCCACTTACTGCCCAACACATTTATCAAAAAGCTTTCTCTGGCAAAATTTCTTATAGTTCATTCCTTCAGTCTTTTAGCACATAGCTTAAATTGCTGTCTATTGAAATTTAGCATTTCTTATTCATTTTACATAGTTTCAACCTCCCTAATATTATAAACTACTTGAGTCATGTTCTTTTATATCTCACTAACTCAAAATAGACATCTTGTCACTAAGTTAGAATATATTTCTCTTGAATAATTTGCATGCACTTAAATTTTAAATTGGGAACATTTTCAGATACGTTCCTGTATCAGGGTGGTGTACATAGGTGCTCAGTAATGGACACTGTAGAATCTATAGAATTAATAGAAAAACTGCAGTGTTATTTTTTATAACATCACTACTTCCCTTTCTCAAGTGGCTTTGCCATTTCATTAAAATGCAAACCCTTGTAAACAAAACAAAAATATTTCTAGCAATATTTTTCTTGTATAGAATGTGCTTGTTAACGTTTCTTGATCTGTTTGTCCATCTGGCCATCTTTATGATGTAATGTGCATCAACCTCCTACTCTATGCCAAGCACTATGCTAGAGGTTTCTAATATATCATCTCATTTCATATTTATAAGCCCTAGTTGTTATCCCTATCTATTTAGAGTTAAGGAAATGTAGCTCAAGTGATTTCAAGAAATTTGCCCAAGATTACCTAGCCACAGGGGCAGAGCACAGCTAGTGGCTGAATCCAGGTGCTTTTTTTACTTCAACTATACTGTTTCAATTAAGTCACGTAAAAGATGCCTTATACTTCATAATAGGGTCTTTCATATGCTGTCTATGTAAATAATTACCATAAGCATGTGAGATAGATACATTTCTATCTTACAAATAAGGAAATTTAGTTTCAGAAAGATCAATTTACTCCAGATCCAAGTTCAGAAAATAGAACTAGGGATTAGGAAGAACCCACATATTTTGTTTCCGTACTTTTTCTGCTATATTATTAATGTGTTCTTATGCCTTTGAAGACCTCTAAAATCACACAGCTATCTCATTGAGACAACTTAACTTCCCTCTTTCCCCTGTTCTCGGCTATCTTAGTCTGCTTGAGCTGTCAAAATACCGTAGACTGTATGGCTTAAAGGACAGAAATTTATTTCTCCCAGTTCTGAAGGCTGGGAAGTCAAGATCAAGATGCTGTCAAGGTAGATTTCCTTTCGAAGCCTTTTCTCCTAGCTTGTGAGCAGCTGCCATGTCACTGTGTGCTCACATAACCACTTCTTTGTATGCATTTATACAGCAAGAACACAAGCTCTTGGTGTCTCTTATAAGGGAAGTAATCCCAAGAGACCGGGGCCTCACCCTCATGACTTCACCTAACCCCACTTACCTCTGTATTAGTTTGTTCTTACTCTGCTATAAAGAAATACCTGAGACTGGGTAATTTATAAAGAAAAGAGGTTTAATTGGCTCACAGTTCTACAGGCTGTACAGGAAGCAAGGCAGCATCTTTCCGGGGAAGCCTCAGGAAGCTTTTACTCATGGCAGAAGGCAAAGCTGGAGGGAGACACCTTATGTGGCTGAGCAGGAGGAAGAGAGAGAGAAGGGGGAGATGCTACACACTTTTAAACAGCCAGATCTCACGAGAACTCAGGACAGTACCAAGGGGAAAATCCACCCCCATGACCCAGTCACCTCCCACCATGTAATTCTCACCTCCGGCACCAGGGATTGCATTTCAACATGAGATTGAGGGGGGACACAGATCCAAACCATATCACTGTTCGAAAGCCCCATCTCCATATATTAATATTATCACATTGTGGGTTAGAGCTTTAACATATGAATCTGGGGGCATGGGACACAAACATACAGTCCATATGTTAGCTTACCATCAGAGTCCCTGACTATCTTTCATACGTGCTTGGGCTATTAGAGCTGAAAACCAGGGATTCAAAGATAGAGGAACTAGTTCAGAGTGGCTAATTGAGTGTTGTGGAGTAGATGGCATTGGAGACAAAGTAAGGAAATTCCAAAGAGATTGTATATAGGAAAGAACTTGATTCACTAAAAAGGCAAAGAAGCAAAGGGGCTGCTATAGGACCAGGATTTATATCAGCCACCAAGATATGAGGTATATGTTATTGTGACAGTGTTCATCTTGCAGCCTTGCCTAGTGTACTGTATAATCAAACTATAGCTTGTGCTAAGAACTCCCTAAAGATTAAATGAGTATTGTTCTCTCATTTGGTAAATTCTAATTTGAAACAAATGAAGATACCGCTGTATTTGCCAACATACTAACTTTAAATACTAAAATACATTTCACATGGGCAGTGGAGAACAGGGCTTTCTGAAAAATAGGCTTAAGTAGTAAAAGAAGCAGAGTTGGCTGGTACTGTGTTTGAAGAGAAATAGAAAGTTTTGACATACCCATTTTTGCCCTCAAAATGGAGGCTTGTAAGTGGAAGCTTATAAAACTTTTCTTGTCAAGAAAGAAAGGGCAGCTGATTGGTTTTATAAGCTTCCATTTACACCTAAGCTCTTTCCTGTTAATGAACTCTTGATGATGTAATGTGTCTTTCTCAGGATTGCTAATTAGCAAAAAAGTTTGAGCCAAACTTGTTTAATAATTGTTTCTCAGAACTTTATTTTCAGTTTTTTTGACAGATCACCATGATATATAACATAACATTGATTGTGTTACTGAAACATGTACATGTGCAGGAAAGGAAGTTAGAGATGAAATTTAGGAAGTGAGATACAGCCTCGTTCATAGAGACAGTATCCATTAAATAAAAAGTGAGAATTGCCATTGCCTCCCATATTACAAGTAGGAAAAACCCTCAAGTGTATATAATATTAATCTTTTACATGAACTCAGCTGCATGAGTATTCATTTTAGAAGATCTCCATGTTAGCTTTTTATAAAGAATTCCAAATTTGACCTCTAGAATCCTCCCAGAACCTTTATTAAAAACATATTTTAAAATTCTGGCAATAAGTCATTAACTAGTATTTTTGTGAAATACAGTTTTTGAATAGGTCCGTCTTGTGGAACTGACAACATTGTCCCAACTACAGTTATAGTAAGCTTATTTTAGAATTTAATACAACCCTCATCTTCTGCATGTACACATGTACCTCTTGTTCCCCCCTACATACACGTGCTGTATACAGAGGGCAGAAATTAAGGACTATCAGATTTAGGTGGCTGACCTTCAGCTCCAGTTAAGAACTAAAATTAGATCCTTGTGGAATATATATCCAGTGACGTTCATCACAGAAGAGTGTAGACATAACCTTGAGAGGCCAGGGAAACATCATCCATCCAAGGGAGCCTGCCTTAACTACAAAAATTCCTTTGACATCTCATTTTTTATCTTAACATTCATGTAAGTTATGTATTGTGATTTGTAATGCATTCATTTATTTTCATGTAGAAATCGCCTACCCCAAATAAATCTTTTAGTAAAATAGTGGTTAAAGAATATGTACCAAAATTACCCTATGACTTTAAGTATCCCTGGCACTGGGCCACATCTCCCAGATGAATGTGCATAACCTATTTTAAGATTAGGGTCTATCCCGTCACTATAGGAGTATACTGGTAGATTCAAGTGAGTATAATTCAAGCATGTGGCTAACACTGTAGCCATAATGGACAAAAAAGCAGGGAAGGAGGAGTCTATTCTATTATCTATTCTATTTTTTTAAAGAGAAAGTGGCAGACTATAGGGATAGGTATTTCACTGCCACTACAATATGAGAATTTTTTTTTTTTTTTTTTTTTTTTTTTAAGTAGAACCATGTTTAAGGATTTAGGTCTGTTTATTTAAGGAAAACAAAAATCTGTTCTTAGAAATTCCCTTCACTGGCCTGGTTTAGCCCAGAATTTCTTTTAATGTTAAGAACACTCATTTTTGTTTTAGTTCTTGTGTATCACTAGATACCAGTAAAAGAGAGTAGGACTGAGTCAAATAAGAATTTGAGTCCCCTTTTCTGCTGTAGCTTTCTCTGCTACCTTAAGCAAATCATTTAGCCTATCTGGGAGTCAGTTTTCATATCTATAAATCCTCTTGTCCTGAGTATGTTAATAGGTGTTATTTTTTGAAAGGGTTCTATGGTCAAAGTAAGGAAATATCAGTTTAAAAAAAATGAACAGGGCTGGGCACAGTGGCTCAAGCCTGCAATTCCAGCACTTTGGGAGGCAAAGGTGAGGGGATTGCTTAATTAAGGCTTGGAGTTTGAAACCAGCCTGGGCAGCATAGCAAGACCCTGTCTTTAAAAGTAAAAAAAAATAGCTGAACACAGTTAATTGGACCTCTATTCCTAGCTACTTGGGAGGGTGAGGCAGGAGGATCCTTTGAGCCCCGGAGTTCGAAGTTACAGTGAGCTGTGATCGTGCCATTGCTCTCCAGCCTGGGTGACAAGAGTGATGATACCCTGTCTCAAAAAAAAAAAAAAAAAAAAAAAGCAAGTTTCTTTTCCATAATACATGGGAGAATCTTTGGTAGTTTGATATGCCTTATAAGTTTCCCAAGCTTATTTGCCTACAAAACCCATTTTTATAGAATCTTTTGTACTGCTAGTGTTTGTTAATGGTAAGTGATCATTATAGTGCCTTCTAACTCTTAACATTCTGAAATTGGACACAGTTTGTTTGACTGTGCAGCTCGTTTCTAGACTGTAGTTATCCTAGGTTACTAACAAGTTGAACTCAATGCTTGTAATGTGTGTGTATCCTGCCATTTTTTCCAGCTGGTACTGGAAAGTTATTGCATTTTCCTGTTTCTTGTAAATAAAACAAACATTACTCCCTGTCTTTTGCAGTTTTTCACTTTCTCTGTGCCCCTTTGTTTCAGTGTATTCAATTATTGGCCCATTTTTATTCTAAATTAATCTATTCATCTTTATCTGAGTTTCACCAACTCATAGTAAAGATTTCTGAAACCCTCAGCCCATTAAATCCTTTTGAGAAACACTAATGTTGGAGAGAAAACTATGTCACTTCTACATGTGGACTTATTTCAATCAGAAAAACAAGCCACCTTTAAAATGTTGCTATTGGTTAAGATCTTTAATTATAGGTCTTGTTCTTAGAAATGCAAAATTTTAGCTCTTACTGTGTACCATCATTTCATTTAATAAAACAACATTGTCATAGAAGGAGTATTATCCCCGTTTTATAGGTAATGAAACTAAAGCTCAGAGAAACCTAATAACTTGTCCAGATCTCACAAATAATAAATAGCAGTCATATCCAACTTATATTCTCTATTATACCTTGTAGCTTCTTATTAAAACATATGATAATACTGTATGTGGCATGTGTGGTGTAGTTACAATGATAAGTAACATTTATTGACTAATTCTAGGGTAGCACATGCACATCATCTCATTTAATTCCCTCAACAACCCTATGAAGTAGGTACTTTTTTTTCCTTCCTTTCTTTCTTTTTTTTTTTTTGAGACAGAGTCTCGCTCTGTCGCCCAGGCTGGAGTGCAATGGCGTGATCTCTGCTCACTGCAGTCTCCGCCTCCTGGGCCCAAGCGATTCTCCTGCCCCAGCCTCATGAGTGGCTAGGATTACAGGCGCCCACTACCACGCCCATCTAATTTTTGTATTTTTAGTAGACATGGGGTTTCACCATGTTGGCCAGGCTGGTCTCGGAACTTCTGACCTCAAGTGATCCGCCCGCCTTGGCCTCCCAAAGTGCTGGGCGTGAGCCACCATGCCTAGGCTGAAGTAGGTACTATTATACCAGTTTTACAGGTAAGGAAGTAAATAAATTGGTCAGGTGGCAGCTGGGAATCAAATCCAGAGCTTTAATAACCTATTAAATGTTTGGAAATAATATTCTATAGCACACAGTGCTTTGAAGATGTCATACTTAGTATGTATGTTTGTAAATATTCAACATATTTGACAGCATCTTTGTGCATGTGGAAGAAGAGAAATATGTTAAACAGACCCTGCCCCCGCCAAAGCTGATAAAAGAGAGAACTCTCCATAAATATAATTCAAGGTCAGAGGTGTTAAGTGCTATAAAAGTGCTAGAGATTAAGTGTTCTGGATTTAGAGGTGGAAGGGATTACTTCCTGCTGGGGGATGGTGAAAAAGATAGCGTTTGATTTGAAGGGAGGAGTGATTCAAGAAGGTCAGGGGTTGGGAAGACGTTTTGAATCCAGGAAGTAACATGAGAAAAGGCACAGAAGTTTGGACAGGCATTAGAGAGTAGATTATTGTGCCTAGATCAAGGATATTGTGACAATAAGTAGTTGAATGTGAGTTTTAGAAAGGTGAGTTATGGGGGATCGGGCCCCTTCCTGGTTAATGTGTTTGGATGTGTTTTATTTCAGGTATCTACTATGGGACAGTTAAAGAGAAATGTCTACCAGGCAGCAACATTTTCTTTTTGCTGCCAGCTTTAGGAAGCAAGTCACCTATCTCAGAAGTAAAAGATACCACCAACAACCAAGTTATACAAGTTAGAAATCTATGAGGTTCCTTGCCTCCTCTTTCTTCTTCATTCTTGACCAATCATTCCACCAATCATTCAGTCAATTCTGCACCCTTAAAATCTTTCCTCTGCTGGGCGCCATGGCTCACTGCTGTAATCCCAACACTTTGGGAGGTGAGAAGATCACTTGAGTTCAGGAGATCAAGGCTGCAGTAAGTCATAATGGCACCACTGCACTCCAGCCTAGGTGACAGAGTGAGACCCTGTCTCAAACAACAACAACAAAAAAAACCCTGTAATTTTCCCAGTTTCATTACCACTGCCTTAGTTCAGACCTCCATCATCCCTCACTAGGATTACTGCAACAACCACTTAACTGCCCTGCTTCTGGTCCTGCTCCCCTTTTCTTGTTCATTTTCCACATTAACATCAGAGTAATATTTCCAAAATACAAATCTAATGTCATTATCCTGCTTAATACTCTGCAGTAAGTTCCCCATTTCCCTCTGGATTAATTCCAGACTCTTCATTCTTCTCATATAAACGTGGACTAGTATATTTTCTCTTTAAAAAAGAAAGAACAGCCTTTCTTGATCTTACATTCCCTCTTATTGCCAGCCCATTTCTCTGTTTGTCTTACAGCAACATCTTGAAAGGTATCTACTTCTCTCTCTCTTTTTCACCTCCCAGTTACTCTTCAGAAACTGTTTTTTTGTGTTTGGTTTTTTTCTTTTCTTTTTGAGATGGAGTTTTGCTCTTGTTGCCCAGGCTGGAGTGCAATGGTGCGATCTCGGCTCACAGCAAACTCCACCTCCCGGGTTCAAGCGACTCTTCTGCCTCAGCCTCCCAAGTAACTGGGATTACAGGCATGTGCCTCCATGCCCGGCTAATTGTAATTTTAGTAGAGACGGGGTTTCTCCACGTTGGCCAGGCTGGCCTCGAACTCCCGACCTCAGGTGATCCGCCCACCTCGGCCTCCCAAAGTGCTGGGAGTACAGGCATGAGCCACTGTGCCTGTCCCCAGAAACTGTTTTTATCAAGGCCATTTGTGCTCTAGCATTGCCAGGTCTTAATGCTATTTGATCTTTCATCTGCATTTCAAACAGCTGACCATTCCCTACATAAAATATTTTCTGCCATCTTGTGTTCCAGAACACCACACTCCTAAATTTCCTCTTGCTAATACCTCTTTACCTCCTTTATCAGTTTTTCTTCCCCACAGCCACTGAGTGGTGGCATCTTTCATGGCTTTTAGTCCCCCTTTTCTCTATATATTTTTCTCTAGGCAATCTCATTTACTTTTGTAACTTAAGAATGCCTTTATTGCCGGCGCAATGGCTCACGCCTGTAATCCCAGCACTTTGGGAGGCTGAGGTGGGTGGATCATGAGGTCAGGAGTTGGAGACCAGCCTGACCAACCTGGTGAAACCCCGTCTCTACTAAAAATACAAAAATTAGCTGGGCCTGGTGGTGCGCGCGTGTAATCCCAGCTACTTGAGAGGCTGAGACAGGGGAATTGCTTGAACCCGGGAGGCGGAGATTGCACGCGCCAAGATCATGCCATTGCACTCCATCCTAGGCAAGAGTGAGCCTCCATCTCAAAAATAAATAAATAAATAAAAGAATGCCCTTATTCATATAGAAAGCATAGATAACCCTGATGGCTGCTTAGGGCTCCAGCCACATACATTCAGCTTCCTATTTGACATCTCTAGTTATCACAAACTTAATGTGACCTTACAGAATTTTCCCCCAAACCTGTTCTTTCCTCAGTCATCCCCTTCTCAATAAATGGTACTATGTTGGCTTAAGCCAGAAACTTCCCTCTCCCCCACAAATAGTAAGTCCTGTCAATTTTCCCTCTAAAATACACACCAAATCCATTCGCTTGTCTCCCTCTCCGCTGCTACCACTCTAGTTGAAACTATGTTTGTTCCAGTCCAACCCATTTTGATTCTGTATGGTACAGATTCTGTATGGTACATCAATGGGATACCATATTTCAAAGCTGTATTATATTTAGGTTAAAGCTAAGTTGTTTTAACAAGGGGACCTCAAGATAGAAGTGGTTTACAAAATATGAGTGTTTATTACCTTTTCAAGTAATAGTTCTGAGATAATCATTCAGGCAGTGAATGGCTCTGCTTTATGAATTTATTCAGGGGCCTGTTTCCTTTCAAGTCGTCAAGTCATGCTTCACCTTCTGAGCATTGTCTTAACCTAGGCTGGACTGCCACTTTCAGGTTTTAGGCTATAGAAGGGGATAAGACAGTGGAGAAGTCATACCCACTGTCTTCAAGAGCCAGACCTGGAAATGGCATAGATCGTGTCTATACACTTTCATTCTAGTGGCAAGAGCTCCATCATATAGCAGTGAAGAACAACTGGGGAATATGGTGTAGCTAGGTAGCCATGGGCCTTGCCACAGTTGTTACTGCATGAGAAAAGGACAGTGAGTTTTGGTGGACAGCTATCAGTTTCCATCACAGTGTCTAACAATTAAACTGTTAGATGAGCCTACAGTCAGCCCTCTGTATCCATAGATTCAACCAACAGAATTCAAAAATATTTAGGGGAGGCTGGGCACTGTAGCTCATGCCTGTAATCCCAGCACTTTGGGAGGCCAAGGCTGGCAGATCACCTGAGGTCAGGAGTTCGAGACCAGCCTGGCCAACATGGTTAAACCCCATCTCTACTAAAATACAAAAATTAGTGGGGTGTGGTGGCACGTGTCTGTAATCCCAGCTACTCAGGAGGCTGGGGCAGGAGAATCGCTTGAACCTGGGAGGCGGAGGTTGCAGTGAGCTGAGATCGCACCACTGTACTCCAGCCTGGGCAAAAGAGCGAGACTCTGTCTCAAAAAAAAAAAAAAAAATTAGGGGAAAAAACCTCCCAAAACAATGATATAACAGTAAAAAATACAAATAAAAAATACAGTATAACAATTTACATAGCATTTATGTTGTATTGGGTATTATAAGTAGTCTAGAGGTGATTTAAAGTATATGGGAGGTTGTGCAAAGGTTATATGCAAGTACTATACCACTTTATATTAGGGACTTGAGCATCTGTGGATTTCAGTATCTATGGAGGTCCTGGAACTAGCCTTCTGAGGACACTGAGGGACAACTATATTTATGAAACTTTATGTTATTTATTTATTACTCTGGTATCTCAGTTTTGCTACCTTATATGGTTGAAGAAAACTTACAAAGGATAAGAAATGTGGTCTAGAACAGTGCTTCTCAAATTATTTGAGATGAAGGATCAAGGTCTTTTCTTGTTTGTTTTTCCCTAATTTGCAGTAGGCCAATACTTTTCTAAAATATAATAAAAATTAATCACTAAAAGAAATAATCATCAAATTACTATGAAAGTTTCTAAATGCATACTCTTTTTTTATGCCTGTCTCACCTTATGTACCTATCTCAACATGATCTAGCAACAAGGAGCTGGTGAATTGGCACTAATCAATGGACAATTCTTCTAAGTAGCACTTGCCTCAAAAGTGTTTTCTAATAACCTATTTTGGATTCCCAGAGTCTAGTAGATGAACTGTGGTATCAATCTTTTAAACAAAGACATTTTCTTTATGTATAAAATATAAAACTTTTAATTTTTTAATAGTTTTAGAAATCACCTCTTAAGATAGTATATAAATCTTGATAGATCGTTTGAATGCCCACATATGCTTCATAGCCTATTTTGTTTCATAGCTAAAGCCAAAGATGATCCTTGTTTTATTGATTCAGAGTGAAAAAAAAGCCTACTATTCTGGAGCTCAAAGAAGGTTGTCTTAGAGGGCATTTAGTTTTAATGCACGGTGTGGAGGGAAAAAAAGGCCTAATAAAGTGACATGCTCAAAATCACAATAAATCGGAGACAGCTATGGTATGATCATAATTTACAGTGGAAATTACATTGGAATCAGATGATCCGGATTGAGTCCTGATCTTTTATTTCTTAGCCAAGTGGCTCCAGGCAATCATTTAACGTTTTAAGAATTGTGTGGTGGGACCGGGCATGGTGGCTCAGGCCTGTAATCCCAGCACTTTGGGAGGCCGAGGTGGGAGGATCACCTGAGGTCAGGAGTTTGAGACCAGCCTGGCCAACATGGCGAAACCCCATCTCTACTGAAAATACAAAAATTAGCAGGCGTGGTGGTGTGTGTCTGTAATCCCAGCTATTCAGGAGGCTGAGACAGGAGAATCACTTGAACTCCGAAGGCGGAGGTTACAGTGAGCCGAGATTGTGCCACTGCACTTCAGCCTGGGAGACAGAGAAGACTCTTGTCTCAAAAAAAAAAAAAAAAAAAAAAAGAATTGTGCAGTAAGTGTTCAGTAAGCATTTCTTAGATTGAGAAACATAAAAGTTTTTTGTAAACTGTAAAGCACATAAGCAAAAAATATTACAGGTTACACATCCCAAATCCCCAAACCTGAAATCTCCAAAATTTGAAACAAAAAAAAAATTTATGGATACGTAATAATTCTACATATTTATGGGGTACATGTGATACTTTGACACAAGTGTACACAATGTATAATGATCAAATCAGGGTAATTGGGGTATCCATCCTCTCAAACTTTTAAAATTTCTTTGTGTTAGGAACATTCCAATTCTGTTCTTCTAGTTCTTTTGAAATATATAATAAATTATTGGTAACTGTAATTGACCTGTTGGGCTACTGAACACTAGATCTTATTCCTTCTAATGGTATTTTTGTACCCATTAACCAACCCCTCCATATCCACCACAAAGCCACTTCTACTATCACTTCTTAGGAAGAAATAAAACATATTTATTATTTATTATTTATTATTTATTTCTTAGGAAAAAATAAAACATAATAGTAGTCACCATTAAAGAGTGCTTATTATGTCCCAGCGTCTATTTTATAACATCCCTGTGAGATATGGATGTTATTTCCTTTTTTTTTTTTTTGATCCTCCCACCTCAGCCTCCTAAAGTGCTAGGATTATAGGCATGAGTGACCATGCCCAGCCTCCCATTTTTTAAAAATGGGAAACTGAGGTTAAGAAGTGTCTAAATCATACAGCTGGTAAAAAAAAAAAAAAAGAAAGAAAAGAAAGTCACACAGTGGCAAACCCAGGTATTAAACTCCGGTCTTTGATTTAAAAGCCACTACAATACGTTTTCTTCGTAAAAAAGATGTCCCTTCCGCCTTCAGAGAGCTTTTAGTAGTTGAGGCAAACTCATAAAAAGAAAACTGACAGGACGGATGTGCTAAGCACCAAATGATTGCTACAGATTTGTGGTTTAGGTATCCCTTAGAAAAGAAGAATGTTGAGGGCTGAAGTGGTTAGGGAAAATTTTATGTTGAAAGTGGGTTTTAAGCTTAGCCTTCGAGAATTGCTAAAACTTAAATAGAAAAGGAAAAGGACTGATGTGTAGAGGGAGGCTGTAAAAAAGCAAAGAAGCTCAATATGAGATAATTTGGAAAGAAATATAGCTAAAGAGGAAAATTTGATAAGAATAGTATGAAAGAAGACTCAGAGCAGGTTAGCAGATCTTAAGTGCCAAACTGAGGACTTTGACATTTTACCTTATAATAATGTATAACAGATAACCTGTACTGAACATTTATCACTTGCCAGGCACTGCCCTATGTGTTTGTACATGCACGATCTCATTTAATTCTTGCAGTAAATGAGGTCCAGAGACAAGTAACTTGCCAAGGCCACAATTGTTCAGAAGAAGAGCCAAGATTTGCATACAAACAATTTAAATTCAGAACTTCTACTCTTAATTACCACACTGATTTGGTTTTAGAGTCTATGGTGGGTTGAACAAATTTCAAGCCCAGGATCACTGACCTTAAACAAGTAATATGCCTCACACCTTTGGCAGTTTTTAACATTTTAGTTAAGAAACGTAATGTGACAATAGAAACTGACATCTCATTCCTGTCCCTGCCACCCTTACACATCTTTAGCACATGGCAGTGAAGGAGAAGTCAAGGTAATGTGCTAATGGTTTTCAAGTCTGCCTGCTTTTCTGTGTTCGTCTGGTCAGGTATTCTCAGTTAACCCTTGACCCTAACGTCCGAATTATGTCACTCTGTTGTTAATCATAGTTCAGTGATTCTCACATTGTGGATTCTGGACCAGCAGTAGCATCAACTAGGAATTTGTTAAAAGTCCCATTTCTGGACCCTCATCCCAGACCTACTGAGTCAGAAACTCTAGGGATGAGGTGCAACAGTCTGTTTTTTAAAAGTCCTTTAGGTGATTATGATGCATGATGAAGTTTGAGAACCACCTTTAGAGTCCACTCTAGGATTTCAGTTCGGGAGCAAACTACTAAAAAGTTTTTGGCAATCCTTGATGGGTAGATGTAGTGGCAGGGCATACCATGCTGAAGGAACAGTGGAGGAAAGACTCAGGATGTATCATGGTCAGGGTCTGGGGGTCAATTTGGAACACCTGAAGAAGAAACTGTGTGTGTTTGCATTGTGTGTATCAGACAACAGTAGGAAAGGGGAAATTGGGCCCATTTCAGCAGCATTCTGTGGGCAGCAGGAAGGTATGAAAGGTGTTTGAGGAGAGCAGAGCATGTTTTAGGAAGAGTAAAATCAACTTAAATAGTTATAGCACAGAAAAGTACTGACAGGGCAAAATAAAGGGGAAATACAAGAGCACCTTTGAAACATGGAAGCAGTACACAAACTCAACAGATAGAAGAGCTACAAAGAATGCTGCCTTTTCAACCACTTTTATTTGTTTCTAATAATATTCTTTAAATAGAAATTATTGTATTGAGTAAAACATTAAATATGTCTATTAAACATCACTTTTATTTTTTACGTGTTTTTGGTTCTAAAAATTGTAATTTAAAAAGAGTCGTTGTCCAAAAAGTGGTATTAATTTTCAAGAGATATGGCAAAAAGCTGTGCAACAGTCACCGTGTGAGGTAGGTCTGTAGTGAGAAATGGTATGTTCAAGAACAACTATGATTAAAAACTGTGCAAAAAAATCTTGTCTTTGCTTGCTGGATGATCTTCTACAAGCTTTTAGATGAAGCAGTTTTTAACTATAAATTTTGTAGGCACCTTTAATCTCTTTCATGTCCCAGAGTTTCTCAGTCCATTTGGTTTTTGTATAGCCCTGGCTATTCCAATTTGTCTTCAGGCTCTGCTCTTTTTCTTTCTTGAGTCTGAAGTTATTAGGAAGAAAGGTACCATATTGCCTATAGTTTGTTTTTTTTTTTTTAATTTTATTGTCGCTGTTGTTTTTGGTTTAGAATGGAAGAAAGATATTTGTGTGCTTTTAGATATGTAGAACTCCAAGTTCACATATATAATATTTTATAATACCTTATTACATGTTTCTCAACTTAAGGAGGATGGTAGATATTTCCTTCTTGAATAAAATTGTGTGGAAACAAAGGTGATCTGACTCCACCCCCAGGAATATACCACATGTGAAGCAGTATGTAGAATGTATTTTTTTGTCTTGAATATGAAAGATCTAAATATGGAGAAAATTTTCCCTGTTCTGTATACTTTTAATTAATGGGCACATTATACTTTCCACTATCCCCAAACTACATTCAAAAAAAGTGCTTTAACAATGATAGTAAAATATTAAGAGAAAGTCCTTTCTAAATATCAGGTATGGCAGGGATAGAATTGACAATGTTATGAAATTTTTTTTTGTCTTATCAGATAAAGTTCTTTTCCACATCTATTTAGAGAACGCAATACAGTCATCCCTCTGTATCGTGCAGTCTGCATCTATGAATTTAATCAATTGTAGGTTGAAAATACTCAAGGAAAAAAAGGATAGTTGTGTAGAACATGTACAAACTTTTCTGTCATTATTCCTTAAATAATAAAACGATTTACGTAGCATTTACATTGTATTAGATATTATAAATAATCTAGTGATGTCTTCAAGTATACAGTAAGAAGTGCATAGGTTATATGCAAATACTATGCCTTTTTTTTTTTTTTTTTTTTTTGAGACAGAGTCTCGCTCTGTTGCCAGCCTGGAGTGCAGTGGCATGATCTTGGCTCACTGCAACCTCCGACTCCCTGGTTCAAGTGATTCTCCTGCCTCAGCCTCCCGAGTAGCTGAGATTACAGGCACGTGCCACCATGCCCAGCTAATTTTTTGTATTTTTAGTAGAGACGGGGTTCCACCACGTTAGCCAGGATGGTCTTGATCTCCTGACCTCATGTTCCGCCTTCCTCAGCCTCTTGAAGTGCTGGGATTACAGGCGTGAGCCACTGCGTCCAGCCTTCTATACCATTTTATATAAGAGACTTGAGTATCTGTGGATTTTATTATCTGCAGAGGGTTCTGGAATCAATCCCACACAGATACCAAGGGATGACTACATTTAAAATAGGCATTTTTGTAGCTGATGACTATGTGCACATAGCCTAGGTTTCCTGACAAGATCACAATGGGACCCACAGGCAGCCTCTTTTTATTGAAGAATTAAGTCTGATGATAGATTAATAGAAATTTTGTAAAATCTTATATTGGTAATAGTAGTTGTTGTTTTTATAAGATGTAAGGGAGTACAGAAATGTTCGGTGATAGAGTAGTTATACCTGCTTGCCTCACATATAAGGGTAAGCTTGAGAGACCCAGACCTGCAGTTTGTAGAGAAGAAAACTGACATTGAATTTTGAGGGAGTGGTCAGTGATCCTTAAATTTGACAATGGTATAAAAAAATCCTTTTTAGGAAATATAAGATATTTGGGTTCATTCTAGAATTGTTTTTGAGATATTGATAGCAAGGTTTGGAACCAGAACTACTACATATATTTGTACAGTCTGTGCCCTACAGCAAGATAACAAAAGAAAGCTAAAATTCTGTCCACAGTCTGAGCTTTCCAAGCTATGTGTGCTTTTTAATAATTTGCCCACCCAGTGGGAACTTTTTTCTGTAGTTTGTATACCAGGAGGGGTCACCTTTTTGCAATTGGCTCAAGGCATAATAGATGCTAATTCAACTCTATTTGGAACCTAACACTTGAATAATTTTTTATCAGTTTGTCAGCAAAAGTTCTTCTCTGGGGTTGTTTGATGATTAAATATTATTAGATCTTAGCTAAAGGGGGTTCAAGGGTTTCTGAAACATGGGACTGCTGCTAAAGAGCTATAAATTCAGAAGCAATAGCATGACTAAAACTCAGCAGAAATGCATACTTCTTTAAGTCTTTTTGCAAGAGCCTGTACTCTGGACAAATATGAACCAATTCTTGAGACGTTAATCTTTATTTCTGGGAAGGGAACAGCTATGATTCAAACTGATTGTCTTCCATCCTGATGGTGACCTTATATTTCAGTTTCTAACATTCCGTGATTTAAAAAATAATAAAAACCTTTTCTCTCTGGATTTTTAACTGTTGTTAAGTACATTGGCAGAGAAACATTCTGTGTTAAGTCATTTGAGCCAAATAATGATTTTTGCATACTCGTTCTTGTTTTTCAGAAACTCTGTGAAGGCATATTTAAAGTCCTTATAAAGGACATCCCAACAACATGTCAAGTGTCCTGCCTGGAAGTACTCCGCATTCTCTCCAGAGACAAAAAGGTTTTAGTTCCTGTGACAACTAAGGAAAATATGCAGATACTGCTGCGACTAGCCAAGCTAAATGAGTTAGATGATTCTTTGGAGAAAGTATCAGAGTTCCCAGTTATTGTGGAGTCATTAAAATGTCTGTGTAATATAGTGTTCAACAGTCAGATGGCACAGCAGCTCAGCCTGGAACTTAATCTTGCTGCAAAGCTCTGTAACCTCCTGAGAAAGTGCAAGGACCGGAAATTTATCAATGACATTAAGTGCTTTGACTTGCGCTTGCTCTTCCTTCTGTCACTTTTGCACACCGACATCAGGTCACAATTGCGCTATGAGCTCCAGGGACTACCGCTGCTAACGCAGATCTTGGAAAGTGCCTTTAGCATCAAGTGGACCGATGAGTATGAATCGGCCATAGACCATAATGGACCTCCTCTCTCACCTCAGGAGACAGACTGTGCCATTGAGGCCCTCAAAGCTCTCTTCAATGTGACGGTAGACAGTTGGAAGGTGCATAAAGAGGTAAGGTAGAGAAGGCTATTTTTGTCTACCTGGAATTTAATTGGTCTGGGACATCCCTAGAGTTTCCTGCAAGAGAAGAATACAAGTTGGGAAATGGAAAAAGTTCCCACTTCTCCCATTAAGCAATTGTATTACCCAGGATATACTTCTTAACCATTGTAAGTCTTATTCTTTCCATTTGTGTGATAACACCTATCAGAATAGGTGTAAAAATGGACTACTATTTTGTAAGATGCCAAATATAGTTTTCTGAGTTGCATTATTCTCTCTTTTTAAGAGTGCCGCTTTCAGGAATAAGGTTTAAATTATAAGATTTGAGGGGAAACAAAACAATGTAGTTGATAAAGCTATAGGCATTTTCAGTGGCTGCCATCTTAAAGAAAAGTTAAGACAGATCAAGCCAATTGAAGTTGATCAATCAGAATTGGTGTCTGCTCAGGAGAGTAGAAGATGCTCTGTGTATGCCTGTTGTCCCAGTCTCTGGGAGGTTTCTCTGTAGTGTTAGATAACTATCAGAGGCATAGGACCACAACTAGATATCTGTGCTCATATATAAGTTCTAGAAAACAAGCTGATTATACCAGAGTGTGGGAAAGGTTATTTTAAACCACTTGACTTATTTCTAAACAAAGATCTTTCTTCACTGTGGCTTGGACCCTTCAGCAACCCAAAGTGACGCAGATTTGATAGTTTACATTTGAGTACCCACAAGAACAATATGCTAAATAGGAAACTTAGTTTAAGGAAGTCAACAAATTAAGTGAAGTAGACATAAGCTTTTTTCCCTCCTTCTAGAAGCATAACATGTCACATTTATTCTCTTTTTAGCTTTAAATAACTGTTGAAATTCACCCCCTCCTGTAAAAAGAAAGAGATTTTTGGTTCCAGAGCAAATTGTCTTTTTTGACAATTGACTTTAAGATTTAGGCTAACATTTGAAACACTTCTCACCCATGAGTAAAGATCTGTTTTTGCCAGCAGCCTACTTTAAAGGGATTATCTCAGTGCATTGTTATAGGGGGAATATGCAGACATCTGAGTTTTAAAGCGCAAATAGATCTGTATTTTGAAACTAAATATTTGAATATCAGCTCTAACAGCTGTTCTAGATGACTGTAGTATGGTCAGTTTTTCCTGGGACTTGGCAAGAAAAGATGTGGAAAGCCCACATGCTCCATTTATGCATTGAAACCAAATATTTGGAAGTATTTAAAATGTTATGTTTCTATGCTTATTTGGTACCTTCTATGGTTATTTTTCTTACGCTGTTTGTTTTGGGGTTTTTAAGTTCTCCATTTGAGACCTTAAATTCCAGAGACTGTTGGTTTGCCATTGTTAGAGCCCCCTGTTATTTAAATTATACCCAAAATAGTAGCTCACACTGTTCAGATTCCTGACAAAAAAGGGTTTAAAATTCAGTGGCTACACATCAGTATATTTATGAGATGGATGATAGGTAATAAATATCAGTATATTGAGATTATCCCTTATTAGTATACTTCAGTTATAAGTAATATCGGAGCTAGAAGAAGCTTTAGAAAATGTTGAAGTAGCAAATACTCATTCTGTGTTATAGAATATTTATTCTTCAAAAGATATATGAAAAGGATCAGTAATCCTGGAGCAGGTATCTCTGACCTAGTACCTGTTGTGAGTCAGTTGATATAGCCATTATAAAATATGCACATTTAATGTGACTCTGGGCTATTATTGAAGTGCTCAGAAATTTAAATACTATTGAAAATAAGATTCTTGCCAACCCAGTTAGATAAGAATGTCTTCATGAGTTTCCAAAGTCAACTTTTAGCAAACATTTAGTCATTCATTCATCCAATCAGTCTGTCAGTCAGTGAATATTTATGGTCAATTGCTAGACATAATGCCCTGCATTATGTAATATTTTGGCAAATAATAGGCATTGTCTTTGCCTTCATGAAACTTCAGTTTTTTTAGGTGAGATAGGTAATAAATCAGTAAACAAATATATAATTCAAATTCCGTTAAGTGCTAGGAGAGAAAGAGCGCACTGATTGAGAATACTTAGTAAGAGAAATTTTCTGAAGGTCTCTCCTGAGATCTGAAAACAGAACGATTCAGCCATTTGAAAAACCGGGGGATAAAAAATTGGGGGATGAACATTTTGTGGAAGTTAAACAGTGTATGAAAGACAGAGACCAAAACATAGAGTACTTTCTAGTGAGGGACCCACAACATAGCATAAAGAAAATCTCTCGGCCAGGCGTGGTGGCTCACGCCTGTAATCCCAGCACTTTGGGAGGCCGAGGCGGGGAGATCACGAGGTCAGGAGATCAGGACCATCCTGGCTAACACGGTGAAACCCCGTCTCTACTAAAAAAAAAAATACAAAAAATTAGCTGGGCGTGGTCACGGGCGCCTGTAGTCCCAGCTATTCGGGAGGCTGAGGCAGGAGAATGGCATGAACCCGGGAGGCGGAGCTTGCAGTAAGCGGAGATCGCGCCACTGCACTCCAGCCTGGGAGACAGAGCGAAACACTGTCTCAAAAAAAAAAAAAAAAAAATCTCTCACCAGAGTGCAGAGAAACTTGCTACTAAGAGCCCATTTACCTGGATTTTAATATCTGCTTGATTGTCCGACAAAAGACACAAAAGACAGTTTACTTCAATTGGGCAAGCCCATAAAGAATTGCCAGAATTTTAAAACAGTGACTGAAATAAAAGGATATGGAAAACTTATTGTACAGAAGAATCCAACTTTTAAAATAAACATTTTTTTCCTTTTTATGAAAATAATATATGCTCATTGTATAATATCAAGGAAAAAGGCATATAAGCAATAAGAAAATACAAATTACCTGTAAACTCACCACTCAAAAGATAAACACTTTTTTTTCTTTTTTTTTTGAGAGAGTCTTGCTCTGTCGCCCAGGCTGGAATGCAGTGGCGCAATCTTAGCTCACTGCAACCTCTGGCTCCCAGGTTCAAGCAATTCTCCTGCCTCAGCCTCTGGAGTAGCTGGGATTACAGGCGTGCGCCACCATGCCTGGCTAATTTTGTATTTTTGGTAGAGACGGGGTTTTACCATGTTGGCCAGGCTGGTCTTGAACTCCTGACCTCATGATCCACCCGCCTCGGCCTCCCAAAGTGCTAGGATTACAGGCATGAGCCACCGCGCCCGGCCTCTCTTTTTTAACTAAAGAACAGGGTCTTGTCTGTTGCCTAGGCTGGAATGCAGTGGTGTGATCATAGCTCACTGCAGCTTCGAACTCCTGGGCTCAAGCCGTCCTCCTGAGTAGCTGGGACTATGAGTGCAGGCCACCACACTCGGCTAATTGTTTTTTATTCTTTTAAGACGTGGGTCTTGCTATGTTGTTCAGGCTGGTCTTGAACTTGTAGCCTCAAGCAGTCTTCCTACCTCAGCCTCCCAAGTAGTTGAGATTACAGATGTAAGCTACTACACCAAGCACTATTTGCCTTTTGGTGTGTATCTTTCTTTTTTTTGAGATGGAGTTTCCCTCTTGTTGCCCAGGCTGGAGTGCAATGGCGCAATCTTGGCTCACGGCAACCTCTGCCTCCTGGGTTCAAGTGATTTTCCTGCCTCAGCCTCCAGAGTAGCTGAGATTACAGGCATGTGCCACCACCCATGGCTTATTTTATATTTTTAGTAGAGATGGGGTGTCTCCATGTTGGTCAGGCTGGTCTCGAACTCCCGACCTCAGTGATCCGCCCACCTTGGCCTCCCAAAGTGCTGGGATTACAAGTGTCAGCCACTGCGCCCAGCTGGAGTATATCTTTTTAACTATTCTTCATTGTATAATATATAAACGAATATATATATACATTTTTACAAAAATGCAGTCATTTAATAATCTTAGTCTTTTTTCTTCACAATAAAAATTCATAGAGTAGGTTTTCAACATGTGTTTCTTTAAGCCACAAGGTTCCTAGCAGTGGCCTCTGGGAGTAATTGGACAGTGCTCCAAGTTCCTCCCTCTCACTTTAAATAAAGAGCACCAATTGTTCTTGCTATTGCTTTTCTTTAAATATAGGTTGTAATTAAGATTTAACTTGGGGGATAAAAAGGGTTCTTCAACCCAAAAGAAATTTTTGATGACCACCTTCTAACTTCTTGTGAAATAATACATACTTATAAGTATAAAGAGACCTATGAAAATAAAGAATATGGCTGGGTGCAGTGGTGGCTCACGCCTGTAATGCTAGCACTTTGGGAGGCTGAGGCAGGAGCATGGCTTGAGCCCAGGAGTTTGAGACCAGCCTGGGCAACATAGTGAGACCTGATCTCTACAAAAAATAAAAAAAGATAAAAATTATCCAGGTATTGTGGCATGTGCCTGTAGTCCTAGCTACTTGGGAGGCTGAGGTGGGAGGATCACTTGAGCCCAGAAGGTTAAGGCTGCATTACCGCATTCCCGCCTGGGTAACAGCGTCTCAGGAAAAAAAAAAAAAAAAAGAGGAGGAGGAATACTCATAAGTATATAATATATAAGTATATATAAAATATATAAAATACTTATATATTATATACTTAGAGTATTCCTTCATAAGGAAAGATGTATCAACCTTTAACAAATCTCCCTTTTGAAGACACTTAGATTGTTTGCAGTTGCTTGCTGTTTTAAATTCTAATGATTTTTCTTACAAAGTCTTTCTAGGTACATTCCTGAAATTGGTGGGCCAGCGGGTTTCAAAGTTTCAGGTGTTTTTATATATGTTGCCAAATTTACCTTCAGAAAAATATTGTTGGTTTATACCTTTTCAAACCCTGGGCATTTCACTTTTTAAAATCTTTGCCTGTTTCACAGCTTTACAGTTACAGAAAATGCAAACATTTGGTTTTAAACTGTTTTAGTTATTTTTATGACCACTTTCATTTACAGTTCACCAAAAATAGAAAATTAATGACTAGGTTTTTCTTGAGGTTTAGCAAATTAGTGCAATTTGTTCATTTTAGATTCATGCCTCAGTGTTAAATTCGTGCCTGCCTGCTGATGCCATCAGCAGATTAATTTGGAGTTTGCTTTCCATTCAGTGGGAAATGTAGCTAGCCTTATTTCCACATGTGGAATCAGCCTCTGTCTCCCTTTCCTAAAGCTAGTGTGTTTTAAAAAGCCAATTGATTTATTTAGCAGGATATAAAGTCAGTTTTAGAAAAGTTAATTGAAATGGTCTTGTCTTCCTCCTGTTTTAACACTTTTCTAAATATCTCTGTTGATGGAAGAGAGCATGTTATTCTAGGGACTGTAAGGGGTCCCTAGAATGAAGACCACATTCCCTTCTCCCGTGCTTCCAAGGTATCAGTGAAACGTAATAAGAAAGTACAGACCAGCAGACATGTTAGAAACAGACAACCCAGTGCACACAGAGAAGTACAAGTATCTGAGTAGTCAAAGGATACCATTTAAATGAGATAAAACAGTGAGTGTCCATAGAAGTTAATTAGGAATGTCACAAAAGAGGTTAGTTCCATGCTTATTTTAAAGACTTTGAAGGAAATATGCAGTAGTAGAATCTGTCATTAAGATGTGAAAGCTATATAAAGAGATCCCAAAGAATTTCCTGAGTTTTTTTCTCCATTTTAATGTTACCTCATTTCGATTTTCACTATCACAACCAAGCCTGCTTGCTGTCTTTCTCTTCCTTTGCCCTTCATCCTTAGGGACTTCTTTTCTCTCTCAGCCTTTGAAGGTGGTATCATTTCAGGAGGAGAGAATATTGATGCCCTGAAAATATCAAAACTAAATCAGGAAACAATTAGTAAACAGTTGTATAAGCTGTGTTTGTATAATGCTATGGAAAAAGCAATTGCATTTCTTTGCTGGCATCTTTGTGAGACAGGAGCATTAACCCAATTTGACAAATGAGGACAGTGAAGATCAGAGAGTTTAAATTACTTAAGGAAAGTCACACAGTAGAATAACCAACAGTAGAAAATAGTGTCTACTTTAAGCTTTGTTAAGACTTCTTAAATGATAGCACTCATCTAACGGATATTTATGGAGACATAGACTAATGGAATAGAATAAATAGAGTTGATACAGTCACTGACTTACAGGTAACATTGAAGTGCAGTAGTGAAAGAATGGGCTTTTTAATAAATGGGGCTTTATCAATTGTATGGCCATATGGGAAAAAAGTGAATTTGAATCCCCATCTTATACCATACACAAAAAATTAATTTGAGATGGATAAGAGACCTAAATATACAAGGTAAATAATAAAGCTTACTGAAGAGTATCTTCATGACTTTATCTCATGCAAGTCAAACATTTCTTATATGAGCAAAGATTTCTAAAACAGGGCAAAATAAGGATAAAATTATTAATTAAAGAAATGACATCGATTTTCATTAAAGTGAATTCATCAAAAGAAGCAAAAAGACAAGACACCAGGAGGAGAAGATATGTGCAATGACTCTCTTCAGAATACACTAAAAAGTCCTACAAACCCATAAAAATAAAAATCAGACACCCCAATAGAAAAATAAGCAAAGGGCGTTCAGGTGCGGTGGCTCACGCCTGTAATCCCAGCACTTTGGGAGCCTGAGGCAGGCAGATCACGAGGTCAGGAGATCGAGACCATCCTGGCTAACACAGTGAAACCCCATCTCTACTAAAAATACAAAAAATTAGCCGGCTGTGGTGGCGGGTGCCTGTAGTCCCAGCTACTCAGGAGGCTGAGGCAGGACAATGGCGTGAATCCGGGAGGCGGAGCTTGCAGCGAGCCAAGATCGTGCCACTGCACTTCAGCCTGGGCGACAGACCGAGACTCCATCTCAAAAAAAAAAAAAAAAAAAAAAAAGAAGAAAAAAAAAGAAAAGCAAAGGGCTTGAACAGGAACTTCACAAAAGAGATATCCAAATGAGTAATAAACATATGAAAAGGTGTTCAACTTTATTAGTCACCATAAACATGCATACTACAACCAAGAAATCACTACACATCCGTGAGAATGACTAAAATGAAAAAGGCTGACTCTAACAAGTATTGGTGTCCCTGTAGAGCAACTGGTGGGGTATAAATTGGTATAAGTACTTTGAAACACTGTTCAGCAGTACCTGGTAAAGATTGACATATGGATATAACCTGTGAGTCAGCATCTCCTCTCTAGGGTGTATACCTGTAGATATCAAATGACATGTAAAAATTGTGTTCACATCAGCACTTTTCAAGATAGCCCCAAGCTGGAAACAATCCAAGTGTCATCAGGAGTACAGCAGATAAGTAAATTGTGGCATATTCATACATTGGAATACTATATAGCAGTGCTTTCTTAACCTACCTGTAGGTGAGGAACCAGATTTTTTTCCCTAAAAATCTGTCAGGATGAAACTCTTGTGTAATACAATATTACATACAACGCCAAACTGCTCAAAAGTTTCTAAATGTTCACACATACCTTCTGTACTCATGGTGTTGCAGGCCAGTGATGAACAGGGTGGGGACCAGCAGTGGTACACAAACATACTTCAAATAGCACTGCTCTCAAACAATGACAAAGAACAGACTGCAACTACACAGAGTAGTGTGAATGAATCTCACAAGCCAACACAAGAGTCTGTATTTTATGATTCCATACGTGTAAAGTTCAGTAGCAACCAAAATACTAACCTGTGACATTAACAAGTTAGAATTACCCTTGAGGAGCAGAAGATGGTCATTTGTAGGGGGTATGGAAAGAATTCTGGGATTCTTAATCTTGGCATTGCATGATTTTTATGTTGGCTATATGGGTATGCTCATTTTGTCAAAATTTAGCTGTGTGCTTATGATTTGTGCACTTTTCTGTATGTACATTATACTTAACATTTACATTAAAATTTATTGATGACCTATTAAACACACACCCTCTTTCCTCATTAAGGTAGTAGATTAGTGGAGGAAACAAAGTGTATGCAAGTAAACAAATGTGAAATTACAAATTATGATTTCATGAGAGAAAAAAGAGTCTTCTCGGAGAAGATACTTTAGCTGAAACCTGGAGTATGCAAAGGAACCAGCGATGCAAAGAGCAGAGGCAAACAATCCAGGGATTTTGGTAGTTGTTTTGAGTAGAGAAATAGAGCTAATTTAGTGGATTTAGAGTAAAAGAGGACATTGTAGACATCGGGTACAACTTGGGAGTTGATGTTATCAAAACTGGAAAAGGTAAAAAGTAGAATTTTGGTTTGCAGCTGCAAATAATGGAAAGACCAAATGGATAGATTTCCAAAAGTCTGTCAACATCAGCATGAAAAGAGAAAGATTATTATATCTAAAATAAAGGAAAATATAATTTAAAGGGAAGTGTATTCCCTAGTTAATTTTTAAAACTAAGGGAAATATGATCTTATCAAGAGTTAAGTAATGAATGCATTTCACATAGGTATTTAACATATGAGATAATTTTTTTTTTTTTTTTTGAGACGGAGTTTAGCTCTTGTAGCCCAGGCTGGAATGCAATGGCATGATCTCGGCTCACTGCAACCTCCGCCTCCTGGGTTCAAGCAATTCTCCTGCCTCAGCCTCCCGAGTAGCTGGGATTAACAGGCTTGCACCACCATGCCCAGCTAATTTTTGTATTTTTAGTAGAGACGGGGTTTCACCATGTTGGCCAGGCTATCCTCTAACTCCTGACCTCAGGTGATCCACCCGCCTCGGCCTCCCGAAGTGCTGGGATTACAGGCATGAACCACGGCACCCGACTCGTATGAGAGAATTTTTATTCAGGCGTTTGAGATGGATAGTGAATGGGACAACATTCATTCCAACCCTTCCAGTCTCAGTGTCTCTGTCATTCCAGTAGTCCTCTTTGTTTTTCCCCTTTCCCCCTACAATGATTTATCATTTGTTTCAGCTCTATCAGTCTTGCTTTTTGTTCCCTTCCTCTGTTACCCTTCCCCCAACCTTCAAATGTTATATTGAAAGCATTAAAGCACTTTTATGCATATCATCTTCTTTAATCCTTTGTAACCCTGACAGAACCCTCCAGTATTTGGAGATTCATGTGGGGAAACTGAGGCTCAGAGAAACTATACGACTTGTCTAAAGTGCCAATCTGGAGTCCTGACCCCAAGTGCAGTGCCTTTATTTCAGTTAGGCCACTGAGGCCCTCTTCTCATCCAGCTCTATACATGATGATGTTATATTTAAAATGTTATGGTCCACATTATGAGTTGTGAAAGTGTGCCCTAATTGCTTGCTAGATTTTAGGAGAGACATCTTCCTAGAAGGGTTATGTGAGTTCTATATATGAATATAGGATGTATGTGTATAATTTATGAAAATATATCACTTCACATGGACTTGAAATCGATGATATATTAAGAAGTTTTGGCTGGGTGCAGTGGCTGGCACCTGTAATGCCAGCACATTGGGAGGTCAAGGCGGGTGGATCACCTGTGGTCAGGAGTTCAAGACCAGCCTGGCCAACATGGTGAAACCCTGTCTCTACTAAAAATACAAAAAGAAAAAAAAAATTAGCTGGGTGTGGTGGCGGGCACCTGTAATCCCATCTACTCGGGAGGCTGAGGCAGGAGAGTCGCCTGAACCTGGAAGGCGGAGGTTGCGGTGAGCCGAGATCACACCATTGTACTCCAGCCTAGGCGACAAGAGCAAAACTCCATCTCAAAAAAAAAAAGAAAAAAGTTTTATAATTTTTTAGTAGTTTTTGAGGTAGTTGGAGTCTTCCTGAAATATGGCATATCCAGGCTCTCTATCACAATTGTCTCTAATTTCATGTGTCTTCTTAATTATTTAAAATCTGGAAGAAGAAAGATATGACTTTGATGCAGATAATTAAAGCAGGTGTAATGGCCCAAGATCTCACTAAAAATGAAGAAGTAAACCAAATGAGTATTCAGGGCTTAGTTTATTTCCTACTGTTTGCCTTCTTGCCTCTAACTCCCTGTGTCTCTTTAATACCACTGCCAATGAGTAAACATTGGAGATCACTTGTATTTCATTACTTGCTGGTAGTTCTGGGGGAATTAGGATATTAAGATTGATTAAAATGAAGTTCGTGGATTTATTGCTTTGAAAGTTAAGAGATGAGACATTTTTATTAAGGGTGTACAACCAGTCTCTGAAATAACCTGGTAACATCACATCTGTTGAAACTTTTATAATGGTTAGTAAACTGCAACAGTGCACCATAGAAAAAACGAATTTAGGCTTTTTGGAAATGAAAAAAAGTCTCTAGCGGAATTGAATCTTAAGAAGGTAAATGAGAGTGGCTAGGTCAGCATTTCTAGAAGTGGTTATGGTTGTTCATAAGAGATAGTGACTATTAGTATTGCCTCAGGAATTCTTCCTAGGATATTCTGCCATCTAAAATGTATGGTATAAGAATGCTTGTTTGGGGTGGGCAAGAGATGTAGTAAAGTAGCAGACCCCACTGTTCAGGCATTCAACCCCCAATGTTTCCTCTCTTTTTTATTTGCCATAGAGTGATTCTCATCAGTTCCGTGTAATGGCAGCTGTCCTTCGTCATTGTTTACTAATCGTAGGTCCAACTGAAGACAAAACAGAAGAGCTACACAGGTGGGTAAGCTCTGTATTGATATCCCAATGAAGGACATCATCAGTTGTTCTTGGTTTTATGCATCTAATTTCAATTGTTATAAGCACAAGAAAGTGAAAATACTACAGTAAATCAGGTAACTGGTAGGTCAGAAATCATTATCATGGAAATCATTACTATGCCCTGATGAGAAATTTTTATTCTGCCCCCTTTCACTTTGTTATATTGAGGCTCAACAGGAGAAGAGAATTTGGCATTTGTTGCAAATGCCACAAATAGTTACTGTTCTTGGTTTTATCCAGAACAACAATAATAGTACACAGTTATTGAACACTTAACTCTGTGGCATTGTGCTAAGTGCTTTATAACGATAACTTCTTTAATCACCATGCCAACATTATAAGGTAGATTCTGCAATTTTTCCCTTTTACTAGTTGAGGAAACTGATGCATAGAAAGATCAAGCAATTTCTCTGAGATTATACAGCCCTAACAAGTGAAAGAGCTGGGATTTAAACCCTGCTTTTAATTACTACACTTAACTAGTACTCTCACTAATTTCATTTGAAGAGTACTTACCAAAAAGTATATATTTTGGCAATGATAGTTTTATTTTTTAAAAAAACTTGTAAGAATTAGGGCATAGTGTCTAGCATTAAAATATATAAAATAGGCCGGGTGTGGTGGCTCATGCCTGTAAACCCAACACTTTGGGAGTCCAAGGCCGGTGGATCACTTGAGGACAGGAGTTTGAGACCAGCCTGGCCAACATGGTGAAACCCCGTCTCCATTAAAAATACAAAAAAAGTAGCTGGGCATGGTGGCACATGCCTGTAATCCTAGCTACTCGGGAAGCCGAGGCAGGAGAAACACTGAACCTGGGAGGTGGAGGTTGCAGTGAGCCAAGGTCGCACCGTTGCACTCCTGCCTAGGCAACAGAGTGAGACTCCATCTCAAAAAATTAATTAATTAATTTTAAAAGTAAATAAAATATATAAAATAGTTCAGCTGGGTGCTGTGGCTCATGCCTGTAATACTAGCACTTTGGGAGGCTGAGGCGGGCAGATCACTTGAGTTGAGCCTGGGCAACATGGCAAAACCCTATCTCTACTAAAAATACAAAAATTAGCTGGATGTGGTGGCGCACGCCTGTAGACCCAGCTACTTGGGAGGCTGAGGTGGGAGAATCTCTTGAACCTCAGGAGGTGAAGGTTGCCATGAGCCGAAATTCCGCCACTGTACTCCAGCCTGGGTGACAAAGCGAGACCCTGTCTCAAATAAATAAATAAAATAGTTCAAATTTTGCGACTTGTCCGTTAGAACTATTAACGGACTGCTGTAAAAATTTATTGTACTCTGAGAACAACTGAATAAGAATTAATGCATTTTTCCAGTTCTCTTTCCATTCTGGATCAGATTTACAATAACAAGAGTTCTGACTTCATCATGATGCTACTCATGATGCTTTATTCTATATGAATACAAATGGCATTTTAAACAATTCAAATAAACTCATATCTGCAAACAAATTACTTTGGCATTAACTCTACAAAGAATTTAACATAGGGTTGTTCTTAATAGTAGAAATTCCTTTTTGAACACTTAAAATATTCAGTTTTCCAAAATACGGCTTAAATAAAACTATAGAAACACAGCCACAGTATAAAGTGAAACATATGCTTAATTGTTATTTTTCAATTAAATCCATATTATTTTAGTTATGATCAGCAACTTATTATTTGATATTGTACTGAATTTGCTGGTAGGTTATCTCAGTGTACTCCCTGCCCTGCAGCCTGTCAAAAGACTGTTTTTCTTGATTAAAAAATGTAATTGTTTTTCTGTAGCTACAAATCAAACATTCCTTTAGTTTTCTTAAGACAGTACCTTTAAAAAAAGTCAGATTAACTGCAATAAATCATATCCTAACAAGATTTTATTAAACATTTTGACCCACTGTAATTTTTTTCGTAATTAAGAGACACTAGAAATTTAGACCCTAAAACTAAAAGAAAATGCTCTTATAAGCCCAAGAGTAAATTGATTTTTTTTAAGAAGTCAGATATCACAAGTTAAATAATCATACAAGGATGTGAAAGGAAGGCACTTTGACCAAAATTGCTATACTAGTCACAAATACATTGCCAAAGATTTCTCCGAATAATGAATTTAATATCTTGACGCAGCACCCAGTATTTGTTGAAAGAGAGCAAAACTATGTAATAGAGGTTTTTAAAATAAAATTTTTTTAAAGAAGTCGTATTTATTTTCCTTAGTGATGCTAGCTTTTTTCCTTAAATTTGCTTTTGTCTTAAAAGTTATTTTGATAAAAACCTATCGGCTTCACTGTAAATAAGGAGCATGCCTAGAGCCACAGACAGGATTTATGAGTATTTCTCAGAGGCTTTCCTGGGAGATTGAGGTTGCTGCTGACTTAACAGTTTATCTGGAATGGCCTTGCATGTTCCTTTAATCAGAATTAGAGTGATTAGTATCATTTTGAGCAGTAATGACTCCAGGCTAATCCATTTAAATTCAATGAAAATGGCACTAACCTCAAAGTGCTATTTTAGGAAGCTTCTGTAGTGATCCTGAAAACAATTTTTCTCTGTGTGTGTGTTTTAAGCATAAAAATTTTTTTAAAGGATTTCAAAGTAACATCTCAAATTCCATTTTTGAAAGTTATTTTCTAAGTTTGTTTTTGCTTTTTTTTGGACACTTTGATTTGCTTTAAAGAAAAGTTTAATGAAATAGGTAACCCTGGGTAGCACAGTGTATGGTTGTGCGTTATCATCAAACCCAAAGAGTTGTGATGGTGATTAAATGAGAGGTTCATAAAGCACCTCTTCCCTGGCAATGAGAAAATACTCAGTAAATGGCACTTGCTGCCGCTGCTGCCACCACTGCCACTGTGCCACTGATGTGCTACTTCTATTAGTATTATGATAAACATACTGGATTTTAGAATATTTAGTTATTTTAAATCTTTTTTTAAAAGTTGTTTGTTGATTTTGATACGCTGTTTAGGAACTTATGCCTATGTTCATCCTGTGATCATGTAAAGACATCTTTTTTCTTTTAATCCAAGTGTTTCTGAAGCCAGATAAGTTCTATGATATATGCATGTTAGGAGCCTATAAAGGTGCTTTAGGAGAAAAGTAGGTTAAAAAAAATAGCCTGGCAGCTTTTTCTGATACGTTGTCTTTGTAAGACAGTGCAGTTTTTTCAGAGAAGTCAAGAGGACATGGACATAGAGATGAAATGAGTTAGCTCGTAAAGACAGCAGACCTTGACCTTCATTTCCACTAATCAACATTTTATATGGCTTTTAAAATCTATTCTTTCATTTCCTTTTGTCTGTACTTAATGGTAACAGGTAGGTTGTTGGTATGATCCACCTTTTTTGCTCCACTGAAGGACATCCTAATTCTGTTCATTTCTATGTGCCTGAAAGTATTTTCAGCACTCCAGTCCATAATCAACAAGCTTATGCATAAATACTTAGCCCAAAAAAGTTGGCATGTGGTTGTGGTTTTATTTTATTTTGGAGAGAAGGGAAGAAATCAGGATGGCCTATATGCTGATGAGAGGAGGGGAGGACCAGATTTGATTTAATTTATTTTAGGCTCTCAATCTCGTTTTCTTTTACTCACTGAGTACATTGGTATTTATAAAGCTTTTTGTTACTGTTTCTTTGTTTAGACTAATTCACTTTGTCTCACATATTGAAGGGGACAATATAGTACATAATACAGTACCTAATAACACCTTATTACAGTGCTAAATACAATGCCTTAAACATGGCAGTCTTTTTTTCTTTCAGTTTTTTTTATAGTGGTAAAATACAGTTATAAAATTTGCTATCTTTTAAGTGTACAATTTGGTGGTTCTATTTATAATGTGCAACCATCACCACCATCCTTCTCCGTAACTCTTTTCATTTATTCATTAAGATGGCTCCATCTTCTCCACTGCACACAGAGGTGTTTTTCAAAAAGCAAATGCCTGCTTTAAATCTTGTCATGGCTCCTCTTTGTCTTAAGGAATAAGAGAAAACTTTTTGGCAGCAGGATTGGTGGGGGATCATTGTGCAAGTATTTATGATCTGTAGTCTCATGTGGAAAATCTGTTTCTCCTGATTAGTTCTCTCTTTCATCCTGTATATATGATTCTACCAAACCTTTGAATATATATATGTGAGAGTTTATTTCTGAGCTCTCTATTCTATTTCATTTGTCTGTATGGCTTCAGGCCAGTAACACACTGTTTTGGTTACTGTAGCTTTATAGTAAGTTTTGAAATGAGTAAGTGTGAGTTCTCCAGCTTTGTTCTTTTTCAAGATTATTTTGACTATTCAGAGTCCCTTGAGATTCCATATGAATTTTAAAGTGGGTTTTTCTATTTCTAAAAAAGAGTGTCATGGGGATTTTCATAAGGATTGCGTTGAACCTATAGAATGCTTTGGGTTGTATTAACATTTTAACAATACTGTCTTCTAATTACACAAGGCAGACTTTTAATAAATGTTTGAAAATTGATTTCATTTGTTTATTAATTAAGCACTACTATGTGTTAGGCACTATGTTGAGTAACAAAGGTGAATACAGCACAGTCTCTGTTCTCCATGACTCGCTAATCAATAGATAAGACAGATTTGTAAGTAAATAGGTAGAGTTGTTTTGATGAGTGCGGTATTAGACATGAATAAGCTTATATAGTTGTACAGAAAAGGATAATTTACTTTGGAGAGATTGAGAAGGGGTTTGGATTGGTTTTGTTGTAATCATAAAGCTCTTAGCTCTTTAAGCTGACTCTCTGTAAATGACAGTCATCTAGGTGAACAGATGTTTTCTGAACTATAGCTGAACACTGGTCTTAGAGGACTTCACAATGCATACCTGGAGGAACATGGAGACTAAATTCCCAGACTGCCCGATTTAAATTAAGACCCTCCCTCCCCCTCATGCACATATCTTGTCACTGTCTTATCATCTGCTTTATTTTTTTTATAAGGAGAAAAGACATAAATGTTAGGAAAGCTAAATAACAATTCGAGACAGGGATAGAGAGATATCACAGATTTTTTTTTAGTAGTTTCCCAGTAAATTAATTATTCAAATAATAATTGCTAATAGAATTCAAAGGGCAATGTAAGTATGGTCTGTCATGATGAAGAAAGTCTTCCTTGCTCAAATGATACCTGTCCTGGCCTTTTCCAGACTTCTAGTCCTCTGATGATTCCTTTTTCTCCTATCTCTAAGTCCTCTTATAGATTTCCTTTCTTCCATCTCTATTCTAAAACATTTGTTCATCATTTCAACCTGCTCCACTCCATTACCATGTCCTGCCAGTCTTAAAGCACTCAACCCTAGATCTGTCAGCCCACCTTCTTTCTCCACAGGCTGCTGAGCCCTAAGGGAAAGTTTTACCTAACCTGACAGATGGCTCCATCTTCTCCACTGCACACAGAGGTGTTTTTCAAAAAGCGGATTTCTACTTTAAGTCCTTTCGTGGCTCTTCTCTGTCTTAAGGATTAAGAGAAAAAAAATTTTTTTAATCACTTTGCATGTGTTTATGATATGCAGTCTTATGTAGAAAATCTGTTTCCCCTGGTCAGTTCCCACTTTCATCCTATGTATATGATTCTACCAAACCTTTGCAACTCTCTAAAGGCCTTCTGCACCCCCTTGTCCTCAGAAGATAACATGTTTTTACTTAGTTTTTATTATGGATATTTGGGGTGGCCTGGCAACATGGTGTAGGGGTTGTGAGATTATGAGAGAGCTTAAAGCCTTCAAATACATCTTAGCATGGCCATTGAAGCCTGACATCTGGATTAAATCTAAACCCTTTCAACAAGACTTCAGGGCAGAATATCATGCTATCATGCTAAAGTGTCAGAGTCTCTGCCTAATAAATTGGGCAAAATGCTGTTATCATGGCAATATGCCAGTAACTTCTGAATGAGGGAAACCATCTCTGGTTGCGTTGTATTGGATGAATCCATGGAATTGGATCTGAGGCATTGGCCTTCACCTTGGGAACTCTCTGCCCCGAGAGCATCCGTCTTTCTGTTATCAAGCAACACATTTGCATGGCATGGAGCCACTTCCTCCCTTTGCCTCCAGGAGCCTACCATTCCACAATCTGCATGACTTTGTATTCAAGCTACTCTGCTCTTCTTTCTCTTCCTTAGACATAGATTCCTTATTAGGGCCTTTACACTTGCTCTGTCTACTGCGTGGAATCCTTTTCCCAGATCTTTAAGAGGCTGAGTCCTTCTTGACACTGAGAACTCAGCTCAAATGTCACTTCCTCAGTTAGGCCTTCCCTGACTGCCTAATTTAGATTAAGAACTCCCTCCCAGCCCCCTGCCACCACACACACACATATCTTGTCACTATCTTATCATCTGCTTTATTTTTTTCATGGTACTTATCACTAACTGAAATAATCTTCATTTTTTATTTTTCCACTTGTTTATTGTTTCTCTCCTTCATTAAATTGTATGTAATCCCAGCATTTTGGGAGGCCAAGGCGGGTGGATCGCCTGAGGTCATGAGTTCGAGGCCAGCCTGGCCAACATGGTGAAACCACGTCTCTACCAAAAACACAAAAATTAGATGGGCGGGTGGTGGGCACCTGTAGTCCCAGTTACTCAGGAGGCTGAGGCCGGAGAATCGCTTGAACCTGGGGGGCTGAGATTGCAGTGAGCTGAGATGGGGCCACTGCACTCCAGCCTGGGAGACAGAGCAAGACTCTGTATGAAAAAAAAAAAAAAATTTATGCTTAAAAAGAGTGAAGATTGTGTCTGTCTTCTCTGCCATTATATACCCAACACCTAGAACAGGTATACTTAGTAAATGCTCAATAAATATTAGTTGGATGAAGGGATGGATAGATAGATGATCTTGCTGACCTCTTAAGAGGCTAATTGGAAACTGTCAAGCAGGATCGTTCTTAAACCCTTAATTCCCCATCCCTACCTATAAGTGTACTGTAAAATGTACCTATTCTTTCCTGTTTTCTGCCAATCTCAGGAAATTAAGTGGCTCTCTCGCTGCCCAAGGTTAATGCCCACACCTTTTTCTTCTGCCTCTTGAGGCCTTATTTCAGCATTGAACTCCTCCTCTAGTTCTTCAGTCTCTTCTTTGGGCTTTATCCCTTCAATATGTGACATGCTGAGATCTATCCCTTTTGTGAGGAAAAAAAAATCTTTTATCGGATCTTTGTCACCTCAGAGATATGACCCTGTTTCTTCCCTTCCATTCACAGCTAAGTTTTTTGACAGTGTTTTGTGTGCCATTAGCCTCTAAATATTTTGATCATATTCCTAATCAATAAAAATTTTTGAATACACCCTCAAGTATATTTATTTACATATACCTTATATATATATGCTGCTAAACTGACATACGAAATAATGAAATTATATACAAATAATAAAAAGGGATAACATAGAGATTAATATTTTAAAATAGATTTTTAAAATTAACCTGCCACAAACTTTCAAAATTATCAGCTGGGCGTGGTGGCTCACGCCTGTAATCCCAGCACTTTGGGAGGCTGAGGTGGGCAGATCACTTGAGGTCAGAAGTTCGAGACCAGCCTGACCAACATGGAGAAACCCTGTCTCTATTAAAAATACAAAATTAGCAAGGCATGATGACGCATGCCTGTAATCCCAGCTACTTGGGAGGCTGAGGCAGGAGAATCGTTTGAACCTGGGAGGCAAAAGTTGCGGTGAGCTTAGATTGTGCCACTGCACTCCAGCCTGGGTGACAGAGTGAGACTCTGTCTCAAAAAAAGAAAAAAAAAATTATCAAATAGCAGAAGTTTTTCTTTATGTTCTGCACACTTACTATTTAAGTACCTTGTTAATTGTGGTGGCTTTGAACTATCATTAGCTAATAGCTGTGGGCACATTATATACTTGATATGTTTGGATATTTTGTCCCCACCAAATCTCATGTTGAAAGGTGACCTCCAATGTTGGAGGTGGGCCTAGTGGGAGGTGTTTGAGTCATGGGGGTGGATCCTCATGAATGCTTGGTGCTGTCCTCCCCATAACAAGTGAGTTCTCACTCTGTGATCACTCGAGATCTAGCTGTTAAAAGAACCTAGCACCTTCTCCCCCTCTTTCTTGCTGCCGCTCTTGCTGTGTGATACTCCTGCTCTCCCTTCGTCTTCCACCATGATTGTAAGCTTCCTGAGACCCTCACCAGAAGCCAGTAAGATACAAGTGCTATGCTTGTACATCCTGCAGAACTGTGAGCCAAATAAACCTTTCTTTATAAATTACCCAGTCTCAGCTATTCCTTTATGGGACTAATACAGTACTTAAGGCAAGACTCCTAAGTATTGTAGTAGTTGTGAATTCATGTTACAGATAATTTCCAGTTTTTCTAAAACTAGTTTCTTGTCAGATCTGTTTGGATTGTCCTTGTTTTGACTCATGATAATGGCATACAAAAGGCTCTGCCATTTTCTTATCCTTTGCTTATACTAATTATCTTCAATGTTGGTGTCTTTGTATTATAGGAATTATTTAAAACAGTTTGTTCATTTTACAAGAATTGGTTTAGTTAAAACTGGATATAATATATAAACCCAGTTAACTGGGCATATGTAAATTGTAATATGACCAATGAAGAAAGCAAATGAGTGACCAGGAAGGAAGGACATCACTGCTACCCTTCTGTAACATGGAATTTTAACTCTTCTCTCAATTTTAATACTTCTTTCAAAGTATCTCAAGATACTTTGCATTTGTTTGTGACATGGGGAGCATTTGATTTATGGTTCAGGTCTGGGTACCAATGTCAATTCATTTATAAAATATTAGTAAAGCTTAATTTCTTTTCAACTTTTTAGATAAAAATAATAAAAATAAAACTATTTCGGCCGGGTGTAGTGGCTCACGCCTGTAATCCCAGCACTTTGGGAGGCCGAGGCAGGCAGATCACGAGGTCAAGAGATCGAGACCATCCTGGCTAACACGGTGAAACCCCGTCTCTATTAAAAATACAAAAAAATCAGCCAGGTGTGGTGGCGGGTGCCTGTAGTCCCAGGTACTTGGGAGGCTGAGGCAGGAGAATGGCGTGAACCTGGGAGGCAGAGCTTGCAGTGAGCTGAGATTGCGCCAGTGCACTCCAGCCTGGGCGACAGAGCGAGACTCTGTCTCAAAAAAAAAAAAAAAAAAAAAAAAAAGTAGAACTCTTTTCTTCCCACACCCAGTAGATCATCTTATGTACCTCCAGGGTTGTATCTACCTCACTTTGCAGACTACTGGTTTGTACTTACCGTTTCCATGGCTTTACCCTCTATTCATTCTTCAGCCCACTGTAATCAGGCTTCTGCATCTATTCCTCTGCCAGCACAACTCTGGTTTAAGGTCATTAGTAAGTTACCTTATCATAACATACAAGACTTTTTATAATGTCCCCACCCCATTTCATACATACATAAATAGACCTTTCTGGTCTTATTACCTACTAAGACCCCTCCTTTAGAGGCCTTATCATTTGCTTTAGGTTTAGGAACCTGTTTTCAGTTCCCCACAAGTACCATAATCTCTCATTCCTCCAAATTTTTGCTATTCCCTCTTATAGTGGAATATGTCTGCTGTTCAGAAGCTCCTTAATTGTTGACATTTACTATGTGCCAGGCAGAATGCTTTGCATGCCTTTCTTCATTTAATACCCACATCAACCTGGTAAGTTTAAGCTCCTTTATTTTAGAGGTAGGACAAGGCCTAGAAGAGGTTGTATAATTTGCCTAAGGCATACTAGAATTCAAACCCAGTGCTTTACTAATTATGTTATGCTGCCTTCCCTTACGAAAAGGAGTTTATTTTCTTTTTTATACCTGGCACCTAGCACAAGGCATAGCAAATATTATATTTGTTGAATGAATAAAGTGAGGTTTGAGCTAGTCTTAAAGAATGAAAATGTTCTAGGCAGGAGAAAACATGGACAAATACAGAAAAGAGAGTATGTCTACAGCACATTTAGAGAACAATGACCTGGTCACCATGGGTTAAAAGGTATTTCACTGAGGGTAGCATTCAGGGGTCTTTCCATTCAAAGTTTTCTTGAAGCTTCCCCACCTGTTGCTGCTGTAGTCATCTCTTGTTCTTTGTAGCAAAACTCCTTTAAGTGGTAACTATCTGATTCCTCTACTGTTCTTTTGAATCCAGTTCACCGAGGCTTTTAGCCTCACTACTCCACTTAGAATGGCTATTGTTAGGGTCACTAGTGACTTCTGTGTTGCTAAATCCAGTGGACATTTTTCAGTCATCTTACTTGATCTGTCAGCATCATTTGACACAGATCATCACTCCATTCTTAGATACCATGCTGTCTTGGTTTTCCTCTTACCTAACTAATTGTAAATTCTTTGTCTACTCCTCAGCCTCTGAATGATTGATCGAGTGCTCCAGTCTCAGCTTTCATAGTCTTTTAATCCACACTCACTCCTTTACTGATCTAATACAGTCTTCTCTTTAAATACCATCTACATGCTGATGACTTTTCAGTTTATATCCCTCTGTAACCCTGATCTCCCTCCCTGAACTCCAGACTCACCTAGCTAATTTCCTATTAACATCTCCACTTGGATGTCAACTAGACACCCCAAACTTAACATCCAAAATTAAACTCTCTATCATCCCCCTAAAAAGCTTCTTCTCTTGCAGTGTTTCCCATTTTCAGTTTATGGCACCTCCAGCTTTTCACTTGCTAAGGCTAGAACTTTAGATTCTCTCACACTCCACACTAGCCTGTCAGGAAATCCTTCATTATGTATCGAATGAACCACTTCACTGTTAATACCTTGTGCACTCACCTGAATTATTGCAGTAACATTCTAACTATTCTCCCTTACCTTTGATGGCCTACTGACTGTCCTCAATGCAGTAGCCAGAGTGACCTTTTTAACCTAAGTTAAGAGGATCTCATCATGCAAAACCCTGCAATGAATGATTTTCCACTTCCATCAGAATAAGATCTAAAGTTATAATATCCTACAAGACCAATCTGGTCTTCTCTGTTATCTACCTGATGTCATATCCTACTCCTCTTATGTATGGTGGGTCAGCCACACCAACTTCTTTACTGTTCTTCAGACATGCCACTGCTCCTGCCCCAGAGCCTTTGCTTTTACTCTTCTTCCTCTGATGCTCCTTCCTCAGTCACATTACTCTCTCTCTAATCCCTTCAAGTCATTTAAATAACTCATCTCAGTGAAGCCTTCCCTAACCATCCTATTTAAACGTATAACCCGGCCGGGCGCAGTGGCGCACACCTGTAATCCCAGCACTTTGGGAGGCTGAGGCAGGCGGATCACGAGGTCAGGAGTTCGAGACCAGCCTGACCAACATGGTGAAACCCTGTCTCTACTAAAAATACAAAAATTAGCCAGGCATGGTGGCACACATCTGTAATTCCAGCTACTCAGGAGGCTGAGGCAGGAGAATCGCTTGAACCCAGGAGGCGGAGGTTGCAGCGAGCCAAGATGGCGCCATTGTACTCCAGCCTGGGCGACAGAGCAAGACTGTTTCTCAAAAAAAAAAAAGTATAACCCATACATACTAGTTTACCCTCATGGGTTATTCCCCCAGAGCACTTATCACCTTCTAGCATATTATTTAATTAACTTTAAAAAAATTTTATTTACTTTTCTGTCCATGCCAGAGAATAAGTTCTGTGAGGACAGGAATTTTTTCTTTATTTTCTTTGTGATACCTGCCTGAAATAGTGCCTGGCATAAGTAAATAATAAATAATTACTGGATTGAGTTAGATTAAATAAAATTATTTATTTACATCTGAAAATCTTTTGTTTTTTTTTTTTTTTTTTTTGACAGAGAGTCTCACTGTGTTGCCCAGGCTGGAGTGCAGTAGTGCAGTCTTGGCTCACTGCATCCTCTGCCTCCTGGGTGCAACCAGTTCTCCTGCTTCATCCTCCCAAGTAGCTGGGATTACAGGCACGCGCCAGCATGCCTGGCTAATTTTTGTATTTTTAGTGGAGATGGGGTTTTAGCACGTTGGCCAGGCTGATCTCGAACTCCTGACCTCAGGTGATCCACCCACCTCAGCCTCCTGAAGTGCTGAGATTACAGGCGTGAGCACCACACCTGGTCGGGGATCGTTCTTTTCGTTGCCTGAATCATTTCAGATGGTTTTATTGTGGTTTGGTTGATACACAAAAAGCTGTACATAGTTAATGTATACAACTTGATGAGTTTGGAATTCTAAGTAAATACCTGAGAGGTATTACCATAATCAAGGCCATAAACTTTGTCATCAAAACAGTTTTTGTATTGGCATAAAACAGACATATTGACCAAAAGAACAAAAGAAAGAGTCCAGAAATAAACTCATGCATATATAGTTATCTTCAACAAGGGTGCCAAGAATACACAATGGGGAAAAAAATAGTCTCTTCAATAAATGGTTTTGGGAAGACTGGATTTCACTAAAAGAATGAAATTGAATCCTTATCTCACATCATACACAAAAATCAACTCAAAATAGATTAAAGACTTAAATGTAAAACCTAAAACAATAAAACTCTTAGAAGAACACTTAAATTAGCCAGGCATGGTGACACACCTGTAGTCTCAGCTACTCCGGAGGCTCAGGTGGGAGGATCACTTGAACTTGAGAGGTTGAGGCTGTAATGAGCTGTGATCACACTACTGCATTCTAACCTAAGCAACAGAACAATACCCTGTCAAAAAAAAAAAAAAAAGAGGGAGGAGGAGCAGGAGGAGCAGGAGCAGGAGACGTGAGAGAAAAAGCTTACGGACATTGGTCTTGGCAATGATTTCTTGGGTATGACACCAAAAGCACAGGCAACAAAAGCAAATATAGACAAGTAGAATTACATGAAACTAGAAAACTTCTGCACAGCAAAGGAAACAGTCAACAAAATGAAAAGGCAGCTTAAGAAATGGGAGAAAGTATTTTCAATCCATATACCTCAAGAGGTTAATATCTAAAACCTATTAAAAAACTCTTAATAGCCAAAAAAAAAACCTGATTTTAAAATGGGCAAAGAACCTGAATAGACATTTAACCAACGAAGACATGCAAACAGACAACAGGTACATGAAAAGGTACTTAACATCACTAATGCAAATCAAAACCTCAGTATCACCTCATACCTTGTTAGAAGGGTTATTCCAAAAAAAAAAAAAAAACCTCAAAAAACAAAAGATAATCGATGGTAAGGATGTGAAGAAAAGGAAATCTTTTTACACTGTTGGTGGGAATGTAAATTAGTATAGCCATTATGGAAAACAGTGTGGAGTTTTCTCAAAAGATGAAAAATAGAATTATTTGATTCAGCAATCACGCTTCTGGGAGTATATCCAAAGGAAATAAAATCACTGTTTCACAGAGATATCTGCATTTTCATCACATGGTCCTTACAGCACTGTTCACAATAGCCAAGATACTGAAACAACCTAAATGTCTATCAGTCAGATGAATGGATAAAATGTGCGTATATATGTATACACACACAGAGCAGAATCAGTAGAGTATTATTCAGCCTTTAAAAAAAGAAGGAAATCCCATCACTTGGAACAACATGGGTGGATCTGGAGGGCATTATGATAAGTGAAATAAACCAGGCACAGGACAAATACTCCATGATCCCACTTTTATGAGGAGTTTAAAATAGTGAAGCTTGTAGAACTAGATAGTAGAATAGTGGTTATCTGGGGCTGGGGAGAGGAGTAAATGGGGAGGTGTCAGTCAAAAGATACAAAGTTTTAGTTATGCAAGATAAGGTCTGGAGATCTCCTGTGTAGCAGAGCCTATAGTTAGCAATACTGTATTGTATACTTAGAATGTTGCTAAGGGAATAGGTCTTACGTTAAGTGCTCTTACCACAAAAGAAAAAAATACTTTTCAAAGATTTTGAGGGGTTTGGGTGCAGTGGCTCACGCCTGTAATTCCAGCACTTTGGGAAGCCATGGCAGGAAGATTGCTTGAGCCCAGGAGTTTGAGACCAGCTTGGGGAGCATAGTGAGACCTTGTCTCTACTAAAAATTAAAAAATTAGCAAGGGGCATGGTGGCGTGTGCGTGTGGTCCCAGCTACTCAGGAGGCTGAGGTGGGAGGATCATTTGAGCCCGGGAAGTCAAGGCTGCAGTGAGCCATGATCATGCCACTGCACTCTGGCCTGGGCAAGAGACTCTATCTCAAAAACAATTTTTTTTAATGAATAAAGAGGGCAAAAGGAAAATCTTTTGGAGATTTTAAGATTCGTTTACATAGACTTTACAGCCTTGAAAAAAGATATGTAAGCCCCAAATATAAAGAAGATACATTTGACCAGCAAGATTTATTAACAGCTATGGATCTACGTGTGCCATATCATGTTCTTCAGTGTAATTTCATGTTTTTGTCCAGCGATTCACAGAGGACTAGATTTTAGATTGCCTTTCCTCTCCCACAACTGACAAGGCTTTAATCAGGGCATTAAGGAGTTCTAAATAGGTCTTGCTTTTGAATCTGCATATCAGGAGGGGGCTGGGAGCATGAGCGGGAGGATGTCATGTCTCAGTGATTAATGATCTCTAGGAAGCTGAAAAGGGGAGTGTAATATACACAGTATTTCTACCCCCTGGAGTAGGAATGCAAACACTATTGTGCAGATCTGTGCATAGTCACTGACTTCCTGGTAGCTGGAGAATTTCATACACTCTTCTACCACAAATAAAACTGTCAGAGAAGTGACAGAGCTCAAAAAGCTGGCCTTCCTTACTTAAAAAGAATAGCTCAAACACAGTGAGCCAGAAAAATTAATTTTGTAGTTGTTTGGAAACCAAGTTGTTAAATAAGAAATAAGAAAATGGGAACTTTTCTTGAAAAGCCTAAAACCTCCAAATATTTGTTGAATCAAACTCTACATTTGGTTTCTTAAATTTACTGAATTCCTGGAAACTGCTTACTTTAAACGAATTTAAAGGGGAAACATTCCTTTGTAATGAAATGACCCATCTGAAACTTTTCAATCTGGTCTCTGGTAGGTTCAGAGCATCATACGGTCAGTGTATTTAAGAGCCTATTGCCTGATGTTTAGGGAAAAAATCATAACATTTCAGAATGGCTTGTATACAGTTTTTGAAAATAATTCTAAGGTAGAGTTATTTCCCCCCTTTTATTCTCAATGAATCTATGGTATTATTTAGTAACAATTTCTAAGTGCTTAAGATAGAAGCAAAACGTTCTGAACTATAGATAAGATAAACTACAGATATTTGCAAAAAAAAGTTTTAAGAGAAAGTTTTGGGGAAAGCTTATATTTCAGCCACCTTTGATTATTTACCAATAACCAAATATAGAGATTTTGTGCATAACACCAGTAGCAGCAGCAGTATTTGGTTTTAGTGAGGGCAATCAAATAACTTGTATTTTACTAGGAACCATTTATTCATATGACTTGTTAAATTATTTTTTGCTCTTGATTCATTTTTTTGATGCCCTATACATTACCACTTTCTGTTCTGCATTGTCTAACTTTTCAACTGACTTGTTACTGGTTTTTATTTTTCCATAATATAAAAAGAAAGGAAATATTCATTCTTGGGGAAGTGGAGCACAATTCAGGGTAGAGGAAAGAAAAATTTTTGTATTTCTATTTCTTTGTTTTTCTGTTTGTTTTGCTTTATTTTTTAGGGTGTCACTATAATCTAAAGTAGAAGGAGCTACTGGTCTAAATTAAGATAGTATCAGATAGATTAAGCTCTAAATTTGGTTTCCAAGTGGTTGGACTTTTAAATTGCATTTGCAGGAGTTTATTTTTAGTCAGGATGTGGTTATTTTTAGATCTGCTTCTCTGTCACTAGGAAATAAAATGCCTGTCTTTCCATTGTTGATCAGGAAGTTCTAAGGCACAGGCATATAAGAGCCAGTTAGCCCAGAACACCACCACTCCTTTTAGATGAAAGAATATGAAATAACTCATGGAAGAAAATATGTTTGTTGAGAACATATCTAATTTTGAAATTGTTAGTGTCATTTTAATCTTTTGTACACTGAACAACAGAACAAGGTTTTTAGGGAATGCCAAAAATATAAGGTTTGGGTTCCCCCTACTGGTGTGCATCCCAGTCTCGTGTATTCATTAATACACAGCTGAAAGGCCTAGGGGCTAGAGATTAGAAATAGCTATATTAACTTCATTTAGAGACCTGATGATAAGAAAGAGAGAAAAAACTCCATTTCCCTTTTTCTGCATATGTCTTACAAAAATTGGGATGATTTTTAAATTGTATTTTCTACATTTAGAAAGAATAAAACTTAATTCTACCATATTTGGTTTATTGTTGTTGCTACTGATAAGCTGCTTATTTTCAGTGTTTCTCAAATGCTTTATGTTGTAATCTAAGGAATAATAAAACACCAGTGGATCCACAAAAGGATTTAAAATCCCAGGGAAGAAATGCAAAGCTAGCATTGTTGCCATAATAAAATTAAGGAGCTGGCATTAAAGCTCACTAATTCCTATTTTAGCATTTCAGAAAGTGACATGACATCATGTGATTGTGTCTGTCTATTCAACATTTGTTTTTTTTCTAATTTGTACAACATATATTTGAAACAGTTTTTTATTTCCTATCTCATAGTAAGTGTCAAGTGTCCATAATGGCTCATTTTTGGAAAAGAAATATTTTAATTGACTCTTAAAAGTCACTTTTGAACTTCTTATTATGTTTGCATTTTAAAGGACTATTCAATCAAGTTAAAATATTGTATTTTTTTAATTGCTTTTCAGCAATGCAGTCAACCTTTTAAGCAATGTTCCAGTCTCTTGTTTGGATGTTCTCATTTGTCCGTTAACCCATGAAGAAACAGCCCAAGAGGCAACGACTCTAGATGAACTGCCCAGTAATAAAACAGCTGAGAAAGAAACAGTTTTGAAAAACAATACCATGGTATACAATGGTATGAATATGGAGGCCATTCATGTTTTACTGAATTTTATGGAGAAGAGAATAGACAAGGTAAGGCTGATAAAATGGAAGCCCTGGGAAGATGCTTCCAAAGAATGTAAATGTGCCATACATACAGACACACATCACAGAGCATGATTTTTAAATCTAAGCTTTTTTTCTGACTGATGTGCTGCATAATTGTTTTTACTTTGGAAAGCAGTTTATTACAATATATGATAAATTGCTGAAGCCATGTTAATTTATTTGTTTAATGCTGAAAATTATGTTCATGCAACACCAAAATTATGACTAGTGCTTGAAAACAAAGGAAAAAGTAATTACTGTTCCATTTTGTTACTTTGTGAGTCCTAGAAATAAAAAATATCCCCCCAAAAACTTGCTAAATACTCTTCATAATACCTAAAAGACATCTTCCCAAAAAAAAGAAAAAAGAAGACCTTGTCAATTTCCCATTTGTTGTGAGCTGTTTATACATTCTCTGGTCTATCACTCACTTTGTCAGGTATCTGTATTAAAAGGCAGCAAGGTAGCATAGTCCAGTCACCAAAATTTTGCTTCATTCAAGCCCTTTGGCTAAGCCCATGGGAATCCTAGAAAATGTAGGAACATCCAGGAAGGACCAAAAAAGGCAATAGTAAACATGAAGATGATAAAATGGAAATGTTTTTAGGAAAAGAATTTTTAAAATAGTTTGTAAGCTTAGGTAACATAAGATGTCCCCACCTCGTGGATCACGAGGTCAGGAGATCGAGACCATCCTGGCTAACATGGTGAAACCCCATCTCTACTAAAAGTACAAAAAATTAGCCAGGTGTGGTGGTGGGCACCTGTAGTCCCAGCTACTCAGGAGGCTGAGGCAGGAGAATGGCGTGAACCCGGGAGGTGGAGCTTGCAGTGAGCCGAGATTGCGCCGCTGCACTCCAGCCTGGGCAACAGAGGGAGACTCCCTCTCCCAAAAAAAAAAAAAAAAAAAAAGTCCCCACCTCAAAAACAAATTGATATCCTCAGTTACATGAAGGAAAGTAATACTGTTAGAAACAAAACTAACGTATTTCAAAAACATATGGTTTTTTTTTTTATAGGGAAGCAGCTATAGAGAGGGTCTAACTCCAGTTCTCAGCTTATTAACCGAATGTTCCCGAGCCCATCGAAACATCCGAAAATTTCTCAAAGATCAGGTAACTGCTTAATGCATATTACATTGCAAAGTTAGTCTTTTTATGTGCATTTTAAACATAGAATTAATTGAATTTTCTCACAATGATTTTGTTTCAGATAATCAGAAACTCAGTCTTAATCTTTGAAATCTTCTTAATCAAGAAGTGTGTATTTTTTGAGTCATTCATTCAGCAAATGCTACCGAGATCTGCTGTGTGTGCTGTGTTTTGGGCATTGAACAACAGATGAAGTCTTTCCCCTTGGGAAGTTTATTTTGTAGAGAGGGGGACAAAAAGTAAACAAATTTAAAATATAATGGCAGGTGGTGATAAGCATTCTGAAGAAAGGTAAAGCATTTTAAGAGAGAGGAGACACTTTAAGGGAACAAGGGAGGACCTCTCTGAGATGACATTTGAACAGAAAGGTGGAAAAGTAAGAGTATCTCTGAGAATGATTGGAAAGGAATGTCCCTGAGAGAACAAGTTCACAATCCCTGAGACAAGAGGATGCTTTGGTACACTTAAGGAAAAGCAAGAAGGCCTGTGTGACTAGGCCACAATATGCAAGGGGGAGAGTGGTAGATAAAGAGAGGTAACAAGAGCCAGATACAGCAGGCGGTGTAGGACTTTCCATTCTCTTCTAAGTGAGATGAGAAGATATTGGAGTGTTTTAAGAGGGGAAGTGATGTGACCTTATTTATGCTTAAAGATATCCTGGCTACTATTTGTAAGATTGACATAGTGGAGCACAAATGGATGCAAGGAGACAAGTCCAAAAGATAACTGATGTTGCATGTTTGGAGTAGGATGGTAGTGGTTAGAGTTCATACTTGGGGATATGTTTTAAATATTTTAATATGTCTTAAAAGTAGCTCACAGAACTTGCTGATAGATTGGAGTATGGGTTGAAAAAGAAAAAATAAGGGTGATTTTTAAACTTTCAGATTATATCTTAGACTACAAGTGTAAGACTTTGATTGTAACAATACCTGAAACTAGCCTCCTCTAAAATCCCAATTTCAAGCACCTTCTCTTATTTAGTACCCTCAATCCAACATTCTTTCTTCCTCGGAGGATTGTCAGTCTGTCATTTTTTCCCACTGTTCTTCACTCACTTGTGCCTTCTCTCCTTACCCAGGCTAGATTCCACCTGAGGTTCATTACTATAATCACTCCTTTCCATACATCTCTAACTAGCACCTTGTGCGCTCCCTCAGTCGTACTCACCTGGCAAAACCTAACAAACTGGCTAACTCCAGCTTTCTTCCTACTCTGGGTCTCCACCAAGCACTTGAACATGATAAGAGAAAATGACACAACCATTTTGACGAGTCTACTTTAAATTTAAGACCACCAGCCCCAACCGGTTCCTTAGCAAACTCCAAGATGACTATTTCACAGCTTTTCTTCACACCTCCAATGCTTACTGCCCTCTCCTCACTCTCATTTCTTGACTTTGTTTCCTGTTTCATCATGAAATTAAGAAAAAACTTTATCTTTCCACCATTGCATCTGCTATCTGTCTGCATCTATACTGCCATATCCCTTGTATTCCCATCTGTCACAATGGATGAATCATTGCTACTTCTGTGGCCAGCATTTGTCCTGGATCTCTTTCTCTCTCATTAACTTTGCACCTGCATTTATTTCCCCTCTCTCTCTTCTTATATTAATCATTTTAAAAAATGTATTGGATCATTTATCAGCACCCAAACACATCTTTCATCTTAAAAACAAAAACACCTTCCCTTATCCCACTTCTCAAGCTGCCTTTCTATTTCTATGCTCCTCTTTATGCAGTGTCCTCAGAAGAGTTCTCTGTACTCACTCTCTCTATTCTTTTTACTCGTTTTTGACTCCTAAACCCTCTGTAGGCTACATGCCTTCCGCCCCACTGCAAAGGTGTTTATCAGAGTCACCAACTCAACTTTGCCAAAGCTAATAGTTCTCAAGTCTCTTTTTTTAAATTCTCCAATAGAATTTGATGTAAGTATTCCCTCCTCCTTGAAATACTTTCTTCACTTGGTTTCTAGGACACAATAGAGAACCTCTTTGTTGATCTTCCTCGTTTTCCTAACCCTAAATGTTTGAGTGCCCCGAGGCAATACTATCTTGTCTCTATCTCTGCTGCCATGGTGATCTCATTCAAGAGTCATGGTTTTGAAAATCATCCATATATGCTGATGACTCTCAAATTTATATCTCCAGCCCTGACCTGTCACCTAAGCTCTAGACTTATACAGTGAACTGCCGACTCATCTCCTCCTCTTGGATGTATAGTAGGTATCTCAAGTTTAACATACCTCAAACTAATATCTTGATTTTCATCCCTCCAACCTATTTCTTCCCCTTCTTTCCACATTTCAATACGTGGTACCACCATTCACCCAATTGTTCATTTATCACTACATAGAATCTCCCCTAATAAATGAACCAGATTCATTTTTTCCCTCTGTATTTATGGTCAAGATTTAGTAAGCACCTTACTGTATCTAGAAACACTAATAGGTAGTGCTGATAAGGAGAGATTAGAAAATAGAGACCATCTTTGAGGAATTTACAGTCTGTTGAAAGAAGAGAAATACCCAGAAAGCATGAATAATGATTTAGGCAAGATTAATTAATTAATTAAGGTCATTTCCACATTTGATTATTTTAAGACATTCTCCCTTGACTAGGAGGAGTTGGTGAAGCACAGTAAATGAAAATACTTTTTTTCTGCATTTTCGCTTTTTTCCACAAGGGATCCAGGTACACCTAAACTGTTTAGATTTTGCTATCTCTAAACAGAACAGCCAAAAAAAAAAAAAAAACCTATTAGTTAAATACTTCTTAATATGAAGGCCTTGGGCCACATATTGTGTCATTATAAAAGATTATGTGACCCACTGTCTGTCTTCAAGAAACATTACAGTAGAGGTATGGAGATGAAACATGACAGGTAAAAAGATAACTAAAGATACAAGGCATAATACAGAAATCAACTTTCCTTCTGAAGAGGATGCACTGTAGACTGTTATGATCAAGAAAGGCAGAACTTAAAGTACAGATGATTAACTCTGATAATAATGTAAGTGGAACCTTGATTTATTATTATGCCCTGTAGTAAATACCTGGTTAAATCCAACTCATGCCTATCCAAAGGAAATTGGTCTATATTCTGTGTTTGGGAGGTAGAAAAGAAAGCAAGTGGTAGAAATTACTGACCCAGGTTGTATTATTCTGGAGAGGCTTATAGAAGCAATGAGTATTTGGGGGATTTGAAAAAGAAACTGGACAAGATTTGTCAAAGAAAAAATTTGTTGGAGGTAGTATTCTAGGGGGAAATACATAGGCAGTTTGGGAGTGGTATATAACAATAACAACAAAATTTTGTTAAAAATTTGTTTTAAGGAACCAAAAATGTAGCTAACAAAATTTTTACATGATAACCTTTGTTCATAGATTCTGTACTCGAGGTACTATAGACATATACTACATGAAATCATTTGTTACATGTTTCATTCTTCTAGAAATGGGAGACGTACTAAGTATGGTTCAATAATGGTTCACAGTAGTAAGGATTTGTTGTGCAATTACTTTGTGCCTAGCATTTTGTTCTACCCAGCCAGAGACTGAAATATGGATTCCATAAACACTTTAGATAGGTTACTCAATTTTGTGAGATTTAGTTTCCATTTTTGTTTATAGCTGTGTCTCCCCTGCCTCTGATATCTCCTGATACATGGTGGATACTTGACATAGAAAGAGAGAGAGAGAAGAAAGTCATTTGAGTGGATCAAGTAAAATTATATATACATAAAGGATCTGGGATATAATAGGTGCACAGTAAGTTCTTATTTGACTTCGTGTCTGCCCTCATTTCTTAGCACAGTGCCTAGCTTATATAATAGAAGGCACTTAATAAAAGCTTCTTGAATTAATTCATTTTTCCTTCAACCAGCAAATATTCATTAAACACCTGTAATATGCTAGACACTGGGAAGAAAGCAGTAAACAAAACAAAGAAATCTCTGCCCCAGTGGAACTTGGTCTTGTGGAAGGAGGCAGACAAGTAAACAGATAATTATATACTACGTCCGGTGGTGACAAGTGCTATGAGAGAGGTTCTGGCAGAGTAAGGAGGTGGAGGTGTTGCAAAAAGAGAGGGCTAAAGGTTAGTGATATGGAGTGGTCAGGGAATGTCTCCTGTAAGTGACATTTTGGCAAACATCTGAAGAAAGTAAGGAGAGAGCCATGCAAGTTTCTAGAAAAAGAGTTTCTGGGCAGAAGGAGAAGCAAATTCAAAAGACCTGAGGCAGGAAAGTACTTGGCATGTTTAAGAAGGTCCATGGAGGTCTGTGTGTCTGTAACAGCATAGGCAGGGAGAATAGTAGAAATGAAGTCAGAGAAGTAGCAGGAAGCCAGATTATGTGGAATCCTGTACGGAAGTTGTAAGGACCTTGCCTTTTACTGTGAGATGAGAAGCCATGGGAACTGGAGAACTTTGAGGAGTGACATGATCTGACTTTCAAAGGATCATCCTAGCCACTATGTAGAAAATGAATTAGAGAGTGACCAGCATGGAAGCAGAGACCACTTACAAGGCTTTGGTATTAGTCCAGAGAAATATTGGTACCTTGGACTTGGTAATACTGGAGGAGGTGGGGAGAAGTGGTTGGATTGTGGGTATATTTCAGAGGTGGAGCTGACATAATATGCTGATGGATAGATATTAAAGAGAGGAGTCAAGGATATTTCCAAGGTTTTTGTACCAAGCAATTGGGAGAATGGACCTACCATTTAATGAGATGGAAAACTGATGAGGAACAGGTTTGGTGGGAACTTCAAGAGTCCTGCTTAGGACCCGCTAAATTTAAGAGGTCTATAAAAGCCTGGAGGTCAGAAACACGGAGTAGAATAGTGGTTACCAGGGGCTGTGGAGAAGATGGGGAGTTATTATTCAATAGATATAAAATTTCAATAATGTAAAATTATTAAGTTCAAGAGATCTGCTGTACAACATTGTACCTATAGAATGATGGTTACCAGAGGCTGGGAAGGATAATGGGGGAGTGGCGGGAGAATGAGGAGTGGGGATGGCTAATGGGTACAAAAATGTACTTCAATAGAATGAATAAGATGTAGTATTTGATAGCACAACAGGGTGATGTCAACAATAATTTGTTGTACAGTTTAAAAACAGCTAAAAGAGTGTAATTGGATTGTTTGTAACAGAAAGCATAAATGGTGGATACCCCATTTACCCTGATGTGATTATTATGTATGGTATACCTGTATCAAAATATCTCATATACCCCATAAATATATAACCTACTATGTACCCACAACAATTAAAAAAATTTTTTTCTTTTTAAATAGTTTATTTATTTATTTATTTATTTATTTATTTATTTATCTATTTTTTGTAGAGACAGGGTCTCGCTATGTTGCCCAGGCTGGTCTCGAGCTCCTGGTTTCAAGCGATCCTCCTGCCTTGGTCTTCCAAAGCGCTGGGATTACAGGTGTGAGCTACCATGCCCGGCCAAAAATTAAAAATTAAAAAAAAAAACTACAAAAAAAAATACTGTATGGTACACATACAAATTTAAGAAGGTTAGAAAAAAGAAACAAGGAATCAGTTATGGGTCCCACCAAGACTTAACTGAATCAGAATCTGCATTTTAACAAGATCCCCAGGTGTTTGGAATGCACATTCCAGTCTAAAATCACTAGCCTGAAAAGCCCTAGTTAACAGGATGACTTCAGGACACTTTAATATGCTCTGTAATCAGTCTGTAAGTGTAAGTAAGGTGGTGGCAGTGTATTTAATATTGTGTTAGATTGAATATCCTCTATATAGATCTATCATAGATATAATTATCTTAAAAAAATGAAAGTGAGTCCATTTTAATATATTTTCTGCCCTTATTTAAATCTATTAGTTTCTATAGCTCTTTGTAAAATCCTATAATTTCTGTGATTAAAGAAAGAAGTTTGGAGGTCAGGGAAGAAATCAACAATGGAGATATAATTTAGGGCAGGGGTCCCCAACCCCAGGGCCTGATCCATGGCCTTTAGGAACTGGGCTGCACAGCAGGAGGGGAGCAGCAGGCGAGCATTACTGCCTGAGCGCCGCCTACTGTCGTATCAGCTGGTGCATTAGATTCTCATAGGAGCACAAACACTATTGCGAACTGCACATGCAAGGGATCTAGGTTGTGTGCTCCTTATGAGAATCTAATGCCTGATGATCTGAGGTGGAACAGTTTCATCTTGAAACCACCCACCAAGCCCCAGTCTGTGGCAAAATTATCTTCCATGAAACTGGCCAAGTCCCTGGTGCCAAAAGGTTGGGGACTGCTGATTTAGGGAGTCATCAGGATGCAGAGACTATAAAAAGCCATAAAACTGGATTAGATCACAAATTGAGTAAAAATAATGAAGTTGCCTACAAACTCAACCCTTGAATATTCCAACATTAACAAAACAGGAATAGAAAAGACAATTGGCAAAAGAGGCTGAGACAAAGCAACCAATGAGATAGGAGGAGGACCAGGAGAAAGGTATGTGGGTGGATGAATGGGTGAGTGAGTGAGCAAACTAACAGACAAACTAAGAAAGTTTCATAAGCCCTCTGGGGATCAGTCTATTTGCCATTACTTTTAAAAGCAAAAACCACAATTACTTTTGCACCAACCTAATACAAAACAGGGATGAGAGTGATGTTACTATCTCCTTTGCGGGATTACTGTGAGGATTATAAATAATGTATATATATCATCTATTACAGCAACTAATGCATAGAAAGTACTAAAAAATTAATAGCCATTTTTATTATAAAATTAAATAGCTAGAAAACATAAGTACAGTTTTTTTAATTAAATAAAGGTTGAGTGTCCCTATGTAGAAGTCCAGAATGCTCCCAAATCTGCAACTTTTTGAGCACCAACATGATGCTCAAAGGAAATGGTCATTTTGGAGCATTTCTGATTTCAGATTCTAGGATTAAGGATGCTTAATCCAGATGTATGTATAACACGAGATATTTCAAAATCCCCCCAAAATAGAAGTCCGAAGCACTTCTGGTCCCAAGCATTTTGGATAAGGTATACTCAACCTATACTGAAAATGTTGGAGGACTCAAGAGAAGGTAAAAATCAGTATGACTCGGGGTATTAGGGAAGTCTTCATGGAAGAAAGAGAAACTTGACCTAAACTTCAAAATGGATTTTCATAGAGGCAAGTTGAGGCATTCCAGGTGTTGAGATAAACAAAAACTCGGAAATTCTCTTGAGGATAGTGTGATGATACAGTGAAGAGATGTTTCTGTTCAAATGAAACCTCATCAGAGGCATGAAATCACTTGAGGTCTGGTTTTTGTTGTTTAGTTTTACTTGGAAGCTAACCTTTTTTTTTTTTTTTTTTTTTGCTCCTACAATACAAACCCCAGTAGACATTACAAGACTGGCCAGTTGCATTGTACCATCCTCACTCACTCTAGTAGCCTCGATTGATGATGGTTTTTGCATTTGTGCCATCAGGTTTTACCACCGTTGAGGGATGTGACAAATCGACCTGAAGTTGGCTCAACTGTGAGAAATAAGCTGGTGCGCCTCATGACACATGTTGACCTTGGAGTCAAGCAAATTGCTGCTGAATTCCTTTTTGTCCTTTGCAAAGAGAGAGGTAGGTTAAACTCTCTTTGCCTCTGCCTTTTATCTTTCAGAGGGACTTTGAGAAATTTAATTGATAGTGTTAGTACTGGTCGTCTCATTCCATTCTTTCCAAAGCTTACTGTCTGTTCTATTAGAGAGGCTGAGGAGTTAATAAAAATTAATAGCCAAAAACATTTGTATACGCTTCTGAATTCATTGAGACATGCAAAGACAGATACATTACCAAACACACTCACATTTAAACTTTGCCTTCTGTATCCTTAACCCAGCCTTCATCTTAATGGGGCAGGACATAGAGCCATTATGAAAAATTGGTTCAGTAATTCAGCGGCTACTATTTTAATAAGAGGCACAGGTCTGGGTTAATTCCTCTTTTTAATTCCTCTTGGAATTAAAGCTATAGGAGTTTTGGTTTCTTTACTACGTTTTCCAATCAGTACTTACTGAATGTGAGCTATATAATATACTGAATAGAAATTTTTAAAATGCATAATACCCTTGAGACAAAGTTAAGATAGTGGTAGAGAGAAATTTTAAAATAACTGTACTACAGTGTAATAAATACTACTCTATAAGTGTATATAAAGTGATTGTCTACTGAGATAGATCCAACAATTAAAGATATTTTCTAAAATTATATGGATTACTCTGCAAAAGGCAAGTTTTCCAAACAAGTAACTTTGATTATTCAGTTATTCCTACTTATTTTTTCTTCTTCTACTTTGTAAGTCTGCTAGTATAAAATCCCATCTAAGCAGATCTATGTTCTACTTTTTTAAAGTACCCCAGTTTTATAAGATAGATAATTTGGAGATGGAAAAGTTCACTCCTCCTAAAATCTTAAGTCAATTGTTATTCTTAAACTTCATTTCTGATGTATTGATCCAACCACTTAAGTTCACATTAAGATGGTATGTTAGTAACCTAATTTGATCATTATTATAATGGTGATTATGAATTGAGAGGTATCATGTGCCTGACATTCTATGTATAATCTCATTTAATTCTCATAATGACTCTCTAAGGTAAATATTATATTTTGATTTCATAAATGAAGCAACCTGCCACCTGAGAGCCTTTCAATAACATGTCACACAGTTGCTGAGGGCATGAGCCCAAATTTGGGTCCTGTCTTTTCTTTCTGCCATATTTCCTCTCATAATAATTATATTAACTATTATCATAGACTGTTTAGCATCTGTTCTTTTAGACAATTTACTTCTTCTTTAATGACTTTGAAAAAAGATTGATTTAGCATCTTGGAATTAAGTGGTTAGCATAGTGCCTTGCACATAGTTATCTGTAAATATTGGCTGAATTGAATTGATTCGAGATCGGAAATGATCTGTTTTTTAAAGTGTAATTATACATGCTTATGCATAAATCCAAAATCACACATATGTGTATCTATTCATTTTAAAAAGTTTGTCAAAATATATACCAAAATATTATTTATTGTTACCTCTGAGTAATAAGAGAACTGGTGATTTTTTTAGTTGTCTGTATAATTTTTCTATAATGAACATGTATTTTTTTGTATACCTTTAAAAAGTTTTAAAATGGGGAAAATAAAGTTTATTTCTCCTGTAATTACACACCTAAGTGTATATCTAAATATATAAATCTAAATAAATAATTACATATCTAAATAATTTCTAAATGTAATCACATTACCGATGAGTATCATAGCAAATATGGTAAATTGCATTTATAAGTGAATTTTGTTAACTTTTTAAATTTAAAATGGTTGGTTTTGCTCCCTCTTGGACCCAGTATTTAGTTTCATAGTCCTGTCTTTGAGCCCAAAGCTAACCTCCATTAGCAGATAATATATTTTTAATTTGACCTCAACAATTCTGCTTTATAGTCTTTTTTTTTTTTTTTTTTTTTTTTTTTTTTTTTGAGACAGAGTCTCACTCCGTCGCCCAGGCTGGAGTGCAGTGGTGCAATCTCGGCTCACTGCAACCTCCGCCTCCCAGGTTGAAGCGATTCTCCTGCCTCAGCCGTCTGAGTAGCTGGGACTACAGGCACATGCCAACATGCCTGGCTAATTTTTGTATTTTTAGTAGAGATGGGGTTTCACCATATTGGCCAGGATGGTCTCGAACTCCTGTCCTTGTGATCTGCCCACCTCGGCCTCCCAAAGTGCTGGTATTACAGGCATGAGCCACCGCACCTGACCTATAATCATTTTTTTCCTTCCAATTTGATTATAAGTTTAGTAAATGTATTCTTCCGGAATAAACAGACATTTGTTCAACAAATGTTTTTGAACTAGACCCTGGAATTACAGAGATATATAAGATAAACAGTGTTTCTGCCCATGTATTACTTACTTTTTTATTTAAGGGTCACAGACTCAAATGCCTACAGCAGCCAGGCTGGTAATAAAAGTAAGTCAAGTGGACTAGATGTAAGATGAACAAATGAAAGCTGACACTTGGCTCACTGTTGGGGAGACAATTGGCTGGTGTAGGGAGACG